>NC_000011.10:54828104-55131134 GCF_000001405.40 Homo sapiens
GGATATTTGGCAACTCTTTGAGGCCTATGGTGAAAAAGGAAATATCTTCAAATTAAAATTAGAAAGACACTTTCTGAGAAACGCTTTGGGATGCATTCTTTCATCTAACAGAGTTAAATTTTTATTTTGATTCAGCAGTTTGTATACACTGTTTTTGTCCATTCTGTGAATGGACATTTGGGAGATCATTGAGTCTAATGGCGAAAAAGCAAATATCCCAAGATAAAAACTAGAAGGAAGTTACCTGAGAAGCCACTTTGTGATTTGTGAATTCATCCCTCAGTGTTAAAACTTTCCTTTCATATAGTAGTTTGGAAACATTGTTTTTGTAGAAAATGCCAAGAGATATTTTTCAGCACATGATGGCCAAAGGTGAAAATGGAACTATATTCAGATGAAAACGAGAAAGAAGGCTTGGGAACTCATTGAGGCCAATAGCGAAAAAGTGAATTTCCCAGGATAAACACTAGAAAGAAGCTATCTGAGAAACCGGTTTGTGATGTGTGCATTCATCTCACAGAGTTATACTTTTCTTTTCATTCGGTCATTTGGAAAAAATGTTTTCTTAGAATCTGTGAAAAGATATTTGGTAGTGCATTGAGGCCTATGGTGAAATAGGAATTTTCATCAGATAAAAACTAGAAAGAAGCTTTCTGAGAAACTGTTTTTTGATGTGTGAATTCATCTCACAGCATTGAAGCTTTCTTTGGATTCAGCAGTTTGGAAACACTGTTTTTGTCCATTCTGCGAATGGACATTTGGAGCTCATTGAGGCCAATGGCTAAAAAGCACATATCCCAGGATAAAAACCAGAAGTATGCTCTCTGAGATACCACTTTATGATGTGAGCATTCATCTCACAGAGTTAAACTTTTCTTCTCAAACAGACATTTGGAAAAACTGTTTTCTTAGAATCTGAGAAGAGGTATTTTGTAGCGCATTAAGACAGATGGTGAAAAAGGCTTTGTCTTCAGATAAATTAGAAAGAAGCTTAATGAGAAACTGCTTTGGATGTGTGCATCCATCTCACAGAGTTATAACTTTCTTTGGATTCAACAGTTTGGCAACACTGTTTGTGCCCATTCTACAAATCAACGTTTGGGAGCTCACTGAGGCCAGGGCGAAGAAGAAAATATATCAGGATAAAAACTAGAAGGAATTTATCTGAGAAACCAATTTGTGATGTGTGCATTCACCTAAAAGAGTTAACCTTTCTTTTCATTCAGCAGTTTGGAAAAAACTGTTTTTGTCCATTCTGCGAATGGACATTTGGGAACTCATTCAGGCCAAAGGCAAAAAAACGAATATCACAGGATAAAAAATAGAAGGAAGATATCTGAAAAAATGCTTTGTGATGTGTGCATTCATCTCCCAGTGTTAAAACTTTCTTTTCATTCAGCAATTTGGAAACACTATTTTTGTAGGATCAGTGAAGGGATACTTGGTAGTGCATTGAGGCCTGTGGTGAAAAAGGAATTTTCTTCAGATAAAAACTAGAAAGCAGGCTTGAGAGAAACTGCTTTCTGAGGTGTTCATCTCACAGAGTTAAACCTTTCTTTGGATTCTGCAGGTTGTAAACACTGTTTTTGTCCATTCTGTGAATGCACATTGGGAGCTCATTGAGGCCTTGGCAAAAAGCAAATATCTAAGGATAAAAACTAGAAGAAAGCCATCTAAGAAACCTATTTCTGATGTGTGCATTTATCTCACAGAGTCAAACCTTCCTTTTCATTCAGCCATTGAGAAACACTGTTTTCTTAGCATCTGTGAAGAGATATTTGGTAGCACATTGAGGCCAATGGTGAGAAAGGAAGTATCTTCAGATAAAAACTAGAAAGAAGCTGAAAGAGAAAGCGCTTTGGGATGTGTACATCCATCTCACAGGGGTTAACATTTCTTTGGATTCAGCAGTTTGTTAACACTGTTTTTGTCCATTCTGTGAATGGACATTTGGGAGTTCATTGAGGCCAGGCCAATGGTGAAGAAGGGAAAATCCTAAGATAAAAACTGTAAGGAGTTTATCTGAGCAAACTGATTTGTGTTGCATGCATTCAACTCACAGATTCAAACTTTTCTTTTCATTCAGGAGTTTTGAAACACTGTTTTCTTAGAATCTGCAAGGCAAAATTTTTTAGTGCCTTGAGGCCTATGGTGAAAAAGGAAATATCTGCAGATAAAAACTAGAAAGAAGCATAATGAGAATCTGCTTTAGGTTGTGTTCATTCATGTCACAGAGTTAAACATTTCTTTGGATTCAGCAGTTTGGTAATATTGTTACCATTTTTTGTCCATTCTGAAGATGGACTTTTGGGAGCTCACTGAGGCCAATGGCAAAAACAGAATATCACAGGATAAAAACTAAAGGAAGTTATCTGAGAAACCAATTTGTGATATGGGCATTCATCTCATAGAGTTAAAACTTTCATTTAATTCAGCAATTTGGAAACACTGTTTTCTTACAAACTGCGAAAAGATACTTGTTAGTGCAATGAGGCCTATAGTGAAAAAGGAAATATCTTCAGATAAAAACTCAAAAGAACATTTCTGAGAGACTGCTTGGTGATGTGTGCATTCATCTCATAGACATAAAATTTTCTTTGGTTTCATCAATTTGGTAACACTGTTTCTGTCCCTTCTGTGAATGGACATTAGGGAGCTCATTGAGGACAATGCTGAAAAAGCAAATATTCCAGGGTAAACACTAACAGGAAGATATCTGAGGAAACGCTTTGTGATATGTGCATTCATCTCCCATTGTTAAACCTTTCTTTTCATTCAGCAGTTTGTAAACACTGTTTTTGTAGAATTTGTGAAGGGATACTTGGGAGCACTTGAGGCCTATGGTGAAAAAGGAATTTTCTTCAGGTAAAAACTAGAAAGAAGCTTTCTTAGAAACTGCTTTGAAAGGTGTTCACTCATCTCAAAGAGTTAAAACTTTCTTTGGATTCCACAGTTTAGAAACACTGTTTTTCTCCATTCTGCAAATGGACATTTGCAGATCACTGGGGCCAATGGCGAAAAAGTGAATAACTCAGGATAAAAACTAGAAGTAAGTTACCTGAGAAACTGATCTGTGATATGTGCATTCATCTCACAGGGTTAAACTTTTCTTTTCATTCAGCAGTTTGGAAACACTCTTTTCTTAGAATCTGCAAAGAGATATTTTGTAGAGCATTCAGGCCTATCGTGAAAAAGGAAATTTATTCAGATAAAAACTAGAAAGAAGCTTAATGAGAAACTGCTTTGTGATGTGTGCATTCATGTCACAGAGTTAAACCATTCTTTGGATTCAGTAGTTTGGTAGGACATTTTTTGTCCATTCCATGAATGAACATTTTGGAGCTCGAGGTCAATGGTGAAAAAGCTAATATCCCAGGATAAAAACTAGAAGGAAGTTATCTGAGAAACTGATTTGTGATGTGTGTATTCATCTTACAGGGTTAAACCATTCTTTTCATTCAGCAGTTTGGAAATACTGTTTTCTTAGAATCTGTGAAGTCATATTTGGTAGTGCTTTGAGGCCTATAGTGAAATATGAATTTTCTTCATATAAAAACTAGAAAGAAGCTTTCAGAAAAACTGCTTTGTGATGTGTTCATTCATCTCACAGTGTTAAAACGTATGGATTCATCAGTTTGGAAACACTGTTTTTGTCCATTCTGCGAAAGGACATTTGGGAGCTCATAGAGGACAATGGCAAAAAAGTAAATATCCCAGGATAAAAATGAGAAGGAAGCTATCTGAAAACTGCTTTGTGATGTGTGAATTCATCTCGCCATGTTAAACTTTTTTTCATTCAGCAGCTTGGAAACACTGTTTTTTTACAGTCTGCAACAGGATATTTGGCAGCAAATTGAGGCCTGTGGTGAAAAAGGGAATATCTTCAGAAAAATCTAGAAAGAAGCTTTCTGAGAAACTGTTTTATGATGTGTCCTTCTTCTCAAGGAGTTAATCCTTTCTTTTGATTCAGTATTTTGGAAACACTGTTTCTGTCGATTCTGTGAATGGACATTTGGGAACTCATTGAGGCCAATGGCAAAAAAGAAAATATCTGTTGATAAAAACCAGAAGGAGGTTATCTTAGAAACTGATTGGGGATGTGTGCATTCATCTCACAGAGTTAAAGTTTTCTTTTCATTCAGACATTTCAAAAAACTATTTTCTTAGAATCTGCAAAAAGATATATGGTAGCACATTGAGGCCTATGGTGAAAAAGGAATTCTCTTCAGAAAAAAACTAGAAGGAAGCTTAGTGGTTTTATCTACATTTGGTCTTTGATGTTGGTGATGTACAGATGGGTTTTTGGTGTGAATGTCCTTTGTGATTGTTGGTTTTCCTTCTAAAAGTCAGGACCCTCAGCTGCAGGTCTGTTGGGGTTTGCTGGATGCCCACTCCAGACATTCTTTGCCTGGGTATCAGCAGCAGTGGCTGCAGAACAGCAGATAATAGTGAACCACAAATGCTGCTGCCTGATTGTTCCTCTGGAAGTTTTGTCAGAGGAGTTCCCAGGTGTGTGAGGTGTCAGTCTGCCCCTAATGGGGGGTGCCTCCCAGTAAGGCTACTCGGGGGTCAGGGACCCACTTGAGGAGGCAGTCTGCCCATTTTCAGATCCCAAGCTGCATGCTGGGAGAATGACTACTCTCTTGAAAGGTGTCACACAGGGACATTTAAGTCTGCAGAGGTTACTGCTGCCTTTTGTTTGTCTGTGCCCTGCCCCCAGAGGTGGAGCCTACTGAGGTAGGCAGGCCTCCTTGAGCTGTGGGGGGCTGTACCCAGTTCGAGTTTCCAGGCCACATTGTTTACCTACTCAAGCCTCAGCAATGGCAGGCGCCTCTCCCCCAGCCTCACTGCCACCTTGCAGTTTGATCACAGACTTCTGTGCTAGCAATGAGCAAGGCTGCATGGGTATGGGACCCTCCAAGCCAGGGGCGGGATACAATCTTCTGGTGTACCATTTGTTAAATCCATTGGAAAACCAGATTATTAGGGTGGGAGTGACCTGATGTACCAGGTGCTTTCTGTCACCCCTTTCTTTGACTAGCAGAGGGAATTCCCTGACCCCTTGTGCTTCCCAGGTGAGGTGATGCCTCACCCTGCTTTGGCTCATGCATGGTTTGCTGCACACACTGTCCTGCACCCACTGTCCAGCAGTACCCCATGAGATGAACCCGGTATCACAGTTGGAAATGCAGAAATCAGCCATCTTCGGCATCGCTCACACTGGCAGCTGTAGACTAGACCTGTTCCTACTCAGCTGTCTTGGCTACCTCTGTTAGTCTGTATTCAGGAAACCCATCTAAAGTGCAGAGACACACATATGCTCAAAACTAAGGGATGGAAGAAGATCTACCAAGCAAAGGGAACACAAAAAAAAGGCAGGGGTTGCAATCCTAGTTTCTGATAAAACAGACTTTAAACCAAGAAAAATCAAAACAGACGAAGAAGGCCATCACATAATGGTAAAGGGATCAATTCAACAAGAAGAACTAACTATCCTAAATATATATGCATCCAATACAGGAGCACTCACATTCATAAAGAAAGTCCTTAGGGACTTAAAAAGAGACTTAGACTCCCACACAATAATAATGGGAGACTTCAACACCCCACTGTCAACAGTAGGCAGATCAATGAGACAGAAAGTTAACAAGGATATCCAGGAATTGAACTCAGCTCAGCACCAAGAAGACCTAATAGACATCTACAGAAATCTCCACCCCACATCAACAGAATATACATTCTTTCCAGCACCACACCACACCTATCCCAAAATTGACCACATAGTTGGAAGTAAAGCACTCCTCAGCAAATGTAAAAGAACAGAAATTATAACAAACTGTCTGTCAGACCACAGTGCAATCAAACTAGCACTCAGGATTAAGAAAATCACTCAAAACCGCTCAAAAACATGGAAACTGAACAACCTGCTCCTGAATGACCACTGGGTACATAAAAAAATGAAGGCAGAAATAAGGATGTTCTTTGAAACCAACGAGAACAAAGACACAACATACCAGAATCTCTGGGACACATACAAAGCAGTTTATAGAGGGAAATTTATAGCACTAAATGCCCACAAGACAAAGCAGGAAAGATCAAAAATTGACACCCTAACAACACAATTAAAAGAACTAGAGAAGCAAGAGCAAACACATTCCAAAGCTTTCAGAAGGCAAGAAATAACTAAGATCAGAGCAGAACTGAAGGAAATACAGACACAAAAAACCCTTCAAAAAATCAGTGAATCCAGGAGCTGGTTTTTTGAAAAGATCAGCAAAATTGATCAAGGACTAACAAGACTTATAAAGAAGAAAAGAGAGAAGAATGAAATACACACAATAAAAAATAATAAAGGGGCTATCACCACCGATCCCACAGATATACAAATGACAATCAGAGAATACTATAAACATCTCTACACAGGTAAACTAGAAAATCTAGAAGAAATGCATAAATTCCTCGACACATACACTTTTCCAAGACTAAACCAGGAAGAAATTGAATCTCTGAAGAGACCAAAAACAGGCTCTGAAATTGAGGGAATATTTAATAGCTTACCAAAAAAAAAGACTACAGGACCAGATGGATTCACAGCAGAATTTTACCAGAGGTACAAGGAGGAGCTGTTACAATTCTTTCTGAAATTATTCCAATCAATAGAGAAAGAGGGAATCCTCCCTAACTCATTTTATGAGGCCAACATCATTCTGATACCAAAGCCTGACAGAGATACAACCAAAAAAGAGAATTTTAGAGCAATATCCTTGATGAACATTGATGCAAAAATCCACGATAAAACACTGGCAAACCGAATCCAGCAGCACAACAAAAAGCTTATCCAGTATGATCAAGTGGGCTTCATCCCTAGGATGCAAGGCTGGTTCAACATATGAAAATCAGTTAACGTAATCCAGCACATAAAGAGAACCAAAGACAAAAACCACGTGATTATCTCAATATATGCAGAAAAGGCCTTTGACAAAATTCAACAACACTTCATGCTAAAAACTCTCAATAAATTAGGTATTGATGGGATGTATCCCAAAATAATAAGAGCTATCTATGACAAACCCACAGCCAATATCATATTGAATGGACAAAAACTGGAAGCATTCCCTTTGAAAACTAGCACAAGACAGGGATGCCCTCTCTCACCACTCCTATTCAACATAGTGTTGGAAGTTCTGGCCAGGGCAATCAGGCAGGAGAAGGAAATAAAAGGTATTCAGTTGGGAAAAGAGGAAGTCAAATTGTCCCTGTTTGCAGATGACATGATTGTATATTTAGAATACCCCATCATCTCAGCCCAAAATCTCCTTAAGCTGATAAGCAACTTCAGCAAAGTCTCAGGATACAAAATCAATGTGCAAAAATCACAGGCATTCTTATACACCAATAACAGACAAACAGAGAGCCAAATCATGAGTGAACTCCCATTCACAATTGCTTCAAAGAGAATAAAATACCTAGGAATCCAACTTACAAGGGATGTGAAGGACCTCTTCAAGGAGAACTACAAACCACTGCTCAAGGAAAAAAAAGAGGATACAAACAAATGGAAGAACATTCCATGCTCGTGGGTAGGAAGAATCAATATCGTCAAAATGGCCATACTGCCCAAGGTAATTTATAGATTCAATGTCATCCCCATCAAGCTACCAATGACTTTCTTCACAGAACTGGAAAAAAATTCTTTAAAGTTCACATGGAACCAAAAAAGAAACCACATTGCCAAGTCAATCCTAAGCCAAAAGAACAAAGCTGGAGGCATCATGCTACCTGACTTCAAACTATACTAAAAGGCTACAGTAACCAAAACAGCATGGTACTCGTACCAAAACAGATACAGACCAATGGAATGGAACAGAGCCCTCAGAAATAATGCCGCATATCTACAACTATCTGATCTTCAACCAACCTGAGAAAAACAAGCAATGGGGAAAGGATTCTCTATTTAATAAATGGTGATGGGAAAACTGGGTAGCCATATGTAGAAAGCTGAAACTGGATCCCTTCCTTACACCTTATACAAAAATTAATTCAAGATGGATTAAAGACTTACATGTTAGACCTAAAACCATAAAAACCCCAGAAGAAAACCTAAGCAATATCATTCAGGACATAGGCATGGGAAAGGACTTCATGTCTAAAACACCAAAAGCAATGGCAACAAAAGCCAGAATTTACAAATGGGATCTAATTAAACTAAAGAGCTTCTGCACAGCAAAAGAAACTACCATCAGAGTGAACAGGCAACCTACAGAATGGGTGACAATTATTGCAACCTACTCATCTGACAAATGGCTAATGTCCAGAATATAAAATGACTTCAAATCAATTTACAAGAAAAAACAAGCAACCCTATCAAAAAGTGGGTGAAGGTTATGAACAGACACTTCCCAAAAGAGACATTTATGCAGCCAAAAAGCACATGAAAAAATGCTCATCCTCACTGGCCATCAGAGAAATGCAAATCAAAACCACAAGGAGATACCATTTCACACCAGTTAGAATGGTGATCATTAAAAATTCAGGAAACAACAGGTGCTGGAGAGGATGTGGAGAAATAGGAACACTTTTTCACTGTTGGTGGGACTGTAAACTAGTTCAACCATTGTGGAAGTCAGTGTGGCGATTCCTCAGGGATCAAGAACTAGAAATACTATTTGACCCAGCCATCCCATTACTGGGTATATACCCAAAGGATTATAAATCATTCTGCTATAAAGACACATGCACACGTTTATTTATTGTGGCACTATTCACAATAGCAAAGACTTGGTACCAACCCAAATGTTCAACAATGATAGACTGGATTAAGGAAACGTGGCACGTATACATCATGGAATACTATGCAGCCATAAAAATGATGAGTTCATGTCCTTTGTAGGGACATGGATGAAGCTGGAAACCACCATTCTCAGCAAACTATCACAAGGACAAAGAAACAAACTACACATATTCTCACTCATAGGTGGGAATTGAACAATGAGAACCCATGGACACAGGAAGGGGAACATCACACACCAGGGACAGTTGTGGGGTGTTGGTAAGGGAGAGGGATAGCATTAGGAGATATACCTAATGCTAAATGATGAGTTAATGTGTGCAGCACACAAGCATGGCACATGTATACATGTGTAACAAACCTGCACGTTATGCACATGTACCCTAATATTTAAAGCATAACAATAATAATAAAAAACCTAGAAAGAAGCTTAATGAGAAACTACTTTGGGATGTGTGCATCCATCTCACAGAGTTAAAAGTTTCTTTGGATTCTGTAGTTTTGCAACACTGTTTTGTCCATTTTCTGAATGGACCTTGGTGAGCTTATTGTGGCCAGGGCAAGAAGGGAATATCCCAGGATAAACACTAGAGGGAATTAATCTGAGAAAACGATTTGTGATGTATACATTCAAATCAAAGACTTAAATCTTTCTTTTCATTTAGCAGTTTGGAAGCCCTGTTTTCTTAGAATCTGTGAAAAGATATTTGGTAGCACAATGAGGCCTATGGTGAAAAAGAAAATATCTCCAGATAAAAACAAGAAAGAACTTTCTGAGAGACTGCTTTGTGATGTGTGCATTCATCTCACAGAGATAAAATTTTCTTTGGATTCCGCAGTTTGGTAACACTGTTTTTGCCCATTCTGCGAATGGACATTTTAGAGTTCATTGAGGCCAATGGCGAAAAAGTGAATATCCCAGGAAAAACTAGATGGAAGATACCTGAGAAAACGCTTTGTAATATTTGCATTCATCTCAATGATGGCCGAATAGGAAAACCTCGGTCTACAGCTCCCAGCATGAGCGATGCAGAAGATGGGTGATTTCTGCATTTCCATCTGAGGTACCAGGTTCATCTCACTAAGGAGTGCCAGACAGTAGGTACAGGATAGTGGATGCAGTGCACCATGTGCCAGCGGAAGCAGGGTGAGTCATTACCTCACTCAGGAAGCAAAAGGGGTTAGGGAGTTCCCTTTCCTAGTCAAACAAAGGGGTGACAGATGGAACCTGGAAAATCGGGTCACTCCCACCCAAATACTGCGCTTTTCCCACAGGCTTAAAAAAATGGCACACTGGGAGATTATATCCTGCACCTGGCTCGGAGGGTCCTATGCCCACGGAATCTCACTGATTGCTAGCACAGCAGTCTGAGATCAAACTGCAAGGCGGCAATGAGGCTGGGAGAGGGGCACCCGCCATTGTCCAAGCTTGCTTTTGTAAACAAAGCAGCCAGGAAGCTCGAACTGGGTGGATGACACCACAGCTAAAGGAGGCCTGCCTGCCTCTGTAGGCTCCACCTCTGGGGGCAGGGCACAGACAAACAAAAAGACAGCAGTAACCTCTGCAGACTTAAATGTCCCTCTCTGACAGCTTTGAAGAGAGCAGTGGTTCTCCCAGCATGCAGATGGAAACCTGAGAATGGGCAGACTGCATCCTTCAGTGGGTCGTTGACCCCTGACGCCCGAGCAGCCTAACTGGGAGGCACACCCCAGTAGGGGCAGACTGACAACTCACATGTCTGGGTACTCCTCTGAGACAAAACTTCCAGAGGAATGATCAGACAGCAGCATTCGTGGTTCTTGAAAATCGATTGATCTGCAGCCACCGCTGCTGATACCCAGGCAAACAGGGTCTGGAGTGGACCTCTAGCAAACTCCAACAGACCTGCAGCTGAGGGTCCTGTCTGTTAGAAGGAAAACTAACAGAAAGGACGTCCACACCAAAAACCCATCTGTACATTACCATCATCAAACACCAAAAGTAGATAAAACCACAAAGATGGGGAAAAAACAGAGCAGAAAAACTGGAAACTCTAAAAAGCAGAGTGCCTCTCCTCCTCCAAAGGAACACAGATCCTCACCAGCAATGGAACAAAGCTGGTTGGAGAATTACTTTGACAAGTTGAGAGAAGAAGGCTTCAGACGATCAAAAATACTCCAAGCTACAGGAGGAAACTCAAACCAATAGCAAAGAAGTTAAAAACTTTGAAAAAAATTAGACAAATGGATACTTAGAATAATCAATGCAGAGAAGTCCTTAAAGTAGCTGATGGAGCTGAAAGCCAAGGCTCAAGAACTACATGAAGAATGCAGAAGCCTCAGGAGCCGATGTGATCAACAAGAAGAAAGTGTATCCCTGATGGAAGATGAAATGAATGAAATGAAGCAAAAAGTGAAGTTTAGAGAAAAAAGAATAAAAAGAAATGAACAAAGCCTCCAAGAAATATGGGACTATGTGAAAAGACCAAATCTATGTCTGATTGGTGTACCTGAAAGTGACGGGGAGAATGGAATCAAGTTGGAAAACACTCTGCAGGATATTATCCGGGAGAACTTCCCCAATCTAGAAAGGCAGGCCAACATTCAGATTCAGGAAATACAGAGAATGCCACAAAGATACTCCTCGAGAAGAGCAACTCCAAGACACATAATTGTCAGATTCACCAAAGTGGAAATGAAGGAAAAAATGTTAAGGGTGGCCAGAGAGAAAGGTCGGGTTACCCACAAAGGGAAGACCATCGAACTAACAGCGGATCTCTCAGCAGAAACACTACATGCCAGAAGAGAGTGGGGGCCAATATTCAACATTCTTAAAGAAAAGAATTTTCAACCCAGAATTTCATATCCAGCCAAACCAAGCTTCATAAGTGAAGGAGAAATAAAATCCTTTACAGACAAGCAAATGCTGAGAGATTTTGTCACCACCAGGCCTGCCCTAAAAGAGCTCCTGAAGGAAGCACTAAACATGGAAAGGAGCAACTGGTCCCAGCCAATGCAAAATCAGGCCAAATTGTAAAGACCATCGAGGCTAGGAAGAAACTGCATCAACTAATGAGCAAAATAACCAGCTAACATCATAATGACAGGGTCAAATTCACACACAACAATATTAACTTTAAATGTAAATGGGCTAAATGCTCCAATTAAAAGACACAGACTGGCAAATTGGATAAAGAGTCAAGACCCATCAGTGTGATGTATTTGGGAAACCCATCTCACATGCAGAGACACATATAGGCTCAAAATAAAAGGATGGAGGAAGATCTACCAAGCAAATGGAAAACAAAAAAAAAGCAGGGCTTGCAATTCTAGTCTCTGATAAAACAGACTTTAAACCAACAAAGATCAAAAGAAACAAAAAATGCCATTACATAATGGTAAAGAGATCAATTCAAGAAAAAGAGCTAACTATCCTAAATATATATACACCCAATACAGGAGCACCCAGATCCATAAAGCAAGTCCTGAGTGACTTACAAACAGACTTCTACTCCCACACAATAATAATGGATACTTTAACACCCCATTGTCAACATTAGACAAATCAACAACACAGAAAGTTAAAAGGATATCCAGAAATTGTACTCAGCTCTGCACCAATCAGACCTAATAGACATCTACAGAACTCTCCACCCCACATCAACAGAATATACTTTCTTTTCAGCACCACACCACACCTATCCCAAAATTGACCACATAGTTGGAAGTAAAGCTCTCCTCAGCGAATGTAAAACAACAGAATTTATAACACTCTGTCTCTCAGACCACAGTGCAATCAAACTAGGACTCAACATTAAGAAACTCACTCAAAACCGCTCAACTACATGGAAACTGAACAATCTGCTCCTGAATGAGTACTGAGTACATAACGAAATGAAGGCAGAAATAAAGATGTTCTTTGAAACCAACGAGAACAAAGACACAACGTACCAGAATCTCTGGGACACATTCAAAGCAGTTTATAGAGGGAAATTTATAGCACTAAATGCCCACAAGAGAAAGCAGGAAAGATCCAAAATTACACCCTACCATCACAATTAAAAGAACTAGAAAAGCAAGAGCCAACACACTCAGAACCTAGTAGAAGGCAAGAAATAACTAAAATCGGAGCAGAATTGAAGGAAATAGAGACACAAAAAATCCTTCATAAAATTAATGAGTCCAGAAGCTGATATTTTGAAAGGATCAACAAAACTGATAGACCACTAGTAAGACTAATAAAGAAGAAAAGAGAAAAGAATCAAATAAATGCAATAAAAAATGATAAAGGGGATATCACTACCGATACCACAGAAATACAAACTACCACCAGAGAATACTACAAACATTTCTATGCAAATAAACTAGAAAATCTAGAAGAAATGGATAAATTCCTCGACACGTACACCCTCCCCAGACTAAACCAGGAAGAAGTTGAATCTCTGAATAGGCCAATAACAGGCTCTAAAATTGTGTCAATAATCAATAGCTTACCAACCAAGAAGAGTCCAGGACCAGTTGGATTCACAGCCGAATTTTACTGGAGGTAAAAGGAGGATCTGATACCATTCCTTCTGAAAGGATTCCAATCAATAGAAAAAGAGGGAATCCTCGCTAACTCATTTTATGAGGCCAGCATCATCCTGATAAAAAAGCCGGGCAGAGACACAACCAAAAAAGAGAATTTTAGACCAATATCCTTGATGGACATTGATGCAAAAATCCTCAGTAAAATATTGTCAAACCGAATCCAGCAGCACATCAAAAGGCTTATCCACCATGATCAAGTGGGCTTCATCCCTAGGGTGCAAGGCTGGTTCAATATACGCAAATCAATAAATGTAATCCATCACATAAGCAGAACCAAAGACAAAAACCACGTGATTATCTCAATATATGCAGAAAAGGCCTTTGACAAAATTCAACAACTCTTCATGCTAAAAACTCTCAATAAGTTAGGTGTTAATGGGACGTATCTCAAAATAATAAGAGCTATCTATGACAAACCCACAGCCAATATCATACTGAATGGGCAAAAACTGGAAGCATTCCCTTTGAAAACAGGGACAAGACAGGGATGCCCTCTCTCACCACTCCTATTCAACATAGTGTTGGAAGTTCTGGCCAGGGCAATTAGGCAGGAGAAGGAAATAAAGGGTATTCAATTAGGAAAAGAAGAAGTCAAATTGTCCCTGTTTGTAGAAGACATGAATTGTATATCTAGGAAACCCATTGTCTCAGCCCAAAATCTCCTTAAGCTGATAAGCAACTTCAGCAAAGTCTCAGGATACAAAATCAATGTAAAAAATCACAAGCATTCTTATACAGCAATAACAGACAAACAGAGAGCCAAATCAGGAGTGAACTCCATTCACAATTGCTTCAAAGAGAATAAAATACCTAGGAATCCAACTTACAAGGGATGTGAAGAACCTCTTCAAGGAGAACTACAAACAATTGCTCAATGAAATAAAAGGATACAAACAAATGGAAGAACATTCCTTGTTCATGGGTACGAAGAATCAATATAGTGATAATGGCCATACTTCCCAAGGTAATTTATAGATTCAATGCCATCCTCATCAAGCTACCAATGACTTTCTTCACATAATTGGAAAAAACTACTTTAAAGTTCATATAGAACCAAAAAAGAGCCTGCATCGCCATGTCAATCTTAAGCCAAAAGAACAAAGCTGGAGGCATCACGCTACCTGACTTCAAACTATACTACAAGGCTACAGTAACCAAAACAGAATGGTACTGGTACCAAAACAGAGATATAGATCAATGGAACAGAACAGAGCCCTCAGAAATAATGCCACATATCTACAACTATCTGATCTTTGACAAACCTGAGAAAAACAATTAATGGGGAAACGATTCCCTATTTAATAAATGGTGCTGGGAAAACTGGCTAGCCATATGTCGAAAGCTGAAACTAGATCCCTTCCTTACATCTTATACAAAAATTAATTGAAGATGGATTAAAGACTTAAACGTTTGACCTAAAACCATAAAAGCCCTAGAAGAAAACCTAGGCATTACTATTCAGGACATAGGCATGGGCAAGGACTTCATGTCTAAAACACCAAAAGCAATGGCAACAAAAGACAAAATTGACAAATGGGATCTAATTAAATGAAAGAGCTTTTGCACAGCAAAAGAAACTACCATCAGAGTGAACAGGCAACCTACAAAATGGGAGAAAATTTTCGCAACCTACTCATCTGACAAAGGGCTAATATCCAGAATCTACAATGAACTCAAACAAATTTACAAAAAAAACAAACAACCCCATCAAAAAGTGGGCAAAGGACATGAACAGACACTTCTCAAAAGGAGATATTCATGCAGCCAAAAAAACACATGAAAAAATGCTCATCATCACTGGCCATCAGAGAAATGCAAATCAAAACCACAATGAGATACAGTCTCACACCAGTTAGAATGGCAATCATTAAAAAGTCAGGAAACAACAGGTGCTGGAGAGGATGTGGAGAGATAGGAACACTTTTACACTGTTGGTGGGATTCTAAACTAGATCAACCATTGTGGAAGTTAGTGTGGCGATTCCTCAGGGATCTAGAACTAGAAATACCATTTGACCCAGCCATCCCATTACTGGGTATATACCCAACGGACTATAAATCATGCTGCTATAAAGACACATGCACATGTATGTTTATTGTGGCACTATTCTTAATAGCAAAGACTTGAAACCAACCCAAATGTCCCACAATGGTAGACTGGATTAAGAAAATGTGGCACATATACACCATGGAATACTATGCAGCCATAAAAAATGATGAGTTCATGTCCTTTGTAGGGACATGGATGAAATTGGAAATCATCATTCTCAGTAAACTATCACAAGAACAAAAAGCCAAACACTGCATATTCTCACTCATTGGTGGGAATTGAACAATGAGAACACATGGATACAGGAAGGGAACATCACACTCTGGGGACTGTTGTGGGGTGGGGGGAGGGTGGAGGGATAGCATTAGGAGATATACTTAATGCTAAATGACGAGTTAATGGGTGCAGCACACTAGTATTGCACATGTATACATATGTGACTAACCTGCACATTGTGCACATGTACCCTAAAACTTAAAGTATAATAATAATAAAATAAAAATCAATAAAAATAAAAACAATTTTTCTGGGAAAAATAAAGAAAATGTGGCACATATACACAATGGAATACTATGCAGCCAAAAAAATGATGAATTCATGTCCTTTGTAGGGACATGGATGAATCTGGAAACCATCATTCTCAGCAAACTATCGCAAGGACAGAAAACCAAACACTGCATGTTCTCAATCATAGGTGGGAATTGAACAATGGGAACACTTGGACGCAGGGTGGGGAACATCACACACCAGGGCCTGTCGTGGGGTGGGGGGAGCGGGGAGGGATAGCATTCGTAAATGTACCTAATGTAAATGATGAGTTACTGGGTGCAGCACACCAACATGGCACATGTATACATATGTAACAAACCTGCACGTTGTGCAAGCTTCAATCACATCCGTGTGAAAAGACCACCAAGCAGGCTTTGTGTGAGCAACAAGGCTGTTTATTTCACCTGGGTGCAGGTGTGCTGAGTCTGAAAACAGAGTCAGCAAAGGGAGATAGGGTTGGGGCGGTTTTATAGGATTTGGGTAGGGAAACGAAAATTCAGTCAAAGGGTGTTGTTCTCTAGCTGGTAGAGATGGGGGTTACAAGGTGCTCAGTGGGGGAGCTTCTGAGCCAAGATGAGCCAGTTGAAGGAATTTCACAAGGTAATGTCATCAGTTAAGGCAGGAGCAGGCGATTTTTACTTCTTTTGTGATTCTTCAGTTACTTCAGGCCATTTGGATGTATACGTGCAAGTCACAGGGGATATGATGGCTTAGCTTGGGCTCAGAGACCCGACAACATGCACCCTAGAACTTAAAGTATAATTAAAAAAACTAAAAGAATGTTATGCTAAAAAAATACATTTCCATTCATCTCATAGTGTTAAAACTTTCTTTTCATTCAGTAGCTTGGAAACACTATTTTTGTAAAATCTGTGAATGGATATTTGGGAGCATATTTAGGCCTATGGTGAAAAGGAATTTTTTTTTCCATTAAAAACTAGAAAGCAGCTTTCTGAGAAACTGTTTTGTGATGTTTCTTTCATCTCACTGAGTTAATCCTTTCTTTGGATTCAGCAGTTTGGAAACATTGTTTTCTTTTTTTTTATTATTATTATTTTTTTATTATACTTTAAGTTTTAGGGTACATGTGCACATTGTGCACGTTAGTTACATATGTGTACATGTGCCATGCTGGTGAGCTGCACCCACTAACTCGTCATCTAGCATTAGGTATATCTCCCAATGCTATCCCTCCCCCCATACCCCCACCCCACAACAGTCCCCAGAGTGTGATATTCCCCTTCCTGTGCCCATGTGATCTCATTGTGCAATTCCCACCTATGAGTGAGAATTTGCGGTGTTTGGTTTTTTGTTCTTGCGATAGTTTACTGAGAAAGATGATTTCCAATTTCATCCATGTCCCTACAAAGGACATGAACTCATCATATTTTATGGCTGCATAGTATTCCATGGTGTATATGTGCCACATTTTCTTAATCCAGCCTATCATTGTTGGACATTTGGGTTGGTTCCAAGTCTTTGCTATTGTGAATAATGCCGCAATAGACATACGTGTGCATGTGTCTTTATAGCAGCATGATTTATAGTCCTTTGGGTATATACCCAGTAATGGGATGGCTGGGTCAAATTGCATTTCCAGTTCTAGATCCCTGAGGAATCGCCACACTGACTTCCACAATGGTTGAACTAGTTTACAGTCCTACCAACAGTGTAAAAGTGTTCCTATTTCTCCACATCCTCTCCAGCACCTGTTGTTTCCTGACTTTTTAATGATTGCCATTCTAACTGGTGTGAGACTGTATCTCATTGTGGTTTTGATTTGCATTTCTCTGATGGCCAGTGATGATGAGCATTTTTTCATGAGTTTTCTGGCTGCATAAATGTCTTCTTTTGAGAAGTGTCTGTTCATGTCCTTTGCCCACTTTTTGATGAGGTTGTTTGTTTTTTTCTTGTAAATTTGTTTGAGTTCATTGTAGATTCTGGATATTAGCCCTTTGTCAGATGAGTAGGTTGCGAAAATTTTCTCCCATTTTGTAGGTTGCTGTTCATTCTGATGGTAGTTTCTTTTGCTGTGCAGAAGCTCTTTCATTTAATTAGATCCCATTTGTCAATTTTGTCTTTTGTTGCCATTGCTTTTGGTGTTTTAGACATGAAGTCCTTGCCCATGCCTATGTCCTGAATGGTAATGCCTAGGTTTTCTCAAGGGTTTTTATGGTTCTAGGTCTAACATTTAACTCTTTAATCCATCTTGAATTGATTTTTGTAGAAGGTGTAAGGAAGGGATCCAGTTTCAGCTTTCAACCTATGGCTAGCCAGTTTTCCCATCACCATTTATTAAATAGGGAATCCATTCCCCATTGCTTGTTTTTCTCAGGTTTGTCAAAGATCAGATAGTTGTAGATATGCGGCATTATTTCTGAGGGCTCTGTTCTGTTCCATTGATCTATATCTCTGTTTTGATACCAGTACCATGCTGTTTTGGTTACTGTAGCCTTGTAGTATAGTTTGAAGTCAGGTACTGTGATGCCTCCAGCTTTGTTCTTTTGGCTTAGGATTGACTTGGCGATGCACGCTCTTTTTTGGTTCCACATGAACTTTAAAGTAGTTTTTTCCAATTATGTGAAGAAAGTCATTGGTAGCTTGATGGGGATGGCATTCAATCTGTAAATTACCTTGGGCAGTATCGCCATTTTCATGGTATTGATTCTTCCTACCCATGAGCATGGAATGTTCTTCCATTTGTTTGTGTCCTCTTTTATTTCCTTGAGCAGTGGTTTGTAGTTCTCCTTGAAGAGGTCCTTCACATCCCTTGTAAGTTGGATTCCTAGGTATTTTATTCTCTTTGAAGCAATTGTGAATGGGAGTTCACTCATGATTTGGCTCTCTGTTTGTTGTTGGTGTATAAAAATGCTTGTGATTTTTGTACATTGATTTTGTATCCTGAGACTTTGCTGAAGTTGCTTATCAGCTTAAGGAGATTTTGGGCTGAGACAATGGGGTTTTCTAGATATACAATCATGTCATCTGCAAACAGGGACAATTTGACTTCCTCTTTTCCTAATTGAATACGCTTTATTTCCTTCTCCTGCCTAACTGCCCTGGCCAGAGCTTCCAACACTATGTTGAATAGGAGTGGTGAGAGAAGGCATCCCTGTCTTGTGCTAGTTTTCAAAAGGAATGCTTCCAGTTTTTGCCCATTCAGTATGATATTGGCTGTGGGTTTGTCATAGATAGCTCTTATTATTTTGAAATACGTCCCATCAATACCTAATTTATTGAGAGTTTTTAGCATGAAGGGTTGTTGAATTTTGTCAAAGGCTTTTTCTGCATCTATTGAGATAATCATGTGGTTTTTGTCTTTGGCTCTGTTTATATGCTGGATCACATTTATTGATCTGCGTATGTTGAACCAGCCTTGCATCCCAGGGATGAAGCCCACTTGATCATGGTGGATAAGCTTTTTGATGTGCTTCTGGATTCGGTTTGCTAGTATTTTATTGAGGATTTTTGCATCAATGTTCATCAAGGATATTGGTCTAAAATTCTCTTTTTTGGTTGTGTCTCTGCCTGGCTTTGGTATCAGAATGATGCTAGCCTCATAAAATGAGTTAGGGAGGATTCCCCCTTTTTCTATTGATTGGAATAGTTTCAGAAGTAATGGTACCAGCTCCTCCTTGTACCTCTGGTAGAATTCGGCTGTGAATCCATCTGGTCCTGGACTCTTTTTGGTTGGTAAGCTATTGATTATTGCCACAATTTCAGATCCTGTTATTGGTTTATTCAGAGATTCAACTTCTTCCTGGTTTAGTCTTGGGAGAGTGTATGTGTCCAGGAATTTATCCATTTCTTCTAGATTTTCTAGTTTATTTGCGTAGAGGTGTTTGTAGTATTCCCTGATGGCAGTTTGTATTTCTGTGGGATCGGTGGTGATATCCCTTTTATCATTTTTTATTGTATCTATTTAATTCTTCTCTCTTTTTTTCTTTATTAGTCTTGCTAGCGGTCTATCAATTTTGTTGATCCTTTCAAAAAACCAGCTCCTGGATTCATTAATTTTTCGAAGGGTTTTCTGTGTCTCTATTTCCTTCAGTTCTGCTCTGATTTTAGTTATTTCTTGCCTTCTGCTAGCTTTTGAATGTTTTTGCTCTTGCTCTTCTAGTTCTTTTTACTGTTTTGTTAGGGTGTCAATTTTGGATCTTTCCTGCTTTCTCTTGTGGGCATTTAGTGCTATAAATTTCCCTCTACACACTGCTTTGAATGTGTCCCAGAGATTCTGGTATGTTATGTCTTTTTTCTCGTTGGTTTCAAAGAACATCTTTATTTCTGCCTTCATTTCGTTATGTACCCAGTAGTCATTCAGGAGCATGTTGTTCAGTTTCCATGTAGTTGAGTGGTTTTGAGTGAGATTCTTAATCCTGAGTGCTAGTTTGATTGCACTGTGGTCTGAGAGATAGTTTGTTATAATTTCTCTTCTTTTACATTTGCTGAGGAGAGCTTTACTTCCCTGTATGTGGTCACTTTTGGAATAGGTGTGGTGTTGTGCTGAAAAAAATGTATATTCTGTTGATTTGGGGTGGAGAGTTCTGTAGATGTCTATTAGGTCTGCTTGGTGCAGAGCTGAGTTAAATTCCTGGGTATCCTTGTTGACTTTCTGTCTCGTTGATCTGTCTAATGTTGACAGTGGGGTGTTAAAGTCTCCCATTATTATTGTGTGGGAGTCTAAGTCTCTTTGTAGGTCATTCAGGACTTGCTTTATGAATCTTGGTGCTCCTTTATTGGGTGCATATATATTTAGGATAGTTAGCTCTTCTTGTTGAATTGATCCCTTTACCATTATGTAATGGCCTTCTTTGTCTCTTTTGATCTTTGTTGGTTTAAAGTCTGTTTTATCAGAGACTAGGATTGCAACCCCTGCCTTTTTTTGTTTTCCATTGGCTTGGTAGATCTTCCTCCATCCTTTTATTTTGAGCCTATGTGTGTCTCTGCATGTGAGATGGGTTTCCTGAATACAGCACACTAATGGGTCTTGACTCTTTATCCAATTTGCCAGTCTGTGTCTTTTAATTGGAGCATTTAGTCCATTTACATTTAAAGTTAATATTGTTATGTGTGAATTTGATTCTGTCATTATGATGTTAGCTGGTTATTTTCCTCGTTAGTTGATGCAGTTTCTTCCTAGTCTCGATGGTCTTTACATTTTGGCATGATTTTGCAGTGGCTGGTACCGGTTGTTCCTTTCCATGTTTAGTGCTTCCTTCAGGAGTTCTTGTAAGGCAGGCCTGGTGGTGACAAAATCTCTCAGCATTTGCTTGTCTGTAAAGTATTTTATTTCTCCTTCACTTATGAAGCTAAATTTGGCTGGATATGAAATTCTGGGTTGAAAATTCTTTTCTTTAAGAATGTTGAATATTGGCCCCCACTCTCTTCTGGCTTGTAGGGTTTCTGCCGAGAGATCCGCTGTTAGCCTGATGGGCTTCCCTTTGAGGGTAACCCGACCTTTCTCTCTGGCTGCCCTTAACATTTTTTCCTTCATTTCCACTTTGGTGAATCTGACAATTATGTGTCTTGGAGTTGATCTTCTCAAGGAGTATCTATGTGGCATTCTCTGTATTTCCTGAATCTGAACTTTGGCCTGCCTTGCTAGATTGGGGAAGTTCTCCTGGATAATATCCTGCAGAGTGTTTTCCAACTTGGTTCCATTCTCCCCATCACTTTCAGGTACACCAATCAGACGTAGATTTCGTCTTTTCACATAGTCCCATATTTCTTGCAGGCTTTGCTGATTTCTTTTTATTCTTTTTTCTCTAGACTTCCCTTCTCACTTCATTTCATTCATTTCATCTTCTATCACTGATACTCTTTCTTCCAGTTGATCGCATTGGCTCCTGAGGCTTCTGCATTCTTCACGTAGTTCTCGAGCCTTGGTGAGCCAAGAAGGCCGAATAGGAACAGCTCTAGTCTATAGCTCCCAGCGTGAGCGACGCAGAGGATGGGTGATTTCTGCATTTCCATCTGAGGTACCGGGTTCTTCTCACTAGGGAGTGCCAGACAGTGGGCGCAGGTCAGTGGGTGTGTGCATCGTGCGTGAGCCGAAGCAGGGCGAGGCATTGCCTCACTTAGGAAGCGCAAGGGGTCAGGGAGTTCCCTTTCTGGGTCAAAGAAAGGGGTGACGGTCGGCACCTGGAAAATTGGGTCACTCCCACCCGAATACAGCGCTTTTCCGATGGGCTTAAAAAACGGTGCACCACGAGATTATATCCCGCACATGGCTCAGAGGGTCTTACGCCCACGGAGTCTCACTGATTGCTATCACAGCAGTCTGCGATCAAACTGCAAGGTGGCAGCAAGTCTGGGGGAGGGGCGCCCGCCATTGCTCAGGCTTGCTTAGGTAAACAAAGCAGCCTGGAAGCTCGAACTGGGTGGAGCCCACCACAGCTCAAGGAGGCCTTCCTGCCTCTGTAGGCTCCACCTCTGGGGGCAGGGCACAGACAAACAAAAAGACAGCAGTAACTACTGCAGACTTAAATGTCCCTGTCTGACAGCTTTGAAGAGAGCAGTGGTTCTCCCAGCATGCAGCTGGAGATCTGAGAACGGGCAGACTGCCTCCTCAAGTGGGTCCCTGACCCCTGACCCCCGAGCAGCCTAACTGGGAGGCACCCCCCAGCAGGGGCACACTGACACCTCACACAGCAGGGTATTCCAACAGACCTGCAGCTGAGGGTCCTGTCTGTTAGAGGGAAAACTAAGAAACAGAAAAGACATCCACACCAAAAACCCATCCGTACATCACCATCATCAAAGACCAAAAGTAGATAAAAGCACAAAGATGGGGAAAAAACAGAACAGAAAAACTGGAAACTCTAAAACGCAGAGTGCCTCTCCTCCTCCAAAGGAACACAGTTCCTCACCAGCAACGGAACAAAGCTGGATGGAGAATGACTTTGACGAGCTGAGAGAAGAAGGCTTCAGTCGATCAAATTACTGTGAGCTACGGGAGGACATTCAAACCAAAGGCAAAGAAGTTGAAAACTTTGAAAAAAATTTAGAAGAATGTATAACTAGAAACATTGTTTTCTTCCATTCTGAGGATGGAGATTTGGAACTCATTGAGGCCAAATGCAAAAAAGTGAATATCCCAGGATAAAAACTAGAAGGAAGTTATCTGAGAAACTGATTTCTGATGTGTGCATTAATCTCACAGAATTAAACTTTTCTTTTCATTCAAGAGTTTGGAAACACTTTTTTTGTAGAATCTTTGAAGAGATATTTGGTAGTGCTTTGAGGCCTGAGTTGAGAAAGGAATTTTCTTCAGATAAAAACTAGAAAGAAGCTTTCTGATAAACTGCTTTGTGATACATGCATTCATCCCACACAGTTAAAACTGTCTTTGGATTCAGCAGTTTGATAACACTGTTTTTGTCCATTCTGTGAAAGGACATTTGGGAGCTCATTGAAGCCAACACCAAAAAAGCGAATATCGCAGGATAAACTAGAAGGAGCTATCTGTGAAACCAATTTGTGATGTGTGCATTCATCTCACAGAGTTAAACCTTTCTTTTCATTCAGCAGTTTGGAAACACTTTTTTCGAAGAATCTGTGAACAGATATTTGGTAGTGCATTGAGGCCTATGGTGAAAAAGAAAATATCTTCAGATAAATAATAGAAAGAAGCTTAAAGAGAGACTACTTTGGGTTGTGTGCATTCATCTCACAGCGTTAACCCATTCTTTAGATTCAGCAGTTTGTTAACACGTTTTTTGCCCATCCTGTGAATGTACATTTGGGAGCTCTTTGAGAACAATGGCAAAAAAGTGAATATGTCAGGATGAAAACTAGAAGGAAGGTATCTGAGAAACAGCTTTGTGATGTGTGTATTCATCTCTCTGACTTAAACATTTTTTTTCATTCATCTATTTGGAAACACTCTTTTCTTAGAATCTGTGAAGAGATATTTGGAGGAGTATGGATGCCTATGGTGAAAAAGGAAATATCTTCAGATAAAAATTAGAAAGAAGCTTAGTGAGAAACTGATTTTGGATTTGTGCCTTCATCTCAGAGAGTTAAACCTTTCTTTGCATACAGAACTTTCGTAGCACTGTTTTTGTCCATTGTGCAAATTTACATTTGGGAGCTCATTGTGGCCAGTGGCAAAAAACTAAATATACAAGGATAAAAACTAGAAGGAAGCTATCTGATATACCATGTTGTGATGTCTGCATTTATCTCGTGGTGTTAAACATTTCACCTCATTCAGCAGTATGGAAACACTGTCTTCCTAGAATCTGGGAAGAGATATTTGGAAGAGTATGGAAGCCCATGGTGAAAAAGGAAATGTCTTCAGAAAAAAACTAGAAAGAAGCTTAATGATAACCCTGTTTGGCATGTGTGCATTCATCTCAGAGAGTTAAACCTTTCTTTCAATTCAGCAGTTTGGTAACACTGTTTTTGTCCATTCTGTGAATGGACATTTGGGAGCTCATTGAGGCCAAAGGCAAAAAGGTGAATATCCCAGGATAAAAACTAGAAGGAAGTTATCTGAGAAACAGCTTTGTGATGTGTGCATTCATCTCACTGAGCTAAACCTTTCTTCTCATTTGGGAGTTGCAAAACACTGTTTTCTTAGAATCTGGGAAGAGATATAAGGTAGTGCAATGAGGACTATTGTGAATAGTAAATATCTCCAGATAAAAACTAGAAAGAAGCTTAACGAGAAACTGCTTTGTGATGTGTCCATTCATCTCAGAGAGTGAAACCTTTCTTTAGATTCACAGTTTGGAAACACTGTTTTTGCCTATTCTGCGAAAGGACATTTTGGAACTCATTGAGGCCAAAGGCAAAAAAGCCAATACCCCAGGATAAAAACTAGAAGGAAGCTATCTGAGAAACAGCTTTGTGATGTGTGTATTCATCTTGCAGAATTAAACCTTTCTTTTCTTTCAGCAGTTTGGAAACACTGTTTTCTTAGAATCTGCAAAGAGATATTTGAAAGCCTATGGAGGCCTATGGTGAAAAAGGAAATATCTTCAGATAAAAATTAGAAAGAAGTTTAATGTGAAACTTGTTTGGGATGTGTGTGTTCATCTCACAGAGTTAAAACTTTCTTTGGATTCAGCACTTTTGTAACACTGTTTTTGTCCAATGTGGAAACATTTGGGAGCTCATTGAGACCAATGGTGAAAAAGCAAATATCCAAGGATAAAAAGTGGAAGGAAGCTATTTGAGAAACTGCATTGTGATGCGTGCATTTATCTCACCATGTTAAACGTTTCTCCTCATTCAGCAGTATGCAAATACTGTTTTCCTAGAATCTGGGAAGAGATATTTGGAAGAGTATGGAGGCCCATGGTGAAAAATAAATATCTTCAGATAGAAACTAGAAAGAAGATTAATGATAAACTGGTTTGGGATGTGTGCATTCATCTCAGAGAACTAAACCTTTCTTTCAATTCAGCAGTTTGGTAACACAGTTTTGTCTGTTCTGTGAATTTACATTTGGAAGCTCATTGAATCCAATGGCAAAAAAGCAAATATCCCAGGATAAAAACTAGAAGGAAGTTATCTTAGCAACTAATTTGTGATATGTGCATTCATCTCACAGAGTTAAAACTTTCTTTTTCTTCTGGAGCTTGGAAACACTGTTTTCTTAGAATCTGTGATGACATATTTGGTAGCACAATGAGGACTATGGTGAATAGTAAATTCCAGATAAAAACTAGACAGAAGCTTAATGAGAAACTGCCTTGAGATGTGTTCATTCATCTCAGAGAGTGAACACTTTCTTTAGATTCACAGTTTGGAAACACGGTTTTTGGCCATTCTGTGAGTGGACATTTGGGAACTCATTGAGGCCAATGGCAAAAAAGCAAATATCCCATGATAAAAACTAGAAGGAAGCTATCTTAGAAACAGCTTTGTGGTGTGTGTATTCATTTCACAGAGTTAAACAGTCTTTTCATTCAGCAGTTTGGAAACCCTGTTTTTGTAGAATCTGTGAAAGCATATTTGGCAGTTCATTGAGGCCTATGGTGAAAAAGGAAATACCTTTAGATAAAAAGTAGAAAGTAGATTTCTGAGAAACTGCTTTCTGATGTGTTCATTCATCACACAGAGTTAAACCTTCATTTTGATTCAGCAGTTTGGAAACACTGTTTTTTCCATTTGCAAATGGAGATTTGGGAGCTCATTGAGGCCAAAGGCGAAAAAGTGAATATCCCAGGATAAAAACAAGAAGGAAGTTACAGAAGAAACCGATTTGTGATGTGTGCATTCAACTCACAACGTTAAAACTTTCTTTTACCTTGAGTTTGGAAACACTATATTTTTAGAATCTGTGAATAGACATTTGGAAGAGTATGCAGGCCTACGTGGGAAAGGAAATATCTTCAGATAAAAACCAGAAAGAAGCATAATGGGAAAATGGTTTGTGATGTGTTCATTCATCTCACAGAAATAAAGCCTTATTTGGATTCAGCAGTTTGTTAACACTGTTTTTGTCCATTCTGCGAATGGACATTTGTGAGATCATTGAGGCCAATGACAAAAAAGTGAATATCACAGAAAAAAACCTAAAGGGAAGTTACCTGAGAAATCGATCTGTGATGTGTGCATTCATCTCACAGTGTTAAAATTTTCTTTGAATTCACAGTTTGATAACACTGTTTTTGTCCATTCTGCAAATGGACATTAGGGAGCTCATTGAGGCCAATGGCAAAAAAGTGAGTATCCCAGAATAAAAACCAGAAGGAAGCTATCTGAGAAACCGCTTTGTGATGTGTGCATTCATCTCACAGAGTTAAAAGTTTCTTAACATTCAGCTGTTTGGAAACACTGTTTTTGTAGAATCTGCGAAGGGATATTTAACAGCACATTGAGGCCTACAATGAAAAAGGAAATATCTTCAGAAAAAAATAGAAAGAAGCTGTGGGCAGCAAGACACTCAGGCACCGAGGCAAGAGACAGAGGACACGAGCTGTTCCAGTATAATAAAATATAAAACAAGAATAGTTATACCAGATATAGATCTTAGATATGATTATATATGAATATTATTAATCATTAGTTTGTAGCAGTTACTCTTTATTCCAATAGTATAATAATCCTTGCTCTATCATCATGGCCTAGGAAAAACCAGGCCATACAGAGATAGGAGCTGAGGGGACATAGTGAGGTGTGACCAGAAGACAAGAGTGCAAGCCTTCTGTTATGCCCAGACAGGGCCACCAGAGGGCTCCTTGGTCTAGTAGTAATGCCAGTGTCTGGGAAGATGCCCGTTACCAGGTGGACCGTGGTCCAGCAGTAGGGAAAGGTGTCAAGGAACAACACCCACTACTTAGCAGACAGGGAAAGGGGGGAGTCTGCCTTTCCCCGGGGTAGTTTAGAGAAGACTCTGCTCCTCCAACTCTTGTGGAGGGTCTGACATCAGTCAGGCTTGCCCGCAGTTATCCGGAGGCCTAACCATCTCCCTGTGATGCTGTGCTTCAGTGGTCACACTCCTAGTCTGCCTTCATGTTCCATCTTGTACACCTGGCTCTGCCTTCTAGATAACAGTAGTAAATTAGTGAAAATACTAATAGTCCCTGAAAGGCAGAAATAATGGCATAAGCTGTCTTTCTCTCTGTTTCCTCTCCTTCTCTGCCTTGGCTGCCAGGCAGGGAAGGGTCCCCTGTCCAGTGGACACGTGACACACGTGACCTTACCTATCATTGGAGGTGACTCACATTCTTTACCTGGCCACTTCTGCCTTTTATCCAATAAATAACAGTGCAGCCAGACATTCGGGGCCACTACTGGTCTCCACGCATTGGTGGTAGTGGTCCCCCAGGCCCAGCTGCCTTTTCTATTATCTGTCTTGTGTCTTTATTTCTACACTCTCTCATTGCCACACACAGGGAAAGATCCACCGACCCTGTGGGGTTGGTCCCTACAGAAGCTTTCTGAGAAACTACTTTTTGATGTGTTTATTCATCTGAAAGAGTCAAACCTTTCTTTGGACTCGGCAGTTTGGAAACAGTGTTTTTGTCCATTCCACAAAGTGACATTTGGGAGCTCTTTGAGGCCAATGGCAAAAAAGTGAATATCCCAGGATAAAAACTAGATGGAAGTAATCTGAGAAACAGCTTTGCGATGTGTGCATTCATCTCACAGAGTTAACCTTTCTTTTGATTCAGCAGTTTGGAAACACTTTTTTTGCAGAATCAGTGTAGGGATATTTGGCAGTGCATGGAGGCCTAAGGGGAAAAACGAATTATCTTCAGAGAAAAACTGGAAAGAATCTTTCTGAGAAACTGTTCTGTGATGTGTTCCTTCACCTCACAGAGTTAAACTTTCTTTGGATTCGGCAGTTTGTTAACACTGTTTTGGGGCATTCTGCTGATGGACTTTTGGGAGCTCATTGAGGCCAATGGCAAAAAAGTGAATATCTCAGGATAAAAACTAGAATCACATTACATGATAAACCTTTACTGATATGTGCATTCATGTCACAGACTTTATCCTTTCTTTTCATTAAGCAGTTTGGAAACACTGTTTTCATAGAATCTGTGAAGAGATATTTTGTAGCGGGATGAGGACTATGTGAAAAAGGAAATATCTTCAGACAAAAACTAGATATAACCTTTCTTAGAGACTACTTTGCGTTGTGTGCATTCATCTCCCAGAGTTAAACCTTTCTTTTCATTCAGCAGTTTAGAAACCCTGCTTTCTTAGAATCTATGAAGAGATACTTGGTAGCACAATGAGGCCCATGGTGAAAAAGGAAATATGTTCAGTTACAAACTTGAAACAACATTTCTGAGAGACTGCTTTGTGATGTATGCATTCATCTCACAGAGTTAAACCTTTCTTTGGATTCAACAGTTTTGTAACATTGTTTTTGTCCATTCTGCGAGTGGACATTTGGGAGCTCTTTGAAGCCACTGGAGAAAAAGTGAGTATCCCAGGAAAAAAACTAGAAGGAAGTCATCTGAGAAAATGCTTTGTGATCTGTGCAATCATCTTGCAGAGATAAACCTTTCTTTTATTCAGTAGTTTGGAATTGGTTTTTGTAGAGTCTATGTAGGGATATTTGGCAGGGCATTGAGGCCTATGGTGAAAAAGGAATTTTCTTCAGAGAAAAACTAGAAAGAAGCTTTTCTGAGAAACTGTTTTGTGATGTGTTCATTCAGCTCACAGATTTAAAACTTTCTTTGGATTCAGCAGTTTGGAAACACAGTTTTTGTCCATTCTGCAAAAGGACGTTTGGGAGCTTATTGAGGCCAATGGCAAAAAAGCAAATATCTGAAGATAAAAACTAGGAGCACATTATGTGAGAAACCAATTTGTGATGTGTGCATTCATCTCACAGAGTTAAACCTTTCCTTTCATTCAGCAGTTTGGAAACACTGTTTTCTTAGAATCTGCAATGGGATATTTTGTAGCACAATGAGGACTATGGTGAAAAAGGAAATAGCTTCAGATAAAAACTAGAAAGCCTTTCTGACAGACTGCTTCGTGATATCTTCATTCATCTCACAATGTTAAACCTTTCTTTGTATTCAGCAGTTTTATAACACTGTTTTTGTCCATTCGGCAAATGGACATTTGGGAGCTCATTGGGGCCGATGGTGAAAAGGTGATTGTCCCAAGATAAAAACCAAAAGGAAAATATCTGAGAAAACGCTTTGTGATGTATGCATTCATCAAACAGTGTTAAACCTTTCTTTTCATTCAGCAGTTTGGAAAAACTGTTTTTGGAGAATCTGTGAAGGGATATTGGGGAACACATTGACTTCAATGCTGAAAAAGGAATTTTCTTCACATAACAACTAGAAAGAAGCTTTCTGAGAGACTGCTTTGTGATGGTTTCGTTAATGTCACAGACTTAAAGTTTTTTTGGATTCAGCCGTTTGGAAATACTCTTTTTGTCCATTCTGTGAATAGACATTTGGGAGTTCATTTAGACCAATTGTGAAAAAGTAAATATCCCTGGATAAAAAAGAGGATGAAACTATCTGAGAAACCTCTTTGTGATGTCTGCATTCATCTCAAAGGTTTAAACATTTCTTTTCATTCAGTAGTTTGGAAACACTGTTTTCTTTGAATCTGTGCAGAGATAATTTGTAGCTCATTGAGGCCTATGGTGAAAGAGGAAATACTTTCAGATAAAAACTAGAAAGAAGCTTAATGAAAAACTGCTTTAGGATGTGTGCATTCTTCTCACAGACTTAAACCTTTCTTAAGATTCAGCAGTTTTGTAACCTTGTTTTGTCCATTCTGTGAATGGGTATTTCGGAGCTCATTGAGGTCAAAGGTGAAAAAGTGAATATCCCAGGATAAAAAATAGAGGGAAGATATCTGAGAAACCCCTTTGTGTTGTCTGTATTCATTCACAGAGTTGAAAATGTCTTTTCTTTCAGCAGTTTGGAAACATTGTTTTTACAGAATCTGTGAAGGGCTATTTGCGAGTGCATTGAGGCCTCAGGTGAAAAGAGGAATATATTCAGATAAAAACTAGAAAGAAGCTTTCAGAGAAACTGATTTGTAATGTGTTCATTTGTCTTACAGAGTTAAACCTTTCTTTGGATTCAGCAGTTTGGAAAGAGTGTTTTTGTCCATTCTGTGAATTAACATTTTGGAGCCCATTGAAGCCAATGGTGAAAAAAAGGATATCCCAGGATAAAAACTAAAAGCTGGTGATCTGGGAAGCTGATTTGTGATGTGTGCATTCATCTCACAGAATTAAAACTTTCTTTTCATTCAGTAGTTTGGAAAGAGTGTTTTTGTGGAATCTGCAAAGGGATATTTGGAATTGCATTGAAACCTATGGTGAAAAGGAAATATCTACAGTTAAAAACTAGAAAGAAGCTTTCTGAGAAACTTCTTTGTGATGTCTGCATGAAACTGCCAGAGTTAAACCTTTCTTTTCATTCACTAGTTTGGAAGCACTGTTTTTGTAGAATCTGCTACGGGATATTTGGGAGTGCTTTGAGGCCTAGGGTTCAAAAGGATATATCTTCAGATAAAAACTAGAAAGACACTTTCTGAGAAACTACTTTGTGATGTCTTCAGTCACCTCACAGCATTAACATTTCTTTGGATTCAGCTGTTTGGAAACACTGTTTTTGTCCATTCTGCAAATGGATTTGTGGGAACTCATTGAGGCCAATGGTGAAAATGCATGTAGCCCAGGATAAAAACTAGAAGGAATTTATCTGAGAAACCCCTTTGTGATGTGCACATTCATCTTATAGAGTTCAACCTTTCCCTTCAATCAGCAGTTTGGAAACATTGTTTTTGTACAATCTGTGAAGAGATATTTGGGAGCACATTGAGGCCTATGGTGAAAAAGTAAATATATTCAGATAAAAAGCAGAAAGAAGCTTGCTGAGAAACTTCTTTGTGGTGTGTTCATTCATCTTGCAGAGTTAAACCATTCTTTGTATTCAGCAGTTTGTTAACACTGTTTTTGTCCATTTTGTGAATGGACATAGGGAAGCTCATTGAGACCTATGTCAAAAAAGTGAATATCCAAGTATGAAAAAATAGAAGGAAGCTCTCTGGGAAACCAATTTGTGATGTGTGCATTCCTCTCACAGAGTTAAACCTTTCTTTTCATTCAGCAGTTTGGAAACACTGTTTTCTTAGAATCTGTGAGGGGATATTTGGTAGTTCATTGAGTCCTATGGTGAAAAGGGAAATATCTTCAGATAAAAGCTAGAAAGACTCTTAAAGAAGCATTCATCTCACATATTTAAACCTTTCTTTGGATTCAGGAGTTTGTAAACTCTGTTTTTGTTCATTTTGTGAATATACGTTTGGGAACTCATTGAGGCCAATGGCAAAAAAGTGAAAATCCCAAGATAAAAACTACAAAGAAGTTATCTGAGAAACGGGTTTGAGATGTGTGCATTCATCTCGCAGTGTTAAACCTTTCTTTTCACTCAACAGTTTGGAAACACTGTTTTCTGAGAATCTGTGAAGAGATATTTGTCAGCACATTGAGGCCTATGGTGAAAAATGAAATAATTTCTGATAAAAAACAGAAAGAAGCTTAATGAGTTTAATAAGCTTTAATAAGTTTCGGTGTGTGCATTCATCTCACAGAGTTAAACCTTTGTTTTAATTCAACAGTTTGGTAACCCTCTTTTTGCCCATTGTGAGAATGGACATTTCAGAGCTCATTGCTGCCAATGGCAAAAAAGTTAATATCCAGGATAAAAAGTAGAAGTAAGATATCTGAGAAACTGCTTTGTGATGTATGCATTTATCTCACAGAGTTAAACTTGTTTTTCATTCAGCAGTTTGGAAACACTGTTTTTGTTTCACAAATAACTCTGCAAAGAGTTATTTGGGAGCTCATTGGGGTCAAAGTCAAAAAAGCCAATATCCCAGGATAAAAACTAGAATAAGCTTTGTGATATCTGCTTTGTGATATGTGCATTCATCTCACAGAGTGAAACGTTTCTTTTCATTCAGCAGTTTGGAAACACATTGTAGTAGAATCTGCAAAAGGATATGTTGGGGCACATTGAGGACTATGGTGAAAAAGGAAATATCTTCATATAAATACTACAAAGAAGCCTTCTGAGAAATTGCTTTGTGATGTGTGCTTTCATGTCACAGAGTTAAACATTTCTTTGGATACAGCATTTGGGAAACACTGTTTCTGTCCTATGAATGGACATTTGGCAGCTCATTGAGGCCAATGGCAGAAAAGTGAATATCCCAGGAAAAAAACTAGAAGGAACCTCTCTGAGAAACCACATTGTGATATGTGTATTCATCTCAAAGAGTTAAACCTTCCTTTTCATTCTGCAGTTTTGAAACATTGTTTTCATAGAATCTGTGAAGGGATATTTGGGGGTACATAGAGGCCTATGGTGAAAAAGAAAATATTTTCAGTAAAAAACTACAAAGAATCTTTCTGAGAAACTGATTTGTGGTGTGTACATTCATCTCATAGAGTTAAATATTTCTTTGGATTCAGCAGTATGGAAACACTGTTTTTGTAGAATCTGCAAAAGGGTATTTAGGAGCTCTTTGAGGCCAAGACAAAAAAGCAAATATCCCAGGATAAAAACTAGAAGGAAACTATCTGAGAAACGGCTTGGTTATGAGTGCATTCATCTGGCAGAGTTAAAATTTCTTTTAATTCAGCAGTTTGGAAACACTGTTTTGTAAAATCTGTGAAGGGGTATTTGGGAGACCATTGGGGCCTATGGTGAAAAATGAAATATGTTCAGATAAAAACTAGAAAGAAGCTTTCTGAGAAACTACTTTGAGATGTGTGCATTTGTCACAGAGAGTCAAACTTTTCTTTGGATTCAGCAGTTTAGAAACAATGTTTTTGTTCATTCTGTGCATGGACATTTGGGAGCTCATTGAGACCAATGGTGAAAAAGTGAATATTCCTGGATAAGATCTAGAAGGAAACTATCTGAGGTTGCTTTGTTATGTGTGCATTCATCTCACAGAGTTAAAACTTACTTTTCATTCAGCAGTTTGGAAAAACTGTATTTTAAAATCTGTGAATGGATATAAGGGAACACTTTGAGTCCTATAGTGAAAAAGGAAATATCTTCAGATGAAAACTAGAAAGTAGTGTTCTGAGAAGCAGCTTTGTGATGTGTGCACTCCTCTCACAGAGTTAAACCTTTCTTTCTACTCACCAGTTTGGAAACACTGTTTTTGTAGAATCTGTGAAGGGATATTTGGGAGGTCATTGAGGCCAAAGGCAAAAAAGCAAACGTTGATCTCCCAAAGTTAAAATTTTCTTAACATTCAGCAGTTTGGAAACTGTTTTTGTAGGATCTGCAAAGGTATATTTGGTTGCACATTGTGGCCTATGGCGAAAAAGAAATATCTTCAGGTAAAAACTACAAAGAAGCTTTCTGAGAAACTGCTTTATGAAAGGTGAATTCACCTCACAGAGCTATACGTTTCTTTGGATTCAGCAGTTTGGAAACACTGTTTTTGTCCATTCTGTGAATAGACATTTGGGAGCTCATTGAGGACAATGGCAAAAAAGCAAATATCGCAGGATAAAAACTGGAAGGAAGTTATATGAAATACTAGCTTTTTCACCTTAGGCCTGAATGAGCTAACAAATGTCCATTTGCAGAATGGACAAAAACAGTGTTTCCCAACTGATGAGGGAAAAGAAATATTTATCTCTATGAGATGAATGCACACATCACAAAGAAGTTTCTCAAAAAGATTTTTTCTAGTTTTTATCCCATGATATTTCATTTTACCAGAGCCCTAAAAGAGCTTTGAAATTTCTCTTTGCATATTCTATGAAAACAGTGTTTCCACAATACTGAATGAAAGGAAAGGTTTAACTCTGCTAGATGAATGGATACATCACAAAGCAGTTTCTCTGATAGCTTCCTTCTAGTTTTTATCCTGGGATATTCGCTTTTTTGCCTATGTCCTCAATGAGTTATCAAATATCCCTTTGCAGATTCTACTAAAACAGTGTTTACAAACTGCCTAATCCAAAGAAATGTTGAAATCTGTGAGATGAATGCACACATCACAAAGAAGTTTCTCAGAAAGCTTCCTTCTAGTTTTGATCTGAAGTTATTTTCTTTCTCACCATAGTCCTCAAAGTGCTCCTATATATACCTTTGCAGATTCTATCAAAACAGTGTTTCCAAACAGCTGAATGAAAAGAAAGTTTTAACTCTGAGATGAATGCACACATCACAAAGTGGTTTCTCAAATAGTTTCCTTCTAGTTTTTATCCTAGGATATTCGCTTTTTCCTGGATGGCCTCATTGAGCTCCCAAATATCCCTTCACTCATTCTTCAACAGCAGTGATTCCAAACTGCTGAATCCAAAGAAAGGTTTTACTGTGTGATATGAATGCACACATCACAAAGCAGTTTCTCAGAAAGCTTCTTTCTAGTTTTCAACTGAAAATATTTCTTTTTACCACAAGCCTAAATGCGCTCCCAAATATCCCTTCACGGTTTCTACAAAAACAGTGTTTCCAACCTGCTGAATGAAAAGAGACGTTTAACTCTGTGAGATAAATGCACACATCACAAAGCAGTTTTTCAGATAGATTCCTTCTAATTTTTATCATGGGATATTCAATTTTTGGCCTTGGCCTCAATGAACTCTCTAATATCCTTTAGTAGATTCTACAAAAACAATGTTTGCAAACTGCCGAATCCAAAAAAAGGTTTAACTCTGTTAGATGAATGCACACATCACAAAGCAGTTTCTCATAAAGCTTCTTTCTAGTTTTTATCTGAAGATATTTCCTTTTTCACCCATAGACCTCAATATACTCCCAAATATCCCTTTGCACATTCTACAAAAACGGTGTTTTGAAACTGTTGCATGAAAAGAAAGTTTTAACTCTGTGATTTGAATGCACACATCACAAAGTGGTTTCTCAGATAGTTTCCTCTAGGTTTTATCCTGGGATATTCAGTTTTTCACCTTTGGTCTGAAAGAGCCCCCAAATGTCCATTTGTAGAATGGATAAAAACAGTATTTCTACACTGCTGAATCCAAAGAATGGTTCAACTCTTAGAGATGAATGTGCATATCACACAGTGCTTTCTCGAAAGCTTCTATCTTGTTTTTATCTGAAGATATTTCCTTTTTCACCGCAAGCCTCAATGCGCTCCCAAATATCCCTTTTTGGATTCTGCCAAAACAGTGTTTCTGGACTGCTGAATGAAGAGAAGGTTTTAACTTTGTGAGGTGAATGCACACATCACAAAGCGGTTTCTCAGATAGCTTCCTTCTAGCTTTTCTCCTGTGATATTCGCTTTTTGCCATTGTTGTTAATGAACTATGAAATGTCCTTTCACAGAATGGATGAAAACAGTGTATACAAAATGCTGTTTTCACCAAAAGGATTAACTCAATGAGGTTAATGCACACATCACAAAGCAGTTTCTCAGAAAGCTTCTTTCTTGATTTTATCTGAATACTTTTGCTTTTCCACCATAGGCCTCAATGCACTCCCAGATATCCCTTTGAAGATTCTACGAAAACAGCATTTCCACAATGCTGAATGAAAAGAAAGGTTTAACTCTGTGAGATGAATGCACACATCACAAAGCTGTTTCTCAGACAGTTTTCTTCTAGTTTTTATTCTGGGATATTCACTTTTTCACCTTTGAACTCAATGACCTCCCAAATGTCCATTTGCAAAATGGACAAAAAGAGTGTTTCCAAACAGCTGAATCCACAGAAAGCTTTAACTCTGTGAGATAAATGCACACATCACAATGCAGTTTTTCAAAAAGCTTCTATGTAGTTTTTATCTGAAGATATTTCCTTTTTCACTCTAGGCTTCAGTGAGCTCCCAAATGTCCCTTCACATATTTTACCAAAATAATTTTTCCAAACTGCTGAATGAAAAGAAAGGTTTAACACTATGAGTTGAAAGCACACTTCACAAAGCAGTTTCTCAGATAGATTTCTCCTAGTATTCATCCAGGGATATTGGCTTTTTTGCTTTGGCCTCAATGAGCTCCAAAATGTCCCTACATAGAATGGACAAAAACAGTGTTTCCAAACTGCTGAATCCAAAGAAACTTTTAACTCTGTGAGATAAATGCGCTAATCACACAGCAGTTTCTCAGAAAGTTTCTCTCTAGTTTTTATCTGAAGTTATTTCCCTTTTCACCACAGGCCTCAATTCGCTCCAAAATATCCCTTCCTAGATACTCCAAAAACAGTATTTTTAAACTGCTGAATGAAAAGACAGTTTTACCTCTGCAAGATGAATGCACACATCACAAAGCGGTTTTTCAAATGGCTTCCTTCTAGTGTTAAACCAGGGATGTTCTCTTTTTCACCATTGGCCTCAATGAGCACCAAAATATCTGTTCACAGATTCTGCAAAAACAGTGTTTCCAAACTGCTGAATGCAAAGATTGTTTTAACCCTGTGAGAAGAATGCACACATCACAAAGCAGTTTCTCAGAAAGCTTCTATCTAATTTTTATCTGAAGATACTTCCTTTTTCACCATAGGCCTCAAGGCACTCCCAAATATAACTTCGCAGATTATACCAAAACAGTGTTTCCAAACAGCTGAACGAAAAGAAAGGTTTAACTCTGCTAGATCAATGTAGATCTCAGAAGGTGGTTTCTCAGATACCTGTCAAAACAGTGTTTCCAGACTGCTGAATGAAAAGAAATGTTTATCTCTGCGAGGTGAATGCACACATCACAAACCAGTTTCTCAGATAGCTTTTTTCCAGTTTTTATCCTGGGATATTCGCTTTTTCACCTTTGGCCTCAATGAGCTCTCAAATGTCCATTGGCACAATGGACAAAAACAGTGTTTGCAAACTGCTGATTCCACAGAAAGGTATATCTCTGTGCGATGAATACACATATCACAAAGCAGTTTCTCACAAAGCTTCTTTTTAGTTTTTATCTAAAGATATTTTCTTTTTCACCATAGGCTTCAATGCGCTCCCAGATATACCTTTGCAGATTCTACAAAAGCCGTGTTTCCAAACTGCTGAATAAAAAGAGAGTTTGAACTCTCTGAGGTGATTGAGCACATCACAAAACAGTTTCTCACAAAGCTTCTTTCTTGTTTTTATCTGAAGATATTTCCTTTTCCACCATAGGCCTCAATGTGCTCCCAAACATCCTTTGGGGAATCAGCCAAAACAATGTCTCCAGACTGCTGAATGAAAAGAAAGGTTTAACTCAGTGAGATGAATGCACACATCACAAAGTGGTTTCTCAGATAGCTTCCTTAAAGTTTTTATCCTGGGATATTCCCTTTTTCCCCATTGGCTTCAATGAGCTCCCAAATATCCATCTGCAGAATGGACAAAAACAGTGTTCCCAAACTGCTTAGTCCACAGAAATGTTTAACTCTGTGAGACGAGTGCAGACATCACAAACCAGTTTCTAAGAAAGGTTATTTGCAGTTTTTATCAGAAGATATTTCCTTTTTCACCATAGGCCTCGAAAAGCTCCCAGTTATCTCTTCGCAGAACCTACAAAACCTTTGTTTCCAAACTGCTGAATGAAAAGAAAGGTTTAACTCTGTGATATGAATGCACACATCACAAAGTGGTTTCTCAAATGGCTTCCTTGTATTTTTTATCCTGGGATAATCATTTTCTCACCTTTGGCCTCAATGTACACCCAAATATCCCACTGCTAACAGTGTTAGCAGATTCTAGAACAACACTGTTTCCAAACTGCTGAATCCAAAGAAAGATTTAACTCTGTGAGAGGAATGCACACATAACAAAGCAGTTTCTCAGAAAGCTTCTTTCTAGTTTTTATCTGAAGATATTTACTTTTTCACCATAGGCCTGTAGGCGCTCCGAAATATCCTTTGGTGGATCCTGCCAAAGTAGTGTTTCCAGACTGCTGAATTAAAAGAAAGTTTTAATTCTGTGAGGTGAATGTACACATCACAAAGCATTTTCTCAAATAGGTAATCTCTAGTTTTTATCCTGAGACATTCACTTTTTTGCCATTGACCTCAATGAGCTCCCAAATATCCATTCACAGAATGGACAAAAACAGTGTTTGCAAACTGCTGAATCCACAGAAACGTTTAACTCTGTGAGAATAATGCCCACATCACAAAGCAGTTTCTCAGAAACCTTCTTCTAGTTTTTGTCTGAAGATATTTCCTTTTTCACCATAGGCCTCAATTTGCTCATAAATATCCCCTCACAGATTCTGACAAAACAGTGTTTCCAGACTGCTGAATGAAAACAAAGCTTTAACTCTAGGAGGTGAATGCAGACATCACAAAGTGGTTTCTCAGATAGCTTCCCTCTAGTTTTTTTCATGGGTCATTTGCTTTTTTGCCATTGGCCAAAATGAGTTCCCAAAGGTCCATTTGTGGAATGGACAAAAACCGTTTTTGCAAACTGCTGAATCCACAGAAGGATTAAATTGGTGAGGTGAATGCACACATGACAAAGCAGTTTCTGAAGAAGCATCTTTCTAGTTTTTATCAGAAGATTTTTAATTTTTCTCCCTAGGCCTCAATGCACTCCCAGATATCCCTTCACAGAATTCCACAAAAACAGTCTTTTCAAACTGCTGAATGAAAAGAAATGTTTAACTCTGTGAGATGAATGCACAATTCAGAAAGTGGTTTCTCAAATAGCTTTCTTCTAGTTTTTATCCTAGAATATTTGCTTTTTCGCCTTTGGCCTCAATCAGCTCCCAAATATCCCTTCGCAGGTTCTAAAACAATGTTTCCAAACTGCTGAATCCAAAGAAAGGTTTAACTCTGTGAGATGATTGCACACATCACAAAGCAGTTTTTCAGAAAGCTTCTTTCTAGTTTTTATCTGAAGATATTTCCTTTTTAAGCATAGGGCTCAATGTGCTACCAGATATCATTTCACAGAAACTACGAAAACAATGTTTCCAAACTGCAGAATGAAAGAAAGTTTTAACTCCACGAGATGAATTGACACATCACAAAGCAGTTTCTCAAAGGGCTTCCTTCTAGTTTTAATCCTGGGATAGTCTTTTTTTTTGACATTGGCCTTAATGAGCTTCCAAATGTCCATTTTCATAATAGATAAAAGCAGTCTTTGCAAACTGCTGAATGCACAGAAAAGTTTAACTCTGTGAGATGAATGCACACATCACAAAGCAGTTTCTCAGAAAAATTCTTTCTAGTTTATATCTGATGATATTTCCTTTGTCTCCATAGACCTCAATGAACTCCCAAATGTAACTTCACAGATTCTACAAAAACAGTGTTTCCAAACTGCTGAATTTAAACAAAGGCTTAAATCTGAGAGATGAATGCACACATCAGAAAGTGGTTTCTCAAATGGCTTCCTTCTAGTTTTTTTTTCCGGGATATTCGCTTTCTTGCCTTTGGCCTCATTAAGTTCCCAAATATCTCTTTGCAGGATCTACAAGAACAGTGTTTTGAAACTTCTAAATCTAAAGAAAGGGTTAACTCTGTGAGTTGAATGCACACATCACAAAGTGGTTTTGAAGATAGCTGCCTTCTACTTTTTGTCCTAAAATATTTGTTTTTTCACCATTGGTCTGAATAAGCTCCAAAATATCCCTTCACAGATTCTACAACAACAGTGTTTCCAAACAGCTGAATCCAAGAAAGATTTAACTCTGAGATGAATAAACACATCACAAAGCAGTTTCTCAGAAAGCTTCCTTATAGCTTTTATCTGAAGATATTTATTTTCTCACCATAGGCCTCAAGGAGTTCCAAATAAGCCTTCACAGATTCTGCCTAAACAGTGTTTCCAGACTGCTGAATGACTAGAAGGTTTTAAGTCTGAAAGATGAATGTACACATCACGGAACAGTTTCTCAGAAAGCTTCTTTCTTGTTTTTATCTGAAGATACTTCCTTTTTCACCATAGGCCTCAATGTGCTCCCAAATATCCCTTTGCAGAATCAACCAAAACTGTGTTTCCATATTTCTGAAGGAAAGAATGTTTTAATTCTGTGAGGTGAGTGTACATATCACAAAGCTGTTTCTCAGATAGCTTCCTTCTAGTTTTGATCCTGGGATATTTTCTTTTATCCTACTGGCCTCAATTAACTCCCAAATGTCTATTCACAGAATGGACAAAAACAGTGTTTGCAAACTGCTGAATCCACAGAAAGTTTTAACTCTGTGAGAGGAATGCACACATCACAAAGCAGTTTCTCAGAAAACTTCTTTCTAGTTTCTATCTTAAGATATTTCCTTTTTCACTGTAGGCCTCAATGTACTCCCAGATATCCTATCACAGATTCCACCAAAACAGTGTTTGCAAACTGCTGAATGAAAAGAAAGGTTTACCTCTACGAGTTGAATACACACATCACAAAACGGTTTCAAAAATAGCTTCCTTCTAGTTTTTATCCTGAGATGTTCGCTTTTTCATCATGGGCTTCAATGAGCTCCCAAATATCTCTTCACAGATTCTACAACAATAGTGTTTCCAAACTGCTGTATCCAAAGAAAGGTTCAACTCTGTAAGGTGAATGCACACATCTCAAAGCAGTTTCTGAGAAAGCTTCTTTGTAGTTTTTATCTGAAGTTATTTCCTTTTGCACCATAGGCCTCAATGCACTCCCAGATATCACTTCACAGATTCTATGAAGACAGTGTTTCCAAACTGCTGAATGAAAAGAAAGGTTTAATTCTGTGAGATGAATGGACACATCACAAAGCAGCTTTCTCAGAAAGCCCATTTCTTGCTTTTATCTGAAGATATTTCCTTTTTTACCATAGGCCTCAATGTGCTCCCAAATCTGACTTTGCAGAAAAACAGTGTTTCCAAACTGCTGAATGAAAAGAAATGTTTAACTCTGAGAGATGAATGCACACATCACAAAGCGGTTTCTCAGATAGTGTCCTTCTAGTTCTTTTCCTGGGACATACACTTTCTTGCCTTTGGTTTCATTAAGCTCCAAATATCCCTTTGCAGACAATTCAAGAACAGTGTTTCCAAACTACTGAATCAAAGAAAGGATTAACTTGGTGAGATGAATGCACACATCACAAAGAAGTTTCTCAGGAAGCTTCTTTCTAGTTTTTACCTGAAAGTATTTCCTTTTTCACCATAGGCCTCAATGTGCTCCCAAACATCCCTTCGTGGATTCTGCCAATATAGTATTCCACACTGCTGTATGAAAAGAAAGTATTAATTCTGTGAGGTGAATGCAGACATCACAAAGCTTTTTCTCAGATAGCTTCTTTGTAGTTTTTATCCAGGGATATTCGCTTTTTTGCCTTTGGACTAAATGAGCTCCTATATGTCCATTCACAGAATGGACAAAAGCAGTGTTTGCAAACTGTCGAATCCAAAGAAAAGTGAACTCTGTGAGATGAGTGCACGCATCACAGAGCAGTTTCTCAGAAAGCTTCTTTCTAGTTTTTATCTGAAGATATTTCTTTTTAACCGTATGCCTCAATGTGCTCCCAGACATCACTTCAAAAATTCTACAAAAACAGTGTTTCCAAACTACTGAATGAAAAGAAAGTTTTAATTCTGCGAGATGAGTGCATACATCACAAAGTGGTTTCTCAGATAGCTTCCTTCTAGTTTTTATCCTGGGATGTTCACTTTTCTGCCATTGGCCTCAATGAGCTCCCAAATATCAATTTGCAGAGTCTGCAACAACAGTTTTTCCAAAATCCTGAATTCAAAGAAAGGTTTACCTGTGAGAAATGAATGCACACATCACAAAGCAGTTTCACAGAAAGTTTTCTAGTTTTTAGCTGAAAATATTTCCTTTTTCACAGTAGGCCTCAATGCGCTCCCAAATATAACTTCTTGGATTCTGTCAAAAGAGTGTTTCCATACTGCTGAAAGAAAAAAAGGTTTTAACTCTGCAAGGTGAATGCACACCTCAGAAAGCAGTTTCTCAGATAGCCTCCTTCTAGTTTTTATCCTGGGATATAAGCTTTTTCGCCATTGTTCTCAATGAGCTCCCAAATGTCCATTTGCAGAATGGACAAAAACAGTATTTGAAAACTGCTGAATCCACACAAAGGTTTAACTATGGGAAATGAATGCACATCTCACCAAGCAGTTTCTCAGACAGCTTCTTTCTAGTTTTAATCTGAAGATATTTCCTTTTTTGCCATAGGCCTCAAAGTGCTCCCAGATATAACTTTGCAGATTCTATGGAAACAGAGTTTCCAAATTACTGAATCCAAAGAAAGGTTTAACTTTGCAAGATGAATGGACAGATCACAAAGCATCTTCTCAGAAAGCTTCTTAGTTTTTATCTGAAGATATGTTTTTTTCTTTTCTTTTCTTTTATTACTATTATACTTTAAGTTTTAGGGTACATGTACACAATGTACAGGTTAGTTAAATATGTATACATGTGCAATGCTGGTGTGCTGTATCCATTAACTCGTCATTTAGCATTAGGTAAATCTCCTAATGCTATCTCTCCCCCGTCCCCCCACCCCACAATATTCCCCAGAGTGTGATGTTCCCCTTCCTGTGTCCATGTGTTCTCATTATTCAATTCCCACCTGTGAGTGAGAACATGCGGTGTTTGGTTTTTGTCCTTGCGATAGTTTACTGAGAATGATTTCCAATGTCATCCATGTCCCTACAAAGGACATGAACTCATCTTTTTTTATGGCTGCATAGTATTCCATGGTGTATATGTGCCACATTTTCTTAATCCAGCCTATCATTGTTGGACATTTGTGTTGATTCCAAGTCTTTGCTATTGTGAATTGTGCCACAATAAACATACGTGTGCATGTGTCTTTATAGCAGAATGATTTATAATCTTTTGGGTATATACCCAGTAATGGGATGGCTGCGTCAAATGGTATTTCTAGTTCTAGATCCCTGAGGATTCGCCACACTGACTTCCACAATGGTTGAACTAGTTTTCAGTCCCACCAACAGTGTAAAAGTGTTCCTATTTCTCCACATCCTCTCCAGCACCTGTTGTTTCCTGACTTTTTAATGATTGCCATTCTAACTGGTGTGAGATGGTATCTCATTGTGGTTTTGATTTGCATTTCTCTGATGTCTAGTGATGGTGAGCATTTTTTCATGTGTTTTTGGTTGCAGAAATGTCTTCTTTTGAGAAATGTCTGTTCATGTCCTTCGCCCACTTTTTGATCAGTTTGTTTGTTTTTTTCTTGTAAATTTGTATGAGTTCATTGTAGATTCTGGATATTAGCCCTTTGTCAGATGAGTAGGTTGTGAAAATTTTCTCCCATTTTGTAGGTTGCCTGTTCACTCCGATGGTAGATACTTTTGCTGTGCAGAAGCTCTTTAGTTTAATTAGATCCCATTTGTCAATTTTGACTTTTGTTGCCATTGCTTTTGGTGTTTTAGACATGAAGTCCTTGCCCATGCCTATGTCCTGAATGGTAATGCTTAGGTTTCCTTCTAAGGTTTTTATAGTTTTAACATTTAAGTCTTTGATCCACCTTGAATTAATTTTTGCATAAGGTGTAAGGAAGTGAACCAGTTTCAGCTTTCTACATATGACTAGCCAGTTTTCCCAGCACCATTTATTAAATAGGGAATCCTTTCCCCATTTCCTGTTTTTCTCAGGTTTGTCAAAGATCAGATAGTTGTAGATATGTGGTGCTATTTCTGAGGGCTGTATTCTGTTCCATTGATCTATATCTCCATTTAGGTACCAGTATCATGCTGTTTTGGTTATTGTAGTATAGTTTGAAGTCAGGTAGCGTGATGCCTCCGACTTTGTTCTCTTGGCTTAGGATTGACATGGTGATGCAGGCACTTTTTTGGTTCCATATGAACTTTAAAGTAGTTTTTTCCAATTCTGTGAAGAAAGTCATTGGTAGCTTGATGGGGATGGCATTGAATCTATAAATTACCTGGGGCAGTATGGCCATTTTCATGATATTGATTCTCCCTATCCATGAGCAAGGAATGTTCTTCCATTTGTTTGTATCCTCTTTTATTTCATTGAGCAGTGGTTTGTAGTTCTCCTTGAAGAGGTCCTTCACATCCCTTGTAAGTTGGATTCCTAGGTATTTTATTCTCTTTGAAGCAATTGTGAATGGGAATTCACTCACGATTTGGCTCTCAGTTTTTCTGTTATTGGTGTATAAAAATGCTTGTGATTTTGTACGTTGATTTTGTATCCTGAGACATTGCAATAAAAAATGAGAAAAGGGATATCACGACTGATCCCACAGAAATACAAACTACCATCAGAGAATACTACAAACACCTCTATGCAAATAAACTAGAAAATCTAGAAGAACTGGTTAAAATCCTTGACACATACACCCTTCCAAGACTAAACCAGGAGGAAGGTAAATCTCTGAATAGTCCAATAACAGGCTCTGAAATTGTGGCAATAATCAATAGCTTACCAACAAAAAGAGTCCAAGACCAGATGGATTCATAGCCCAATTCTACCAGAGGTACAAGGAGGAACTGGTACCATTCCTTTTGAAATTATTCCAATCAATAGAAAAAGAGGGAATCCTCCCTAACTCATTTTATGAGGCCAGCATCATCCTGATACCAAAGCCGGGCAGAGACACAACCAAAAAAGAACATTTTAGACCAATATCCTTGATGAACATTGATGCAAAAATCCTCAATAAAATACTGGCAAACAGAATCCAGCAGCACATCAAAAAGCTTATCCACCATGATCAGGTGGGCTTCATCCCTTGGATGCAAGGCTGGTTCAATATACACAAATCAATAAATGTAATCCAGCATATAAACAGAACCAAAGACAAAAACCACATGATTATCTCAATAGATGCAGAAAAGTCCTTTGACAAAATTCCAGAACCTTTCATGCTAAAAACTCTCAATAAATTAGGTATTGATGGGACATATCTCAAAATAATAAGAGCTATCTATGACAAACCCACAGCCAATATCATACTGAATGGGCAAAAACTGGAAGTATTCCCTTTGAAAACTGGCACAAGACAGGGATGCCCTCTCTCCCCACTCCTATTCAACATAGTGTTGGAAGTTCTGGCCAGGGCAATTAGGCAGGAGAAGGAAATAAAGGGTATTCAATTAGGAAAAGAGGACATCAAATTTTCCTTGTTTGCAGATGACATGATTGTATATCTAGAAAACCCCATTGTCTCAGCCCAAAATCTCCTTAAGCTGATAAGATATGTTCTTTTTCACCATAGGCCTAAATGCACTCCCAAATATCCCTTTGCGGATTCTGCAAAAACAATGTTTACAGATTGCTGAATGAAAAGAAAGGTTTATCTCTGTGATGTGAATGTACACATCACAAAGAGGGTTCTCAGATAGCTTCCTTCCAGTTTATATCCAGGGATATTCGGTTTTTCACCATTGACCTCAAAGAGCTTCCAAATGTCCGTTTGCACAAAAGACAAAAACACTGTTTGGAAACTGCTGAATCCACATAAATGTTTAACTCTGTGAGGTGAATGCAAACATCACAAAGCAGTTTCTTAGAAAGCTTCTTTCTAATTTTTATGGGAAGATATTTCCTTTTTCACCATAGGCCTCAAAGCATTCCAAGATATCATTTCACAGATTCTACGATAACAGTGTTTCCAACCTGCTGAATGAAAAGAAATGTTTATCTCTGTGAAATGAATGCACGCATCACAAAGCGTTTTTTCAGATTGCTTCCTTCTATTTTTTTTCCTAGGATATTCGCTTTTTTTTGCCATTGGCCTAAATGAGCTCCAGAATACACCTTCGCAGGTTCTAAAACAACAGTGGTTTCAAACTGCTGAATCCGAAGGCAGGTTTAAGTTTATGGGATGAATGCAGACATCACAAAGCAGTTTCTGAGAAAGCTTCTTTCTAATTTTTATCAGAACATATTTCCTTTTTCAACATAGGCCTCAATGAGCTCACAAATATAACTTCACAGATTCTACCAAAACAGTGTTTCCAGAGTGCTGAAAGAAAAGAACTTTTTATCCCTATGAGGTGAATGCACCCATCACAAAGTGGTTTCTCAAATAGCTTTCTTCTAGTTTTTATCTGGGGATATTCACTTTTTAGCCATTGGACTCAATGAGTTCCCCAATGTCCATTCACAGAATGGACAAAAACAGTGTTTGCAATCTGCTGAATCCACAGAAAACTTTAACACCGTGAGATGAATGCACAAATCACAAAGCAGTTTCTCAGAAAGCTTCTTTCTAGTTTTTAATCTGAAGATATTTCCTTTTTTACCATAGACCTCAATGCACTCCCAGACATCCCTTTGCAGATTTTATGAAAACAGTGTTTCCAAATTCCTGAAAGAAAAGAAAAGTTTAACTCTGCGAGATGAATGCACACATCACAAAGCTTTTTCTCAAACATCTTCCCTCTAGTTTTTATCCTGGGTAATTTGCTTTTTTGCCATTGGCCTCAATGAGCTTCAAAATGTCCATTTTCAGAATGGACAAAAACATTATTTGAAAACTGATTAATCCATAGAAAGTTTGAACTCTGTGAGATGAATGCACACATCACAAAGCAATTTATCAGAAAGCTTCTTTCTAGCTTTTATCTGAAGTTATTTCCTTTTTCACAATAGGCCTCTAGGCACTCAAAACTATACCTTTGCAGATTCTACAGAAACAATGTTTCCAAACTGCTGAATGATAAGAATGTGTTAACTCTGAGACCTAAATGCACACATCACAAAACGGTTTTTCAGATAGCTTTCTTCTAGTTTTTATATTGGGATATTCTGTTTTCCCGTTTGGCCTCATTAAGCTCCCATACATCTATTCTCAGATTCTACAACAAGCCTGTTTCCAAATTGCTGAATACAAAAAAGTTTTAACTCTGTGAGGTGAATGTACACATCCCAAAGCTGTTTCTCAGAAAGCTTCTTTCTAGTTTTTTTTCTGGAAATTTTTTTTTCACTGTAGGCCTCAATGCACTCCCAAATATCTCTTCATTGAGTCTGCCAAAACAGTGTTTCCAGATTGCTGAATGAAAAGAAAGTTTTAACTCTTCCAGCTGAATGCTCAGATCACAAAGCAGTATCTTAGATAGCTTCCTTCAAGTTTTTATCATGAGATATTTGCTTTATCGCCATTGGCATCAATGAGCTCCCAAATATCCCTTCATAGATTCTACAAAAACGTGTTTTCAAACTGCTGAAACCAAAGAAAGGTTTAACTCTGTGAGACGAATGCCCACATCACAACGTAGTTTCTCAGGAAGCATCTTTCTAGTTTTTGTCTGAAGATATTCCTTTTTTACCCTAGGCCTCTATGCACTCCTAGATGTCCCTTTGCCAATTCTACCAAAATACTGTAACCAGACTACTGAACGAAAAGAAAGGTTTGACTCTGGGAGGTGAATGCACACATCACAAAGCGGTTTCTCAGTCAGCTTCCTTTTAGTTTTTATCCTGGGATATTCGCTTTTTTGCCATTAGCCTCAATGAGCTACCAAATGTCAATTTGCAGAATGGACAAAAACAGTGTTTGCAAGTGGCTGAATCCACAGAAAGTTTTAATTCCATGAGGTGAAAATACACATCACAAAGAAGTTTCTCAGAAATATTGTTTCTAGTTTTTTTTCTGAAGATATTTCCTTTTTCACCTTAGGCCTCAATGCACTCCCAGACATCCCTTCACAGATTCTACAAAAACACTGTTTTCAAACTGCTGAATGAAAAGAAAGATTTAACTCTGCGAGATGGATGCACACATCACAATGTGGTTTCTCAAATAGCTTTCTTCCAGTTTTTATCCTGGGATGTTCTCTTTGTCACCATTGGCCTAAATGAGCTCCCAAATGTCCTTTTGCACATTCTACAACAACAGTGATTCCAAATTGTTGAATCCAAAGAAAGGTTTAAATCTGTGAGATGAATGGACACAGCACAAAGCAGTTTCTGAGAAAGCTTCTTTCTAGTTTTTTTCTGAAGCTATTTCCTTTTTCACCATAGGCCTTAAGGTACTCCCAGTTATCCCTTTCAGATTCTATGCATACAGTGTTTCCAAACGGCTCAATAAAAGCGAGGTTTAGCTCTGTGAGATGAACACATACATCAGAAAGCGGTTTCTCATATAGCTTCCTTCTAGTTTTTATCTTGGGATATTCGCTTTTTTTGCCATTGACCTCAATGAGCTCCCAAATATCCATTCGCAGAATGGACCAAACAGTGTTTACTAACTGCTGAATCCACAGAAAGGTTTAACTCTGTGAGTTGAATGTACAAATCACAAAGCAGTTTCTCAGAAAGCTTCCATCTAGTGTTTATGTGAAGACGTTTCCTTTTTCACCATAGACCTCAATTTGCTCCCAGATATCTCTTCACAGATTCTACAAAAACAGTGTCTCCAAACTGCTGAATGAAAAGAAAGGTTTATGTTCCCCTTCCTGTTTCCATGTGTTCTCGTTGTTCAATTCCCACCTATGGTTGTGGAGGGGGGAGGGATAGCATTAGGAGATATACCTAATGTTAAATGAAGAGTTAATGGGTGCAGCACACCAACAGGGCACATGTATACATATGTGACAAACCTGCACCTTGTGCCCATGTGCCCTAAAACATAAAGCATAATCAAAAAGGAAAAGAAAAAAAGAAAAGAAAGGTTTAACTCTGTGAGATGAATGCCCACATAACAAAGCAGTTTCTCTGAAAGCTACTTTCTTGTTTTTATCTGAAGATATGTCATTTTTCACCATAGGCCAGAAGGAGCTCCCAAATATCCCTTCATCCATTCTGCCAAAATACTCTTTCCAGACTGCTGAATTTAAAGAAAATTTTATCTCTGTGAGATCAATGCACACATCACAAAGCAGTTTCTCAAATAACTCCCTTCTAGAATTTATCATGGGATATTCACTTTTTCCCCATTGATCTGAAATAATTCCCAAATGTCCATTCACAGAACGGACAAAAAAAGTGTTTGCAAACTACTGAATCACAGAAAATTTGAACCCTGTGAGATAAATGGACACAACACAATGCAGTTTCTCAGAAAGTGTCTTTCAGTTTTTTATCCGAAGATTTTTTTTTCACCATAGGCCTCAAAACACTCCCAGATATTCCTTTTCAGATTCTTCAAAAAAAAGTGTTTCAAAAGTCCTGAATGAAAAGAAAGGTTTAACTCTGAGAGATGAATGCACATATCACAAAGCGGCTTCTCAAATAGCTTCCCTCTAGTTTTTATCCTGGGATATTTGCGTTTTTGCCATTGGCTTCAATGAACTTCAAAATATCCATTTTTAGAATGGACAAAAACAGTTTTTGCAAACTGCTTAATCCATAGAAAAGTTGAACTCTGTGAGATGAATGCACAGATCACAAAGCAGTTTCTCAGAAAGATTCTTTGTAGTTTTTATCTGAAGATATCTCCTTTTTTCACTGTAGGCCTCTATGTACTCCAATATATACCTTTGCAGATTGAAGAAAAGCAACGTTACCAAACTGGTGAATGAAAAGAATGTTTCAATTCTGATAGAAGAATGTTCACATCACCAAGCGATTTCTCAAATATCTTCCTTCTAGTTTTTACTCTGGGATAGTCCATTTCTCTCCTTTGGCCCCATTAAGCTTCCAAATTTTCCTTTGCAGATTTTAAAACACCGGTGTTTTCAAACTGCTGAATGGAAAGAAAGGTTTAACTCTGTGAGATGAAGGCACACATCACAAAGTAGTTTCTCAGAAACATTCTTTCTAGTTTTTATCTGAAGATATTTCCTTTTTCATCATTGGCCTCAATGCACTCCCAGATATCCCTTCGCAGATTCTACTAAAACAGTGTTTCCAAACTGCTGAATGAAAAGAAAGGTTTAACTCTGCTAGATGAATGCACACATCACAAAGCAGTTTCTCAGATTGATTTCTTCTAGTTTTTTTCCTGGGATATTTGATTTTTCACCATTGGCCTCAATTAGCTCCCAAATATCCCTTTGCAGATTCTACAACAACAATGTTTTCAAACTGCTGAATACAAAGAAAGGTTTAACTCTGTGAGATTAATGCACACATCACAATGCAGTTTCTCAGAGAGCTTCTTTCTATTTGTTATCTGAAGATATTTCCTTTTCACCATAGGCCTCATTGCGCACCTAAATATTCCTTCACAGATTCTGTCAAAACAGTGTTTCTGGACTGCCGAATGAAAAGAAAGTTTTATCTGTGTGAGATGAATGCACACATCACAAAGCAGTTTCTTAAGTAGCTTCCCTCTAGATTTTATTCTGGGATATTCGCTTTTTTTGCCTTTGATCTGAAATAACTCTCAAATGTCCATTCACAGAACAGACAAAAGCAGTGAATGCAACCTACTGAACCCACAGAAAGTTTGAACTCTGTGAGATGAATACACATCAAAATTCAATTTCTCAGAAAGCTTCTTTCTATTTTTTATCTGAAAATATTTCCTTTTTAACTGTAGGCCTCCATGTGCTCCCAGATATCCCTCTGCAGAATCTACAAAAACACTGTTTCCAAAGTCCTGAAAGAAAATAAAATTTTAACTCTATGAGACGAATGCACAAATCACAAAGCAGTTTCTCAAATAGCTTCCCTCTAGTTTCATCCTGGGATATATGCTTTTTGCCATTGGCCTCGATGAGCTTAAAATGTTCAATTTCTGAGTGCACAGAAACATTGTTTGCAAACTGCTTAATCCACTGAAATGTTGAACTCCTTTAGATGAATGCACACATCACAAAGCAGTTTATCAGAAAGATTCTTTGTAGGTTTTATCTGAAGATATATCCTTTTTCACCATAGTCCAATGTGCTCTCCAAAATATACCTTCAAAGATTCTACAAAAACAATGTTCCCAAACTGTTGAAGTAAAGGATGCTTTAACTCTCAGAGATGAATTCACATATCACAAAGCAGTTTCTAAGATAGCTTCCTTCTACTTTTTATCCTGGGATATTTGCTTTTTCGCCATTGGCCTCAATGAGCTCCCTAATGTACATTTGCAGAATGGACAAAAACAGTGTCGCCAAAGTGCAGAATCCAAAGAAAGGTTTAACTCTGTGAGATAAATGCACACATCCCAAAGCAATTTCTAATTAAGCTTCTTTCTAGTTTTTATCTGAAGATATTTCCTTTTTCACCATAGGCCTCAATGGGCTACCAAATATCTCTTCGCAGATGCTAGGCAAACAGTGTTTCCAAACTGCAGAATGAAAAGAAAGTTTTAACTCTGTGAGAAGAATGCACACATCACTAATCGTATTCTCAGATAACTTACTTCTACTTTTTATCTTAGGATATTCGCTTTTTTGCCATTGGCCTCAATGAGCTCCCAAATGTCCATTCCCAGAATAGACAAAAACAGTGTTCCCAAACTGCTGTATCAAAAGAAAGGTTTAACTCTGTGAGATGAATGAACACATCACAAAGTAGTTTCTCAGAAAGCTTCTTGCTAGGTTTTATCTGAAGATATTTCCTTTTTCACCATAGGCCTCATTGCACTGACAAATATCATTTTGCAGTTTCTACAAAAAGAGTATTTCCAAACTGCTGAATGAAAAGAAAAGTTTAACTCTGCGAGATGAATGCACACATCACAAATCAGTTTCTCAGACAGCTTCCTTCTAGTTTTTATCCTGGGATATTAGCTTTTTCATCTTTGGCCTCAATGAGCTCCCAATTGTCCATTTGCAGAATGCACAAAAACAGTGTTCTAAAACTGCTGAATTCGAAGAAAGGTTTAACTCTGTGAGATGAAAGAACACATCAGAAATCAGTTTCTTATAAAGCTTCTTTTTAGTTTTTAACTGAAGATATTGCCGATTCACCATAGCCCTCAATGCGCTACCAAATATGTTTTCACAGATGCTAAGAAAACAGTTTCCAAACTGCTGAATAAAAATAAAATTTTAACTCTGTGTTGTGAATGCACACATCCCAAACCAGTTTCTCATTAAGCTTCTTTCCAGTTTTTATCTGAAGATATTTCCTTTTCACCATAGCCCTCAGTCTCTATGAAATATCTCTTTGCAGATTCTAAGAAATCAGTGTTTCCAAACTGCTGAAACCAAAGGAAGGTTTAACCATGTGAGATGAATGAACATGTCACAAAGCAGATTCTCAGAAAGCTTCTTTCTAGATATTATCTAAACATATTTCCATTTTCACTGTAGGCCTCCATGCACTGCCAAATATCCTTTCAAAGTTTATGCATAAACAGTGTTTCCACACTGCTGAACAAAAAGAAAGGTTTAACTCTGCTAGATGAAGGTACACATCACAAAGTGCTTTCTCGGATAGCTTCCTCCTAGTTTTTATCTTGGGATACTCGTTTTTTCACCATTGGCCTTTAAGCTCCCAAATGTCCTTTCTCCAAATTGACAAAAACAGTGTTACCAAACTGCTGAATCCAAAGAAAGGTTTAACTCTCTGAGATGAATGCACACATCCAAAACCAGTTTCTCATTAAGCTTCTTTCTAGTTTTATCTGAAGATATTTCCTTTTTCACCATAGGCCTCAATGCACTGCCAAATATCCTTTAATAGTTACTACAAAAACATTGTTTCCCAACTGCTGAATGAAAAGAAGGGTTTAACTATGCCAGATGAATGCACACATCAAAAAGTGGTTTCTTAGAGAGCTTCCTTCAGTTTTTATCCTGGGATATTCCCCTTTTTGCCATTGGCCTCATTGAGCTCCCAAATGTCCATTCACAGAATTGTCAAAAGCTGTGTTATCAAACTGCTGACTCCAAAGAAATGTTTAACTCTGTGAGATGAATGCACACATCCCAAACCTGTTTCTAATGAAGATTCTTTCTAGTTTTTATCTGAAGATATTTCCTTTTCCAGCATAGGCCTCCATACTCTTCCAAATATCTTGTCACAGATTATAAGAAAAGAGTGTTTGCAATCTGCTGAATGAAAAGAAAGTTTTAACTGTAAGATGAATGCACACATCAGAAATGTGTTCCTTCCTGTCAGAGAAAAGTTCCAGTTTTTATCCTGGGATACTCACCTTTTTGCCATTGGCCTCTATGAGCTCCCAAATGTTCATTCACGAAATGGACAAAAACAGTGTTTCCAAACTGCTGAATCCAAACAAAGGTTTAATTCTGTGAGACGCATGCACACATCCCAAAGCAGTTTCTCATTAAGGATCTTTCTAGTTGCTATTTGAAGATATATCCTAATCCCCATAGTCCTCAGTGTATTACCAAATATCACTTTGCAGATTCTAAGAAAACAGTGTTTCCAAACTGCTGAATGAAAAGAAAGGTTTAACCCTGGGAGATGAATGCACATATCACAAATCGCTTTCTCAGATAACTTCCTTCTAGTTTTTATCCTGGGATAATCTCTTTTTCAAAATTGGCATCAATGAGATCCTAAATATCCTTTTGCAGATATATTTCTTGGTGCATTGAAGCCTATGGTGTAAAATGAAACATTTTCAGATAAAAACTAGAAAGAAGCTTAATGTGAAACTGCTTTTAGATGTGTACATTCATCTCACAGAGTTACACTTTCTTTGGATACAGCAGTTTGGTAACACTGTTTTTGTCCATTATGTGAATGAACAGTTCAGAACTAATTGAGGACAATGGTGAAAAAGCGAATATCGCAGGATAAAAGCTAGAAGGAAGCTATCTGAGAAACTGCTTTGTGGTGTGTGCATTCAAATCGCAGAGATAAACTTTCCTTTTTATTCAGTAGTCTGAAAACACTGTTTTGGCTGAATCCATGAAAGGATATTTGGGAGTGCCTTGAGGCTTTTGGTGAAAAAGAAAATATCTTCTGATAAAAACTAGAAAGAAGCTTTCTGAGAAACAGCTTTGTGATGTGTGCATTCATCTCACAGACGTAATCATTTCTTTGGAGTCGGCAGTTTGGAAACACTGTTGTTGTAGAATCTGCGAAGGGATATTTGGGAGCTCTTTGAGGCCAATGGCAAAAAAACGAATATCCCAGGGTAAAAATTAGAAGGAAGCTATATGAGAAACACAATTGTGAGGTGTGCATTCACCTCCCAGAATTAAAACTTTCTTTTCCTTCAGCATTCTGGAAACACTGTTTCAGCAGAATCTGCAAAGGGATATTTGGGAGCTCCTTGAGGCCTATGGTAAAAAAAAAAAATCTTCAGAAAAAAAAAACAGAAAGAAGCTTTTTGAGAAACTGCTCAGTGAGGTTTGCATTCACCTCACAGAGTTAAACCTTTTTGTGGAATCAACAGTTTTCATGCACTGTTTTTGTCCATTCTGCTAATGGACATTTTGGAGCTCATTATGGCCAAAGGCAAAAAAGCAAATATCCCAGGATAAAAACTAGATAGAAGTTATTTGAGAAACAGCTTTGTGATGTGTGCCATCATCTCCCAGATTTAAAACTTTCTTTTCATCCAGCGGTCTGGAAACACTGTTTTGGCAGTATCCACGAAGGGACATTTGGGGACACATTGAGGCCTGCAGTGAAAAAGGAAGTATATTCAGATAAAAACTAGAAAGAGACATGCTGAGAAAATGCTTTTTGATGTGCGCATTCATCCCACAGAGTTAAACCTTTCTGTGGATTCAGCAATTTGCAAACACGGCTTTTGACCATTCTGTGAATGAACATTTTGGAGCTCATTGAGGTCAATGGTGAAAAAGAGAATATCCCAGTATAAAAACTAGACGGAAGCTATCTGAGAAACAGCTTTGTGATGAGTGCATTCACGTCACTGAGTTAAAACTTTCTTTTCATACAACAGTCTGGAAACACTGTTTTGTTAGAATCCGTGAAGAGATCTTTGTGAGCTCATTGAGGCCTATGGTGAAAAAGGAAATATTTTCAAATAAAAACTGGAAAGAAACTTTTTGAGAAACTGCTTTGTGATGAGTGCATTCATCTCACAGAGTTCAACTTTTCTGTGGTTTAAGCAGTTTGCAAACACTGTCTTTGCCCATTATGCAAATGGACATTTGAGAGTTCTTTGAGGCCAATGGCAATAATTTATCCCAGGATAAAAACTAGAAGAAAGTTATTTGCAAAACTGCTTTGTGATGGTGCATTCATCTCACAGAGTAAAACCTCTGTTTTCATTCAGCAGTTTGGAAACACTGTTTCATAGAATCCACTAAGGGATACCTTGGAGTGCATTGAGGCCTACGGTACAAAAGGAAATATTTTCAGATAAAAACTAAAAATAAGCTTTTTGAGAAACTGCTTTGTGATGTGTGCATTCTTCTCATAGAGTTAAACCTTTCTTCGGATTCAGCAGTTTGGAAACACTGTTGTTGTAGAATCTGTGAAGGAATATTTGGGAGCTTAATGAGGCCAAATGGGAAAAACTGAATATCTCGGGAAAAAAACTAGAAGGAAGCTATCTACAAATCCGATATTTGATGTGTGCATTCTTCTCTCAGAGTTAAAACATTCTTTTCATTCAGCAGTTTGGAAACACTGTTTTTGTAGATTCTGTGAAGTTATATTTGGGAGAACCTAGAGGCCTATCCTTAAAAAGAAAATAACTTCGGATAAAAACTAAAATGAAGCTTTCTAAGAAACTGCTTTGAGATGTGTCCATTCATATCACAGAGTTCAACCTTTCTGTGGATTCAGCAGTTTGCAAACACTGTTTTTGTCCATTCTGCAAATGGACATTTGGGAGTTCGTTTAGGTCAAAGGCAAAAAAATGAATTTCCCAGGATAAAAATTAGAAAGAAGCTATTTGAGATACCACTGTGTGAAGTGTGCATTCAACTCGCAGTTAAACTTTTCTTTTCATTCAGCAGTTTGGTGATACTGTTTTCGTAGAATCTGTGAAGGGATATCTGAGAGGGCATAGAGGCCTATGGTGAAAAATGAAATAATATCCGATAAAAACTACAAAGAAGCTTTCTGAGAAACTGCTGTGTGATGTGTACATGCATTTCACAGAGTTCAACTTTTCTGTGGATTCAGTAATGTGGAAACACTGTTTTTGTCCATTCTGAAAATGGACATTTTGGAGATCATTGAGGCCCATGGTGAAAAAGCAAATATGCCAGGATAAAAACTAGAAGGAAGCTATCTGAGAAACCACTCTGTGATGTGTGCATTCACCTCATAGAGTTAAAACTTTCTTTTCATTCAACAGTTTGGAAACACTGTTTTGAAGAATCTGCAAAGGGATATTTTGGAATGCATTGATGCCTATGTTGTAAAAGGAAATATATTCAGATAGAAAGTATAAATAAGCTTTCTGAAAAACTGCTTTGTGATGTGTGCATTCTTCTCACAGAGGTAAAACTTTCCTTGAATTCAGCAGTTTGGAAACACGGTTTGTGTCTATTCTGTGAATGTACACTTCAGAGCTCATTGAGGCCAAAAGTGAAAAAGTGAATATACCAGTATAAAAAAACAGAAGAAAGCTATCTGAGAATCCGCTTTGTGATGTGTGCAATCAATTCGCAGAGCTAAACCTTCCTTTTCATTCATCAGTCTGGAAACACTGTTTTGGTAGAATCAGTGAAGGGATATTTTAAAGCTCGTAGAGGGCTATGGTGAAAAAGGAAATATCTTCAGATAAAAACTAGAAAGAAGCTCTCTGAGAAACTGCTTTGTGATGTGTGCATTCATATAACGGAATTAAACCTTTCTTTGGATTCAATGAGAATGGGCATTTGGGAGCTCACTGAGGCCAATGGCAAAAAAAGCGAATATCACACATTAAAAACTAGAAAGAAGCTATCTGAGAAACTGCTTTGTGAAGTGTGCAATCACTTCACAGAGTTAAAATTTTCTTTTCATTGACCAGTCTGAAAACATTTTTTGGCAGAATCCATGAAGGGATATTTGGGAGTGCATTTAAGCCTATGGTAAAAAAGGAAATGTCTTCAGATAAAAACCAGACAGAAGATTTATGAGAAGTGGCTTTGTGATGTGTGCATTCGTCTCACAGAGTTAAACCTTCCTTTGGATTCAGCATTTTGGAAACACTGTTGTTGTACAGTCTGTGAAGGGATATTTAGGAGCTCACAGAGGCCAATCTAGAAAAGGCCAATATCCCAGGATAAAAACTAGAAGGAAGCTATTTGAGAAATCACTTTTGATGTGTGCATTCATCTTGCAGATTTAAACATTTCTTTTCATTTAGTAGTTTGGAAACACTGTTTTGATAGAATCAGTGAAGTGATATCTGGGAGGGCATGGAGGCCTAGGTTGGAAAAGGAAATATCAGATAAAAACTAGAAGGAAGATATCTGAGAAACCACTTAGTAGTGTGTGCCTTCATCTCACAGAGTTAAACCTTTCTTTTTACCCAGCAGTTTGGAAACGCTGTTGTTGTAGAATCTGTGAAGGGATATTTGGGAGCTTAATGAGGTGAAAGGGGAAAATCCAAATATCCCAGGAAAAAACTAGAAAGAATCTACCTGAGAAATCACTTTGCGTTATGTGCATTCATCTTTCAGAGGTAAAATATTATTTTCATTCAGCAGTTTGTAAACACGGTTTTTGTAGAATCTGTGAAGTTATATTTGGGAGCACCTGGAGGCCTATGATGAAAAAGAAAATATCTTCATATAAAAACTAGAAAGAAGCTTTCTGAGAAACTGCTTGTGATGTGTGCATTCCTCTCACAGAATTCAATGTTTCTGTTGATTGAGTAGTGGGTACACACTGTTTTTGTCCATTCTGTGAATGGAGATTTGGGAGCTCATTGAGGCCAATGGTGAAAAAGCAAATATCCCAGGATAAATAACAGAAGTAAGCTACTTGAGAAACTGGTTTGTGATGTGTGCATTCACCTCGCAGATTTAAAAGTTTCTTTTCATACAGCAGTCTGGAAACACTATTTTGGCAGAATCCAGGAAGGGATATTTGGGAGTGCATTGAGGCAAAAGGCAAAAAAGTGAACATCCCAGGATAAAAACTTGAAGGAAGCTACTTGAGAAACCAATTTTTTATGTGTGCATTCTTCTCACAGAGTTAAAACTTTCTTTTCATTCAGCAGTTTGGAAACACTGTTCTCATAGAATCTATGAAGGGATGTCTGGGAACACATTTAGGCCCATGGTGAAAAATCAAATATCTTCAGATAAAAACAAGAAAGAAGCCTTCTGAGAAACTGCTTTGTGATGTGTGCATTCAACTCACAGAGTTAAACCTTTCTGTGAATTCCGTCTTTTGCAAACACTGTGTTTGTCGATTCTGCGAGTGGTCATTTTGGAGCTCATTGGGGCCAATGGTGAAAAAACGAATATCTCAGGATAAAAACTAGAAGCAAGCTATCTGAGATAATGCTTTGTGATATGTGCATTCACTTCATTAAGTTAAAACCTTCTCTTCATTCAGTAGTCTGGAAACAATGTTTTGGCAGAATCCGTGAATTAATATTTGGGTGCACATAGAGGCCTGTGGTGAAAAAGGAAATATCTTCAGATAAAAACTAGAAAGAAGCTTTCTGAGAAACTGCTTTGTGATGTGTGCATTCATCTCACAGAGTTAAACCTTCCTTTGGATTCAGCACTTTAGAAACACTGTTGTAGGGTCTGTGAAGGGATATTTGGGAGCTCATAGAGGTCAGTCTAGAAAAGACCAATATCCCAGGATAAAAACTGGAAGGATGCTATATGAGAAACTGCTTCATGATGTGTCCATTCATCTTGTATAGATAAAACGTTCTTTTCATTCAGTAGTATGGAAACATGGTTTTTGTATAATCTGTGAAGGCATATCTTGGAGCATACTGAGGACTAGGGTGAAAAAGGAAATATTGTCAGATAAAAACTAGAAAGAAGCTGCCTGAGAAACTGCTTTCTGATGTGTGCATTCAGCTCACAGAGTTAAACCTTTCTGTGGATTCACCAGTTTTCCAACACTGTTTTTGTCTCTTCTGCAAATGGAAATTTCAGAGCTAATTGAGGCCATTGGCAAAAAAGTGAATATCCCAGGATAAAAACTAGAAGGAAGATATCTGAGGAACTGCTTTGTGAGGTTTGCATTCACCTCACAGAGTTAAACTTTTCTTTTCATTCAGCAGTTTGGAAACACTGTTTTTGTCCATTCTGTGAATGGACATTTGGGAGCTCTTTGAGGTCAATGGCAAAAAAGCAAATATCCCAGGATAAAAACCAGAAGGAAGATATTTGAGAAACAGGTTTGTGAAGTGTGCATTCATCTCACAGACTTAAACTTTTCTTTACATTTAGCAGTTTGGAAACAATGCTTTCTTAGAATCTATCTGTGAAGGGATATCTGGGAGCACATTGAGGCCTATATTCAAAAAGGAAATACCTTCAGGTAAAAACTAGAAAGAAGTTATCTGAGAAATTGCTTTGTGTTGTGTGCATTCATATAATGGAATTAAACCTTTCTCTGGATTCAGCAGTTTGCACCCACAGTTTTTCTCCATTCTGTGAATGGACATTTTGGAGCTCATTGAGGCCAGTGGTTAAAGAGTGAATATCACCAGATAAAAACTAGAAAAAAGCTATCTGAGAAACCACTTTGTGATGTGTGCAGTCATCTCACAGAATTCAATCATTTTTCGGATTCAGCAGTTTGGAAACTGTTATTGTAGAAACTATGAAAGGATATTTGGGAGCTTAATGGGGCCAAAGTTGAGAAAGTGAATACCCCAGGAAGCAAACTAGAAGGAAGCTATCTGAGAAACCGCTTTTTGATATGCACATTCATCTCTCAGAGTTACACATTTCTGTGGAATCAACAGTTTGCAAACACTGTTTTTGTGTATTCTGCAAATGGACATTTTGGAGGTCATTGAGGTTAATGTCAAAATGCAAACATCCCAGGATAAAAACTAGAAAGAAGCTATCTGAGAAACAGCTTTGTGATGTGTGCATTCACTTCATAGAGTTAAAATTTTCCTTCCACACAACAGTCTGGAAACACTCTTCTGGCAGATTCTGTGAAGTGATATTTGGGAGCTCATTGAGGCCTAAGGTGAAAAGAAATATCTTCAGGTAAAAACATGAAAGAAGCTTTCTGAGAAACTGCTTTGTAGTGTGTGCATTCATCTCGCAGAGTTAAACCTTTCTTTTCATTCAGCAGTTTAGGAAAACTGTTTTCAAAGAATTTGAGAAGTGAAATCTGGTAGCACACTGAGGACTATGGTGAAAAAGGAAATATCTTTAGATAAAAATTAGAAAGAAGCTTTCTGAGAAACTGCTTTGTTATGTGTCTATTCATCTCACAGAGTGAAACATTTCTTTGGATTCAGCAGTTTGAATCATTGTTTTGTAGAATCTGTGAAAGGAGGTTTGGGAACTCATTAAGGTAAATGGTGAAAAAGTGAATATCCCAGGAAAAAAAAATGAGAAGGAAACAACCTGAGAATCCGCTGTGTGATGTGTGCATTCATCTGAGAGAGTTAAAACTTTCTTTTCATTCAGCAGTTTGGAAACATTGTTTTCATAGAATCTGTGAAAAGATATCTGGGAGTACAATGAGACCTGTGGTGAAAAAGGAAATATCTTCAGATAAACACTAGAAAGAAGCTTTCTGAGAAACTGCTTTGTGATGTATGCATTCAACTCACAGAGTTAAACCTTTCTGTGGATTCACCAGTTTGTAAACACTGTTTTGTCCATTCTGTGAATGGACTTTTGGGAACTCATTGAGGCCAATGACGAAAAAGCAAATATCCCAGGATAAAAAATAGAAGGAAGGTATCTGAGAAGCCACTTTGTGATGTGGGCATTCATCTCGCAGAGGTAAACATTTCTTTTCATGCAGCAGTCTGCAAAAACTGTTTTGGTAGCTTCTGGGAAGGGATATTTAGGAGTGCATAGAGGCATAGGATGAAAAGGGAAATATCTTCAGATAACAACTAGAAAGAAGCTTTCTGAGAAACTGCTTTGTGATACATGCATTCGCCTGACAGAATTAAACATTTTCTTGGATTCAGCAGTTTGGAAACACTGTTGTTGTAGAATTTGCGAAGGGATATATGGGAGCTCATTGATGCCAATGGTGAAAAAGTGAATATCCCCATATACAAACTAGAAGGAAGCTATTGAGAAACTGCTTTTTAATGTTTGGATTCATCTCACAGAGTTAAATCTTTCTTTTCATTCAGCAATCAGGAAACACAGTTTTGGCAGAATCCACAAAGGGATATCTGGGAGTGCATTGAGGTCTAGGGTGAAAAAGGAAATATCTTCAGACACAAACTAGAAAGAAGCTTTCTGAGAAACTGCTTTGTGATGTGTTCATTCCTCTTGCAGAGTTAAAACTTTCTTTTCATTCAGCAGTTTGGTAACCGTGTTTTTGAAATATCTGCGATGGAATATCTGGGAGTGCATTGAGGCCTATGGTGAAAAAGTAAATCTCTTCAGATAAAAAGTAGAAAGAAGGGATCTGAAAAACTGCTTTGTTATGTATGCATTCACCTCACAGAGTTAAATCTTTTTTTTCATACAGCAGTCTGGAAATACTTTTTTGGCAGAATCTGTGAAGAGATATCTGAGAGTGCATTGACCTATGGTGAAAAAGGAAATATCTTCAGATAAAAACTGGAAATAAGCTTTCTGAGAAATTTCTTTTTGATGTATGCATTCATTTCACAGAGATAAACAATACTTTGGATTCAGCAGTTTGGAAACACTGCTGTTGTAGAATATGTGAAGGGATAGTTGGAAATTTAATGAAGCCAAAGGCAAGAAAGTGAATATCCCAGGAAAAAAAGCAGAAGGAAGCTATCTGAGAAACTGCTTTTTGATGTGTGCATTCAGCCTGCAGAGTTAAACCTTTATTTTCATTCAGCAGTTTGGAAACACTGTTTTTGAAGTATCTGTGAAGGGATATCTGGGAGAGCCTTGTGGCCTATGGTGTAAAAGGAAATATCTTCAGATAAAAACTAGAAAGAAGCTTTCTGAAAAACTGCTTTGTGATGCGTGCATTCCTTTCAGAGAGTTCAACCTTTCTTGGGATTCAGCAGTTTGAAAACACCATTTTTGTAGGATCTGTGAAGGGATATGTGGGAGTTCAATGAAGTGAAAGGGGAAGAATGGATTATCCCAGGAAAAAACAGAAGGAAGCTATATGGAAACTGCTTTGTGATGTGTGCATTCATCTCTGAGAGTTAAAACACTGTTTCATTCAGCAGTTTGGAAATAATGTTTTTGTAGAATCTGCGAAGGGATATCTGGGAGTGCATTTAGGCTTATGGTGAAAAAGGAAATGTCTTCAGATGAAAAATATAAAGAAGGTTTCAGAGAATCTGCTTTGTGATGTGTGCATTCATCATATAGAGTTAAAACTTTCTGTAAATTCAGTCATCTGCAAACACTGTTTTTGTCCATTCTGTGATTGGAAATTTGGGAGCTTTTTGTGGTCAAGGGTGAAAAAGTGAATATCCCAGTATAAAAACTAGAAGGAAGATATTTTAGAACCACTTTGTGATGTGTGCATTCATCTCACAGAGTTAAACCGTACTTTTCTTTCAGCAGTCTGGAAACACTGTTTTGGCGGCATCCACGAAGGGATATTTTTGAGCATATTGAGGCCTATGGTGAAAAAGGAAACACCTTCAGATAAAAATTAGAAAGTAGAAACTACTTTGTGATGTGTGCATTCTTCTCACAGAGTTAAGCCTTTCTGCACATTCAGCAGTTTGCAAAAACTTGTTCTAGAATCTGTGAAAGGATACTTGGGAGCTCACTGAGGCCAATGGCAAAAAAGTGAATTTCCCGGGACAAAAAGTAGAAAGAAGTTATTTGATAAACAGCTTTGTGATGCATGCATTCTTCTTGTGGAGTTAAACTTTTCTTTTCATTCAGCATTTGTGAAACACCGTGTTTGTAGGAGCATAGAAGGGGTATTTGGGAGTGCATAGAGGCCTATCCTGAAACAGGAAATAGCTTCAGATAAAAACTAGAAAGAAGCTTTCTGAGAAACTGCTTTGTGATGTCTGTGTTCATCTCACACAGCCAAACCTTTCTTTTGATTCAGTAGTTTGGAAAGACTGTTGTTGTAGAATCTGCAAAGGGATATTTGGGAGGTCTTTGAGGGCAATGGTGAAAAAGTGAATATCCCAGGATAAAAACTAGAAGGAAGCTATCTCAGAATCCACTTTGTGCTGTTTGCATTCATCTCACAGTGTTAAACCATTCTTTTCATTCAGCAGTTTAGAAACACTGTTTCTGTAGAATCTGCAAAGGGATATCTGGGAGCGCATAAAAGCCTATGTTGAAGAAGGAAATATCTTCTGATAAAAACTTAAAAGAAGCTTTCTGAGAAACTGCTTTGTGATGTGTGCATATATTTCAGAGAGTTCAATGTTGCTGAGAATTAAGCATTTTGAAAACACTGTTATTGTCCATTCTGCAAATGGAAATTTTGGAGCTCAATCAGACCAACGACAAAAAAGGTAATATCCCAGGGTAAAAACTAGAGGGAAGCTATTTGAGAAATCGCTATGTGATGTGTGCATTCATCTCATAGTGTTAAGCCTTTCTTTTCCTTCAGGAGTGTGGAAACACTCTTTTCCTTGAACATGCAAACGTATATCTGGGAGCACCTTGAGGTCTATGGTGAGAAAGCAAATATCTTCAGATGTAAACTAGAAATAAGGTTTCTGAGAAACTGCTTTGTGATGTGTGCATTCATCTCACAGAGTTGAATCTGTCTGTCAAATCAGTAGTTTGCAAACACTCTTTTTGTCCATTCTGTGAAGGGACATTGGGAGCTCTTTGAGGTCTGTGGAGAAAAAGCGAATATCCCAGGAAAAAACTGGAAGGAAGCTATCTGAAAAACTGCTTTGTGATGTTTGCATTCACCTTGCAGAGATAAACATTTCTTTTCATTCAGCTATCTGGAAAAACTGTTTTCATAGAATCTGTGAAGAGATAACTGGGAGAGCATTGAGGCCTAAGGTGAAAGAGAAATATCTCTGGATAAATGTAGAAAGCCACTTTTGAGAAACTGCTTTGTGATGTGCACATTCATCTCACAGAGTTAAACCTTTCTTTAGATTCAGCAATTTGGAAACACTGTTGTAAAATCTAAGCAGGGGTATTTGGGAGATAAATGAAGCCAAAGGCAAAAAACCAAAAATCTCAGGACAAAAACTACAAGGAAGCTATCTGAGAAACCACTGTGTGATGTGTGAATTTATCTCTCACAGTTATGATATTCTTTTGATTCAGCAGTTTGTAAACACTGTTTTTGTAGAATCTGTGAAGGGATATGTGAGAGATCATTGAGGTCTATGGTGAAAAAAAAATCTTCATATAAAAACTAGAAAGAAGCTTTCTGAGAAACTGCTTTGTGATGTGTGCATTCATCTCACAGAGTTAGATGAATCACTTTCTGTGGATTCAGCAGTTTGCAAACACTGTTTTTATCCATTCTGCTAACGGAAGTTTGGGAGCTCTTTGAGGTCAACGGCAAAAAAGCAAATATCCCAGGACAGAAGCTAGAAGGAAGCTATCTCAGAAACCACTTTGTGATGTGTGCATTCATCTCACAGAATTAAACCTTTCTTTTCATTCAGCAGTTTGGAAACACTGTTTTCAAAGAATCAGCAAACGTATATCTGGGAGCACATTGAGGCTTATGTTAAAAAAGGAAATATCTTAAGATAAAAACTAGAAAGAAGCTTTCTATGAAACTGCTCTGTGAATGGACATTTGGGAGCTCATTGAGGCCAATGGCAAAAAAAGCGAGTATCTCAGGATAAAAATTAGAGGAAGCTATTTCAGAAACCACTTTTGGATGTCTGCATTCAACTCGCAGAGTTAAACCTTTCTTTTCATTCAGCTGTATGGAAACAGTGTTTTGGTAGAATCTGCAAAGTTATAAGTGCGCATTGAAGCCTGTGGTCAAAAAGGAAATATCATCAGATAAATACTTGAAAGAAACATTCTGAGAAACTGCTTTGTGATGTGTGCATTCATCTCACTGAGTTAAAGCTTTCTGTGGATCTGCAGTTTGCAAGCCCTGCTTTTGTCCATCGAATATCCCAGGACAAACACCAGCAAGAAGCTATCTGAGAAACTGCTCTGTGATGTGTGCATTCATCTCACAGAGTTAAAAACTTCATTTCATAGATAGTTGTTATTATTTTGAGATATGTCCCATCAATACCTAATTTATTGAGAGTTTTTAGCATGAAACATTGTTTAATTTTGTCAAAGGCCTTTTCTGCATCTATTGAGATAATCATGTGGTTTTTGTCTTTGGTTATGTTTATATGCTGGATTACATTTATTGATTTGCATATATTGAACCAGCCTTGCATCACAGGGATGAAGCCCGCTTGTTCATGGTGGATAAGCTTTTTGATGTGCTGCTGGATTCTGTTGGCCAGTACTTAATTGAGGATTTTTGCATCAATGTTCATCAAAGATATTGGTCTAAAATGTTCTTTTTTGGTTGTGTCTCTGCCCGGCTTTGGTATCAGGATGATGCTGGCCTCATAAAATGAGTTAGGGAGGATTCCCTCTTTTTCTGTTGATTCGAATAATTTCAAAAGGAATGGTACCAGTTCCTCCTTGTACCTCTGGTAGAATTCGGCTGTTAATCTATCTGGTCCTGGACTCTTTTTGGTTGGTAAGCTATTGATTATTGCCACAATTTCAGAGCCTGTTATTGGCCTATTCAGAGATTCAACTTCTTCCCAGTTTAGTCTTGGGAGGGAGTATGTGTCAAGGAATTTATTCATTCCTCCTAGATTTTCTAGTTTATTTTTGTAGAGGTGTTTGTAGTGTTCTCTGATGGTAGTTTGTATTTCTGTGAGATCGGTGGTGATATCCTCTTTATCATTTTGTATTGCATCTATTGATTCTTCCCTCTTTTCTTTTTTATTAGTCTTAGTAGTGGTCTATCAATTTTGTTGATACTTTAAAAAAACCGCAGCCAATATTATACTGAATGGGCAAAAACTGGAAGCATTCCCTTCGAAAACTGGCACAAGACAGGGATGCCCTCTCTCACCAGACCTATTCAACATAGTGTTGGAAGTTCTGGCCAGGGCAATTAGGCAGGAGAAGGAAATAAAGGGTATTCAATTAGGAAAAGAGGAAGCCAAATTGTTCCTGTTTGCAGATGACATGACTATATATCTAGAAAAACCCATTGTCTCAGCCCAAAATCTCCTTAAGCTGATAAGCAACTTCAGCAAAGTCTCAGGATACAAAATCAATGTACAAAAATCACAAGCATTCTTATACACCAATAACAGACAAACAGAGAGCCAAATCATGAGTGAACTCCCATTCACAATTGCTTCAAAGAGAATAAAATACCTAGGAATCCAACTTACAAGGGATGTGAAGGACCTCTTCAAGGAGAACTACAAACCACTGCTCAAGGAAATAAAAGAGGATTCAAACAAATGGAGAACATTCCATGTTCATGGGTAGGAAGAATCAATACGTGAAAATGACCATACTACCCAAGATAATTTATACATTCAACGCCATCCCCATCAAGCTACCAATGACTTTCTTCACAGAATTGGAAAAGACTACTTTAAAGTTCATATGGAGCCAAAAAAGAGCCCGCATCACCAAATCAATCCTAAGCCAAAAGAACAAAGCTGGAGGCATCATGTTACCTGACTTCAAACTATACTACAAGGCTACAGTAAACAAAACAGCATGGTACTGGTACCAAAACAGAGATATAGATCAATGGAACAGAACAGAGCCCTCAGAAATAATGCTACGTATCTACAATTATCTGATCTTCGACAAACCTGAGAAAAACAAGCAATGAGGAAACGATTCCCTATTTAATCAGTGGTGCTGGGAAAACTGGCTAGCCATATGTAGAAAGCTGAAACTGGATCCCTTCCTTACACCTTATACAAAAATTAATGCAAGATGGATTGAAGACTTAAACGTTAGACGTAAAACTATAAAAACCCTGGAAGAAAACCTAGGCATTACCATTCAGTACATAGGCATGGGCAAGGACTTCTGTTTAAAACGCCAAAAGCAATGGCAACCAAAGTCAAAACTGACAAATGGGATCTAATTAAACTAAAGAGCTTCTGCACAGCAAAAGAAACTACCATCAGAGTGAACAGGCAACCTACAAAATGGGAGAAAATTTTCGCAACCTACTCATCTGACAAAGGGCTAATATCCAGAATCTATAATGAACTCAAACAAATTTACAACAAAAAAACAAACAACCCCATCAAAAAGTGGGCGAAGGATATGAACAGACACTTCTCAAAAGAAGACATTTATGCAGCCAAAAGACACATGAAAAAATGCTCATCATCACTGGCCATGAGAGAAATGCAAATCAAAACCACAATGAGATACCATCTCACACCACTTAGAATGGCAATCATTAAAAAGTCAGGAAACAACAGCTGCTGGAGAGGATGTGGAGAAACAGGAACACTTTTACACTGTTGGTGGGACTGTAAACTAGTTCAGCCATTGTGGAAGTCAGTGTGGCAATTCCTCAGGGATCTAGAACTAGAAATACCATTTGGCCCAGCCATCCCATTACTAGGTAAATACCCAAAGGACTACAAATCATGCTGCTATAAAGACACATGCACACTATGTTTATTGCGGCATTATTCACAATAGCAAAGACTTGGAACCAACCCAAATGTCCAACAATGATAGACTGGATTAAGAAAATGTGGCACATATACACAATGGAATACTATGCAGCCATAAAAAATGATGAGTTCATGTCCTGTGTAGGGACATGGATGAAATTGGAAATCATCATTCTCAGTAAACTATCACAAGGACAAAAAACCAAACACCGCAAATTCTCACTCATAGGTGGGAATTGAACAATGAGATCACATGGACACAGGAAGGGGAACATCACAATCTGGGAACTGTTGTGGGGTGGGGCGAGCGGGGACGGATAGCATTGGGAGATATACCTAATGCTAAATGATGAGTTAATGGGTGCAGCACACCAGCATTGCACATGTATACATATGTAACTAACCTGCACATTGTGCACATGTACCCTAAAATTTAAAGTATAATACAAAAATAACCTTCATTTCATTCAGCAGTCTAGAAACACTGTTTTTTCAGAAAATGCAAAGGGATATTTGTGAGTGTATTGAGGCCTATGGTGAAAAAGAAAATATCTTCAGAAAAAAAACTGGAAAGGAGCTTCTGAGAAACAGATTTGTGATGTGTGCATTACTCTCACAGATGTAAACCTTTCTGGGGTTTCAGCAGTTTGCAAACACTGTTGTTGTAGCATCTGCAAAAGGATGTTTGAGAGCTCATTGAGGCCAATGGCGATAAAGATAATATCCCAGGATCAAAACTATAAGGAAGCTATTTGAGAAACTGCTTTGTGATGTGAGCATTCATTTCGGAAAGATAAATCTTTCTATTCATTCAGCAGTTTGGAACACTGTTTTCATAGTGTCTCCAAGGGGATATCTGGAAGTGCATTGAAGACTATGGTGAAGAAAGAAATATCTTCAGATAAAAACTAGTAAGAAGCTTTCTCTGAAACTGCTTTGTGATGTGTGCATTCATCTCACAGTGTTAAACCTTTCTGTGGATTCAGCAGCTTGTAAAAACTGGTTTTTGTCCATTCTTAAAAAGGACATTATGAGATCATTGAGGTCAATGGCAAAAAAATCGAATATCCAAAGATAAAAACTTTTAAAAACCACTTTGCATTGTGTGCATTCATCTCACAGAGTTAAATGATTCTTTCGATTCAGCAGTTTGGAAACACTGTTTTCGTAGAATGTGCAAAGTTATATCTGGGAGCTCATTGAGGCCTATGGTTAAAAAGGAAATATATTCAGTTAAAAAGTAGAAAGAAGCTTTCTGAGAAAGTGCTTAGTAAGGTGTGCATTCTCCTCACAGATTTAAACCTGTCTGTGAACTCAGCAGTTTTAAAACACTTTTTTTTGCTCATTCTGCAAATAGACATTTTGGAGCTCTTTGAGGCCACTGGTTGAAAAGGGAATATCAGAGGATAAAAACTAGAAGGAAGCTCTTTGAGAAACTGCTCTGTGATGTGTGCATTAATCTCACACAGTTAAACTTTTATTTTCATTCGGCAGTTTGGAAACACTGTTTTTGTAGAATCTGCGAAGTGATATCTGGGAGCACATTGAGGCCTATGGTGATAAATGAAATATCTTCAGAAAAAAACTAGAAAGAAGTTTTCTGAGAAACTTATTTGTGATGTGTGCATTTACCTCACAGAGTTAAACCTTTCTGTGGATTCAGGGTTTTGCAAACACTGTTTTTACCATTTTGTGAATGGACATTTGGGAGCTCATTGAGGCCAATGGTGAAAAAGGCAATATCCCAGGATAAAAACCAGAAGGATCCTATCTGAGAAACCACTTTGTGATGTGGAGATTCATCTTGCAGAGTTAAACCTTTCTTTTCAGTTAGCAGTTTGGAAATATTATTTTCATAGAATCATCGAGGTGATATCTGGGAGTGCATAGAGCCCTACGATGAAAAAGTAAACATCTTCAGATAAAAATTAGAAAGTCCCTTTCTGAGAAACTGCTTTGTCATGTGTGCATTCTTCTCTTAGAGTTAAATCTTTCCTTGGATTTTGCAGTTTGGACACTGTGTTTTTGTAGAATCTGTGATGGGATAGTTGGGAGCTCATTGAGGCCAATGGTGAAAAAACCAATATCCCAAGATAAAAACTAGAAGGTAGCTATTTGAGAAACTGCTGTGTGATATGTGCATTTGCCTCACAGAGTTAAACCTTGCTTTTCCTTCAGCAGTTTGGAAACACTGTTTTCATGGAATCTGGGAGCACATTGAGGCCTATGGAGAAAAACGAAATATCTTCAGATAAAAACTAGAAAGAAGCTTTCTGAGAAACTGCCTTGTGATATGTGCATACATCTCACAGAGTTGAATCTTTCTGTCGATTCAGCCAATTGGAAACACTATTTTTGTCCATTCTATGAATGGACATTTGGGAGCTCATTGAGGCCCATTGTGAAAAAGTGAATATTCGACTTTAAAAACTAGAAATATCCTATCTGAGAAATTGATTTTTGACTTGTGCTTTCAACTTGCAGAGTTAAATCTTTCTTTGGATTCAGCCATTTGCAAACACTGTTTTTGCTGATGCTGCGAATGGAAGTTTTGGAGCTCATTGAGTCCAATGGTGAAAAAGTGAATATCCCAGGATAAAACTAGAAAGAAGCTACCTGAGAAACCCCTTTGTGAATGGTGCATTCATCTCACAGAGTTACAACTTTCTTTTCATACAGCAGTCTGGAAAAACCATTTTGGCAGAATCCATGAAGGGATATTTGGGAGTGCAGTGAGCCCTATGGTGAAAAAGGAAATACCTTCAGATAAAAACTAGAAAGAAGCTTTCTCAGAAAGCACTTTGTTATGTGTGCATTAAACTCTCAGAGTTACATCTTTCTTTTCATTCAGCTGTTTGGAAACACCGTTTTCATAGAATCTGCAAAGGGTTATCTGGGAACACATTGAGGCCTGTGGTGAAAAAGGAAATATCTTCAGATAAAAACTCTAAAGAAGCTTTCTGTGAAACTGCTTTGTGTTGTGTGCATTGTTCTCACAGATTTAAAACATTCTGTGGGTTCAGCAGTTTGCAAACAATGTTTTTTTCCTTTCTGCAAATGGACATTTGGGAGCTCATTCAGGCCAAAAGCAAAAATGCAAATATCCCAGGATAAAAACTAGAAAGAAGCTCTTTGAGAAACTGCTTTGTGATGTTTGCATTCATTTTGCATAGTTAAAGCTTTCTTCTAATTCAGCAGTTTGGAAACACTGTTTTCATAGAATATGCAAAGGTATATCTGGGAGCACATTGAGGCTTAGGGTGAAAAAGGAAATATCTTCAGATTAATCTGGAAAGCTTTCCGAGAAACTGATTTGGGATATATGCATTCACCTCACAGAGTTAAGCCTTTCTGTGGATTCAGCCATTTGCAAACACTGTTTTTGTACTTTCTGAGAATGGATTTTGGGGAGTTCATAGAGACCAATGGCAAAAAAAGGCAATATCCAAGGATAAAAATTAGAAGGAACTATCTGAGAAACCGCTTTGTGATGTGTGCATTCACTTCACAGAATTAAACTTTTTTATTCATTCAACATTTTGGAAACTCTGTTTTCGTAGAATGTAGTAGGTGATATCTGGCAGCACATAGAGGTCTATGGTGAAAAAGGAAATATCTTCAGATAAAAAACTAGAAACAAGAATTCTGAGAAACTGCTTTATGATGTGTTCATTCATCACACAGAGTTAAAACTTTCTTTGGATACAGCAGGTTAGAGATGATCCTTTGTCCATTTTGTGAATGGAAATTTAGGAACTTATAGAGGCCAATGTAAAAAAAGGGAATATCCCAGTATAAAAAGGAGATAGAAGCTATCTGAGAAACCACTTTGTGATGTGTACATTCTTCTCAAAGAGTTAACCCTTTCTTTGGATTTGGCAACTTGGAAACACTGTTTTTGTAGAATCTGTGAAGCAATATATTGGATCTCATTGAGGACAAGGCAAAAAACGGAATATCCTAGGATAAAAGCTAGAAAGAAGCATTCTGTGAATCTGCTTTGTGATGTGTGCATTCACCTCTCACAGTAAAACCTCTTTTTATTCAGCAGTTTGGAAACACTGTTTTGGTAGAATCTGCTAAGGGATAATTGGGAGCTCATTGAGGTCAAAGGCAAAAAAGGTAATATCCCAGGATTAATACTAGAAAGAACTCTTTGAGAAACCACTTTGTAATGAGTGCATTCATTTCACAGAGTTAAACATTTCTTTTCATTCAGCAGTTTGGAAAAACTGTTTTCATAGAATCTGTGCGGGGATGTTTGGAAACGCAATGGAGCCTATAATGAAAAAGGAAATATAACTTCAGATTAAAAGTAAAAAGAACTTTTCTGAGAAACTGCTCTCTGATATGTGCATTCATATCACAGAGTTCAACCTTTCTTTGGATTCAGCAGTTTGGAAATAGTGTTTTTGTAGAATCTGCAAAGGGACATTTGGGAGTTCGTTGAGGCCAAAGGTGAAAAAGTGAAAAGCCCAGGATAAAAACTAGAAGGAATTATATGTGAAACCACTTTGTGATATGTGCATTTATCTCTCAGAGTTAAACCTGTCTTTTCATTCAGCAGTTTGGAAACACTTTTGGTAGAATCTTGGATGGGATATTTCAGAGCGCATTGAGGCCTATGGTGAAAAAGGAAATGTCTTTAGATGAAAACTAGAAAAAAGCTTTCTGAGAAACTGCTGTGCAATATCTGCATTCATCTCACAGTATTAAAACTTGCTTTTGATTCATCAGTTTGGAGAAACTGTTTTTGTCCATTCTGTGAATGGACATTTAAGATCTGATTGAAACCAATGGCAAAAAAGTGAATATCCCAGGATACAATGTAGAAGAAAGATATCTGACAAACCGATTTGTGATGTGTGCATTCATCTCACAGAGTTAAACTTGTTTTATATTCAGCAGTTTGGAAACACTGTTTTTCGAAATCTGTGAAGGGATATATGGGAGTTCTTGGAGGCCTGTGGTGAAAAAGGAAATATCTTTAGTTGAAAACTAGAAAGAAGCTTTCTGAGAAACTGCTTTGTGATGTGAGCATTCATCTCACAGAGTTAAACCATTCTTTGGATTCAGCAGTTTGGAAACACTGTTTTTGTAGAATCTGAAAAGGGATATTTGTGAGCTAAGTGAGGCCAAGGAAAAAAAAAATACTATCCCAAAATAAAAATTAGAAGGAAACTATCTCAGAAACCACTTGTTATGTGTGCATTTGTGTCGCATACTTAAAATTTTCTTCTCATTCAGTAGTATGGAAACACACTTCTGTAGAGTCTGCGAATGGATATTTGGGAGCTCATTGGGGTCAAAAGTGAAAAAGCCAATATCCCAGGATAAAAACTAGAATAAGCTATCTGAGAATCCACTTTGTGATGTGTGCATTCATCTTACAGAGTTAAAAGTTTCTTTTCATTTAGCAGTTTGGAAACACTTTTTGGGAGAATCTGCAAAGGGATATATGGGAGCTCATTGAGGCTTATGGTGAAAAAGTAAATATCTTCATATAAATAGTAGAAAGAAGCTTTCTGAGAAACTGCTTTCTGATGTGTGCTTTCATGTCACAGAGCTAAACATTTCTTTGGATACCGTATTTTGAAAACACCAATTTCTGTCCATTCTATGAAAGAACATTTGGCAGCTCATTGAGGCCAATGATGAAAAAGCAAATATCCCAGGATGAAAACTAGAAAGAACCTCTCACCGCATTGTGATGTGTGCATTCATCTCACAGAGTTAAACATTTCTTTGGATTCAGCAGTTCGGAAACACTGTTATTTTAGAATCTGCAAAAGGATGAATGGATACATAACAAAGTGGTTTCTCAGATACTTTCCTTCTACTTTTTACCCTGGGATATTTGCTGTTTAGCCTATGGCCTCAATGATCTATCAAATATCTCGTCACAGATTCTACTGAAACAGAGTGTCCAAACTGCTGAATCCAAGGAAATGTTGAAATCTCTGAGATGAATACACACATCACAAAGTGGTTTCTCAGATAGCTTCCTTCTAGTTTTTATCCTGGGATATTCACTTTTTCTCTGATGGCCTGATGGCCACAATGAGCTCCCAAATATGTCTTCACACATTCTACAACAACAATGTTTCCAAACTGTTGAATCCAAAGAAAGTTTTAACGCTGTGAGATGAATGCACACACCACAAAGCAGCTTCTCAGAAAGCTTGTTTCTAGTTTTCAACTGAAGATATTTCCTTTTTACTATAAACCTCAATGTGCTCTGAAAAATCCCTTGCACTTTCTACAAAAACAGTTTTTCCAACCTGCTGAATGAAAATAAAAAATTAACTCTGTGAGATGAATGCACACATCACAAAGCAGTTTTTCAGATAGCTTCCTTCTAGTTTTTATCCTGGGATATTCGCTTTTTTGCCATTGGCTTCAATTAGCTGCAAAATGTCTATATGCAGAGTGGAGAAAAACAGAGTTTCTAAACTACTGAATCCACAGAAAGGTTTAACTGTATGAGATGAATGCACATGTCACAAAGCCATTTCTCAGAAAGCTTCTTTCTAGTTTTTATCTGAAGATATTTCCTTTTTCACCATATGCCTCAATGCACTCCTATAATACCTTCACAGGTTCTACAAAAACAGTGTTTCCAACTGCCGAATGAAAAGACAGGTTTAAGTATGTGAGAAGAAAGCACTCATCACAAAGCAGTTGCTCAGATTGCTTTCTTCTAGTTTTTCTCCAGGGATATTCACTATTTTGCCATTGGCCTCAACGTGCACCCAAATATCCAGTCACAGAATTGACAAAAACAGTGTTTCCATTCTCCAGAATGAAAAGAAAGGTGCAACTCTCGGATATGAATGGACACATCACAAAGTGGATTCCCAGATAGCTTCCTTCTAGTTTTTACCCTGGGATATTGGCTTTTTCTGCTATGGCCTCAATGAGCTCCCAACTATTGTTTTGCAGATTCTACAACAACAGTGTTTCCAAACTGCTGAATCCAAGGAAATGTTGAAATCTGTGAGATGAATGCACACATCACACAGCAGTTTGTCAGAAAGCTTCTTTCTAGTTTTGATCTGAAGTTATTTCCTTTTTTACCATAGGCCTCAGTGTGCTCCAAAATATACCTTCGCAGATTCTACCAAAACAATGTTTCCAAACTGCTGAATGAAAAGAAAGATTTAACTCTGTGAGATGAATGCACACATCACAAAACAGTTTTTCAGATGGCTTCCTTCTAGTTTTTATCCTGGGATATTAGCTTTTTTGCCATTGGCCTCAATTAGCTGCCAAATATCCATTCTCAGAGTGGAGAAAAGCAGAGTTTCTACACTACTGAATCCAAAGAAAGGTTTAACTCTATGAGATGAATGCACATGTCAGAAAGCAGTTTCTCAGAAAGCTTCTTTCTAGTTTTTATCTGAAGATATTCCCTTTTTCACCATAGGCCTCAATGCACTCGTATAATTCCTTCACAGATTCTAGCAAAACAGTGTTTCCAACTGCTGAATGAAAAACAGGTTTACCTCTGTGAGATGAATGCACACATCACAAAGTGGTTTCTCAGATAGCTCCTAGTTTTTATCCTGGGATATTTGCTTTTTCCCCAATGGCCTCAATGAGCTCCCAACTATGCCTTTGCACATTCCACAACAACTCTGTTTCCAAACTGTTGAATCCAAAGAAAGGTTTAACGCTGTGAGATGAATGCACACAACACAAGGCAGTTTCTCAAAAGCTTGTTTCTAGTTTTCAACTGAAGATATTTCCTTACTATAAGCCTCAATGTGCTCTCAAATATCCACTTGCAGTTTCTACAAAAACAGTGCTTCCAACCTGCTGAATGAAAAGAAAGGTTTAACTCTGCTAGATGAATGCACACATCACAAAGCAGTTGTTCGGATAGTTTTCTTCTAGTTTTTATCCTGAGATATTCGCTTTTTTGCCATTGGCCTCAATTAGGTGCCAAATGTCCATTCACAGAATGGAGCAAAACAGAGCTTCTAAACTACTTAATCCAAAGAAAGGTTTAACTCTATGAGATGAACGCACATGTCACGAAGTTGTTTCTCAGAAAGCTTCTTTCTAGTTTTTATCTGAAGATATTTCCTTTTTCACCATATGCCTCAATGCACTCCTATAATACCTTCACAGATTCTACCAAAGCAGTGTCTCCAACTGCTGAATGAAAAGACAGGTTTAACTCTGTGAGATGAAAGCACTCATCACAAAGCAGTTTCTCAGGTAGCTTCCTTCTAGTTTTTCTCCTGGAATATTTGCTGTTTCACCATTGACCTCAATGTGCTCCCAAATATCCATTCACAGAATTGACAAAAACAGTGTTTCCATTCTCCAGAATGAAAAGAAAGCGTAACTTTGGGATACAAATGGACATATCACAAAGTGGATTCCCAGATAGCTTCCTTCTAGTTTTTATCCTGGGATATTTGCTTTTTCCTCTATGGTCTCAATGAACTCCCAAATAGTCCTTTGCAGATTCTACAATTACAGTGTTTCCAAACTGCTGAATCCAAAGAAAGGTTTAACACTGTGAGATGAATGAACACGTCAAAAAGCATTTTCTCAGAAAGCTTCTTTCTAGTTTTCAACTGAAGATATTTCCTTTTTTACCATAATCCTCAATGTGCTCCCAAATATCCCTTCACAGTTTCTACCAAAACAGTGTTTTGAAACTGCTGAATGAAAGGAAAGTTTTAACTCAACATGATGAATGCACACATCACAAAGCGGGTTCTCTGATACCTTTCTTGTATTTTTTATCCTGGAATATTTGCTTTTTAGCCATTGGCCTCATTGAGCTCTCTAATATCCTTCCTCAGATTCTACAAAAAAGGAGTTTCCAAACTGTTGAATCCTAGGAAAGGTTTAAATCTGTTAGACGAATTCACACATCACAAAGCAGTGTGTCAGAAAGCTTCTTTCTAGTTTTTATGTGAATATATTTCCTTTTTCAACATAGGCCTCAAAGCTCCCCCAAATATCCTTTTGCTGATTCCACAAAAAAAGTGTTTCCAAACTACTGAATCCAAAGAAATGTTTATCTCTGTGAGATGAATGCACACTTCCAAAGCTGTTTCTCAGATAGCTTCTTTCTAGTTTTCTTCTGAGGATATTTCCTTTTTCACCATACACCTCAATGCGCTCCCTAATATCCCTTTGCAGATTATACCAAAACAGTGTTTTCAAACTAGTGAATGGAAAGAATGTTTTAACTCTGTGAGATGATTGAACACTTCACAAAGCTGTTTCTCAGATAGCTTTCTTGTATTTTTTAGCCTGGTATATTCACTTTTTCACCATTGGCCTAATGAACTACCTAATATCACTGCACAGACTCTACAAAAACAGTGTTTGCAAACTGCTGAATACAAAGAAAGGTGCAACTCTCTGAGACGAATGCACACATCACAAACCAGTGTTTCAGAAAGCTTCTTTCTAGTTTTTATCTGAAGATATATCCTTTTTCAACATTGACCTTAAAGCACTCTCCAATATCCCTTCGTAGCTTCTACAAAAACAGTGTTTCCAAACTGCTGAATGAAAAGGAAGGTTCATTGCTGTTCGATGAACTTAGACATCCCAAGTTGGCTCTCAGGTAGCTTCCTTATGGTTTTCATGCTGGGATAATCACTTTTTCCCTTATGATCTCAATAAGCTATCAAATATCCCTTCACAGATTCTACCAAAACAGTGTTTCCATACTGCAGAATGAAAAGAAAGCTTTAACTCTGGGAGATGAATGTAGACCTCACAAGGTGGTTTCTCAGATACCTTCCTTTTAGTTTTTGTTTCGGGATATTTGACTTTTCCCTACACCCTCAATGAGTTATCAAGTATCCCTTCACAGATGCGACAAAAGCAGTGTTTCCAAATTACCGAATCCAAACAAATGTTTAAATTTCTCATCTGAAGGTACACATCATGAAGCAGTTTCTCAGAAATCTTCTTTGTAGTTTTAATCTGAAGATATTTCTTTTTTCACCATAGGCCTCAATGTGATCCTAAATATCTCTTTGCAGAATCTACTAAAACAGTGTTTACAAGCTGCTGAATGGAAAGAAAGTTTTAACTCTGTGAGATGAAAGCAACCATCACAAAGTGGTTCATCAGAGAGCTTCCTTCTAGTTTTTATCATGGGATATTTGCTTCTTTGCCTATGGCCTCAATGAGCTCTCTAATATCCCTTCACAGATCCAACAAAAACAGTGTTTCCAAACTGCTGAACACAAAACATTTTACCTCTCTGAGATGAATGCACACATCACAAAGCAGTTTCTCAGAATGCTTCTTTCTAGTTTATATCTGAAGATTTTTCTTTTTTCACTGTAGTCCTCAATGGACTCCCAAATATCCCTTTGCAGATCCTACCAAAACAATGTATCCAAACTGCTGAATGTAAAGAAACTTTTAACACTGTGAAATAAGTGCACACATCACAAAGTGGCTTCTCAGATAGCTCTGTTTTAGTTTTCATCTTGGGATATTTGCTTTTTCACCGTTGGAATAAAGAACTCCCAAAAATCCATTCACAGAATGGACAATAACAGTGTTTCCAGACTGCTGAATCCAAAGAAAGGTTTAACTCTGTGAGGTGAATGCACATGTCCCAAAGCAGTTTCTCAGAAATCTTCTTGCTAGTTTTCATCTAAAGATACTTCCTTTTTATCCCTAGCCTTCAATGGACTCCAAAATATCCCTTTGCAGATTCTACAAAAACAGTTTTTCCAGCCTGCTGAATGAAAAGGAAGTTTAACCACTGTGAGATTAATGCACACACCAGAAGGCTGTTTCTCAGATAGCTTATTCTTGTTTTTATCCTGGGATATTCAGTTTTTCCCCTATGGCCTCAATGAGCTCCCAAATATCCCCTTGCAGATTTTACAACAGTGTTTCCAAACTGCTGAATCCACCAAAATATTTAACTCTGTAAGATAAATGGAGACATTACAATGCAGTTTCTCAGAAAGCTTCTTCCTAGTTTTTATCTGAAGATATTTCTTTTTCCACCATGAGTTTCAATGCACTCCCAGATATCCCTTTGCAGATTCTGCAAAAACCGGGTTTCCACACTGCAGAATGAAAAGAAAGGTTTAACTTTCCAGAGGAATGCACACATCACAAAGCAGTTTCTCAGATAGGTTTCTTCAAGTTTTTATACTGGGATATTTGCTTTTTCGCATTTGGCCTCAATGAGCTGAAAAATTGTCCATTCACAGAAAGGACAAAAACAGTATTTCAAAATTGCTGAATCCAAACAAAGGTTTAACTTTATGAGGTGAATGCACACATGACAAAGCAGTTTCTCAGAAAGTTTCCTTCTAGTTTTTATCTGAAGTTATTTCTTTTTTCCCCATATGCCTCAAAGAGATCCCAAATATTGCTTCGTGGATTCTGCCAAGACAGTGTTTCCAGACAGTTGAATGAAAAGAGACAATTAACTCTGCAGGGTGAATGCACACATCACAAAGTGGTTTTCAGTTTCTCAGATATCTTTCTTCTAGTTTTAAATCTGGGATATTCTCTTTCACACCTTTGGCCTCAGTGAGCTCCCAAATGTCCATTCACAGAATGGACAAAAATAGTGTTTGCTAACTGCAGAATCCACAGATACTTTTACCTCTCTGATTTCAATCCACACTTCAGAAAGCAGTTTCTCAGAAAGCTTCTTTCTAGATTTTATCTGAACATATGTCCTTTTTCACCACAGGCCTCAGTGTGCTCCCAGGTATCTCTTTGCAGATTCTAGGAATAAAGTGTTTCCAAGCTGCTGAATGGAAAGAAACGTTTAATTCTGTGAGATGAATAAACACATCACAAAGCTGTTTCTGAAATAGCTTCCTTTTACTTTTTGTCCTGATATAATTACCTTTTTGCCTTTGGCCTCATTAAGCTCCCAAATGTCCCTTTGCAGCTTCTACAACAGTGTTTCCATCTGCTTAATCCAAAGAAAGGTTTAACTCAGTGAGATGAATGCACACACCTCAAAGCAGTTTCTGAGAAAGCTTCTTTCTAGTTTATATCTGAAAATATTGCTTTTCACCATAGGATACTAGGTGCTCCCGAATAACCCTTCATGGATTCTGCCAAAACAGTGTTTCCAAACAACATTAGAAAATCAAGGTTTATCTCTGTGAGGTGAATGCACACATCACAAAATGGTTTCTCAGATAGCTTCCTTCTAGTATTTATCCTGGGATATTCACTTTTTCTCCATTGGCCTCAATGAGCTCCCAAATGTCCATTCGCAGAATGCACAGAAACAGTGTTTACAAATGGCTGAATCCACAGAAAGTTTTATTTCTGTAAGGGGAAAGCACATGTCACAAAGCAGTTTCTCAGAAACATTCTTTCTAGTTTTTTTCTCATGATATTTCCTTTTTCGCCATAGGCTTCAAAGCACTCCCAGATATTGCTTTGCAGATCCTACAAAAACAGTGTTTCCAAACTGCTGAATGAAAGGAAAGGTTTAAATATGCGAGATGAATGAACACATCACAAAGTGGTTTCTCAAATAGCTTCCTTCTAGTTTTTATCCTGGGATATTCACTTTTTTGCTATTGGCCTCAATGAGCTCACAAATACCCCTTTGCAGATTCTACAACAACAGTGTTCCCAAACTGCAGTATCCAGAGAAATATTTAACTCGGTGAGAGGAATGTACACATCACAAAGCAGTTTCTCCGAAAGCTTCTTTCTAGTTTTTATCTGAAGATATTTCCTTTTTCACCACAGGCCTCAATGCACTCCCACATATCCCTTCACAGATTCTACAAAAACAGTGTTTCCAAACTGCTGAAAAACAGAAAGGTTTAACTCTGCAAGATGAATGCACACATCACAAAGCAGTTTCTCAAATAGCTTCCTTTTAGTTTTTCTTGGAATATTCACTTTTTTGCCATTGGCCTTAATGTGCTCCAAAATGTCCATTCACAGAATGGACAACAACAGTGTTTGCAAACTGCTCTATCCAAAGAAAAGTTTATCTCTGCAGGATGAATGCACACATCACAAAGTAGTTTCTCACAAAGCTTCTTTCAAGTTTTTGTCTGAAGATATTTCTTTTTTTATCATAGGCCTCTATGCGATCCTAAATTATCCCTTCATGGATTCTACCAAAAGTGTGTTTCCAGACTGCTGAATGAAAGGAAAGGTTTATCTCTGTGAGGTTAATATACTCATCACAAAGTGGTTTCTCAGTTAGTTTCCTTCTAGTTTTTATCCTGGGATATTCACTTTTTCACCATTGGCCTCAATGAGCTCCCAAATGTCCATTCTCAGAATAGACAAAAACAGTGTTTGCAAATGGCTGAATCCAAAGAAAGGTTTAATCCTTTGAGATAAATTAACACATCACAAAATAGTTTCTCAGAAAGCTTCTATTTTTTATATGAAGATATTTCCTTTTTCACCATAGGCCACAATGTGCTGCCAAATATCCCTTCATAGATTCTATAAAAACTATGTTTAGAAACTGCCGAATGAAAATAAAGGTTTTGAATCTGCGAGTTGAATGAACACGTCAAAAAGCAGTTTCTCAGATAGCTTAATTCTAGTTTTTATCCTAGGATATTCACTTTTTTGCCATTGCCTCAATGACATCCCAAATGTCCATTTGCAGAATGGACAAAAACAGAGTTACCAAACTACCGAATACAAAGAAAGGTTTAACTCTGTGAGATGAATGCACACATGCCAAACCAGTTTCTCAGTAAGCTTCTTTCTAGTTTTTATCTGAATGTATTTCCTTTTTCACCACTGGCCTTAATATGCTTCCAAATATCTCTTCACAGATTATAAGAAAACAGTGTTTCCTAACTGCCAAATGAAAAGAAGATTTAACCCTGTGAGATGAATGCACACATCAAAAATCATTTTCTCAGATAACTTCCTTCTAGTTTTTATCTTGGGATATTTGCTTTTTCACCATTGGCTGCAATAAGCTCCCAAATGTCCATTCTGCAAAAACAGTGTTTCTAAACTGCTGAATTCAAAGAAAGGTTTAACTCTGTGAGATTAATGAACATACCACAAAGCAGTTTCTCAGAAAGCTTCTTTCTAGTTTTTATCTGAAGATAATTCCTTTTTCACTGTAGGCCCAAATGCGCTGCCAAATATCCTTTTGCTGATTCTACAAAAACAACGTTTCCAAACTGCTGAATGAAAAAAAAGGTTTAATTCTCCTGGATGAATGCACACATCACAAAGCAGTTTCTCAGAGAGCTTCCTTCTAGTTTTTATCCTGGGATATTTGCTTTTTCGCCTTTGACCTCAATAAGCTCCCAAATGTCTTGTTGCATAATCCACAAAAACAGTGTTACAAAACTGCTGAGTCAAAAGAAAGGTTTAACTCTGTGAGATGAATCCACACATCCCAAACCAGTTTCTCATTAAGCTTCTTTCTAGTTTTCACCTGAAGATATTTTCTTCTTCACCATTGACCTCCATACTCTTCCAAATATCTCTTTGCAGATCCTAAGAAAACCGTGTTTCCAAACTGCTGAATGAAGAGAAAGTTTTACCTCTGTGAGACGAATGCACACATCACAAATTGGTCTCTCAGATAACTTTCTTCTAGTTTTTAACCAGGGATATTCGCTTTTTCTCCATTGGCATAAATGAGCTCCCCAAATGTTCATTCGCAGAATGAACAAAAACAGTAATTCCATACTGTTCAATGAAATAAAGTTTTAGCTCTCTGAGACAAGTGAACACATCACAGGGCAGTTTCTAAGAAAGCTTCTTTCTAGTTTTTATCTGAAAATATTTCCTTTTTCACCATAGGCCTCAATGCACTGCCAAATATCCTTTCGCATAGTCTACAAAAACAGTGTTTCTATACTGCTGAATGAATAGAAATATTTAACCCTGAGCGATGAATGCACACATCACAAAGAAGATTCTCAGATAGCTTCCTTCTGGTTTTTATCTTGGGATATTCCCTTTTTTGCCATTGGCCTCAGTGAGCTCCCAAATGTCCATTCTCAGAATGGACAAAAACAGTGTTACCAAACTTCTGAATTGAAAGAAGACTTTAACTCTCTGAGATGAATGCACACATCCTAAAACCAATTTCTTATTAAGCTTCTTTCCAATTTTTATCTGAAGCAATTTCCTTTTTCACCATAAGACTCAATATGCTACCAAATACCTCCTTGCAGATTCTAAGAAAACAGTGTTTCCAAACTGCTGAATGAAAAAAAAGGTTTAAACCTGTTAGATGTATGCACACATCACAAATCAGTTTCTCAGATAACTTCCTTCTAGTTTTTATCCTGGGATATTCTGTTTTTCACCATTGGCCTCAATGAGCTCCCAAATGTCCATTCTGCAAAAACAGTGTTGCCAACTCCTGAATTCAAAGAAAGGTTTTACTCTGTGAGATGAATGAACACATCACAAAGCAGTTTTTTGGAAAGCTTCTTTCTAGTTTTTATCTGAAGATATTTCCTTTTTCACCATAGGCCTCAATGTACTTCCAAGTGTCCTTTTGCAGATTCTACAAAAACAGTGTTCCCAAACTGCTGAATGAAAAGGAAGATTTATCTCTGCTAGATAAATGCACACATCACAAAGCAGCTTCTCAGAGAGCTTCCTTATAGTTTTTATTGTGGGATATTTTCTTTTTGGCCTTTGGCCTCAATGAGCTCCCAAATGTCCATTCGCAGAATGGGCAAAAACAGTATTATGAAACTGCTGAATCAAAAGAAAAGTTTAAGTCTGTGAGATGAATGCAGACATCCCAAACTAGTTTCTCATTAAGCTTCTTTCTAGTTTTGATCTGAAGATATTTCCTCTTTCACCACAGGACTCAATGCACTAGCAAATAGCTCTTTGCAGATTCCAAGAAATCAGTGTTTCCAAGCTGCTGAATGAAAAAAAAAAAAAGATGTAAGTCTGTGAGGTGAAAGCGCACATCAAAAATCAGTTTCTCAGATAACTACTTTCTCATTTTTATCCAGGATTATCGCTCTTTTGCCATTGGCCTCAATGAGTTCCCAAATGTCCATTCCCAGAATGGGCAAAAAAAGTGTTTGCAAAATCCTGAATCCAAAGAAAGGTTTATCTCTGTGAGATGAATGAATACATCACAAAGCAGTTTCTCATTAAGGTTCTTTCTAGATTTATCTTAAGATATTTCCTTTTTCACCATAGGCCTCAATGTGCTGCAAAATATCCCTTTGCCGATCCTACAATAGCAGTATTTCCAAACTGCTGAATGAGAAGAAAAGTTTAACTCTTCGAGTTGATTGCACACATCACAAAGCGGTTTCTCACATAGCTTCCCATTCTCGTTTTTATCCTGGGATATTTGCTTTATCGATATTGACATCAATGAGCTTCAAAGTGTCCATTCACAGAATGCATGAAAACAGTGTAATCAAACTTCTGAATCCAAAGAAATGTTTAACTCTCTGTGATGAATGCACACATCCTTAGCCACTTTCTCATTAAGCTGCTTTCCAGTTTTTATCTGAAGATATTTCCTTTTTCACCATTGGCCTCCATACTCTACCAAGTATCTCTTCGCAGTTTCTAAGAAAACAGCTTTTCCAAAGTGCTGAATGAAAAGAAATGTTTAACTCTCTGAGATGAATGGACACATCACAAATCGGTTTCTCAGATAACTCTCTTCTAGTTTTTACCCTGGGATATTCGCTTTTTTGCATTGGCCTCAATGAGCTCCCAAATGTCAATTCTGTGAAAACAGTATTTCCAAACTCCTGAATCCAAAGAAAGATTTAACTCTGTGAGTTGAATGAACACATCACAAAGCATTTTCTGAGAAAGCTTCTTTCTAGTTTTTATCTGAAGATACTTCCTTTTTCACCATAGGCCTCAGAGGGTTACCAAATATCCCTTTGCAGATTCTTCAAAACAGTGTTTCTTAACTGCTGAAGGAAAAGAAAGGTTTTGACTCTGTGAGATGAATGCACAAATCACAAATTGGTTTCTCAGATAGATTCCTTATAGTTTTTATCCTGGGATATTAGCTTTTTCTCCAATGGCCTCAATGAGCTCCCAAATATCCACTCTGCAAAAACAGTTTTTCCAAACTGCTGAATCCAAAGAAACGTTTAACCCTGTGAGATGAATGCACACATCACAAATCAGTTTCTCATACAACTTCCTTCCAGTTTTCATCCTGGGATATTCCCTTTTTCACCATTGGCCTCAATGAGCTCCCAAAAGTCCATTCACAGAATGGACAAAAACAGTGTTACCAAACTGCTGAATCTTAAGAAAGGTTTCAGTCTTTGGGAGGAATGCATACATCACAAATCAGTTTCTCATTAACCTTCTTTCTAGTTTTTATCTGAAGATATTTCCTATTCAGCTTAGCCCTCAATGCACTAACAAATATCTTTTCACAGATTCTAAGAAAATAGTGTTTCCAGGAAGGGGAACAACACACTCCGGGGACTGTTGTGGGGTGGGGGGAAGGGGGAGGGATAGCATTAGGAGATATACCTAATGTTAAATGACGAGTTAATGGATTCAGCATGCCAACATGTCACATGTATACATATGTAACAAACCTGCACATTGTGTACATTTACCCAAAAACTTAAAGTATAATAATAATAAAACAAAAAAAAAAAGAAAGTAGTGTTTCCAAACTGCTGAATGAAAAGAAATGTTTAACTCTGTGAGATGAATGCACTCATCACAAAGTGGTTTGTCACAGACTTCCTGGTAGTTTTCATCCTGGGATATTCGTTTTTTCACGATTGGCCTCAATGAGCTCCCAAATATCCATTTGCAGAATCGATAAAAACAGTTATACCAAACTGCTTAATTAAAAGGAATGTTTAACTCCTGAGTTGAATGAACACATCGCAAAGCAGTTTGTCAGAAAGCTTCTTTCTAGTTTTTATCTGAAGATATTCCCTTTTTCACCTTAGGCCTTAATGTGCTGCCATATATCCCTTTTCAGATTGTGCAAAAATAGTTTTTGCAAACTACTGAATATAAAGAATCATTTAATCTGTGAGATGAATGCCTATATCACCAAGCAGTTTCTCACAGAGCTTTCTTCTAGTTTTAATCCTGGGATATTAACTTTTTTGCCATTGGCCTCAATGACCTCCCAAATGTCCATTCAAAGATTGAACAAAAACAGTGTGACCAAACTGCTGAATACAAAGAAAGGTTTAACCCTCTGAGATGAATGCATACATCCAAAACCAGTTTCTCATATGTATTTTTTCTAATTTTTAACTAAAGATGTTTCATTTTTCAAACATAGGCACCCATACACTTCCAAATGTCTCTTCACAGATTGTAAGAAAACAGTGTTTCCAAACTGTGAATCAAAAGAAAGTTTTAACTATGTGAGATGAATGCACACATCACAAATTGGTTTCTCAGACAACATCTTTCTAGTTTTTAACCTGGGATATTCACTATTTTGCCATTGGCCTCAATGAACTCCCAAATGTCCATTCCCAGAATGGACAAAACCAGTGTTTCCAAACTGCTGAATCCAAAGAAGGTTTAACTCTGTAAGATGAAAGCATGCAACCCAAACGAGTTTCTCATTAAGATTATTTCCAATTTTTTTCTGAGGATATTTCCTTTTTCACCATAGGCTACAATGTAGTACAAAATATCTCTTCTCAGATTCTTAGAAATCAGTGTTTTCAAACTGTGGAATGAAAAGAAAGGTTTAACTCTGTGAGATGAATGCGCACATCACAAAGCTGTTTCTCAGATAGATTCCTTGTAGTTTTTATCTTGGGATATTTGCTTTTTTGCCATTGACCTCAATGAGCTCCCAAAAAACCATTTGCAGAATGGACAAAAAAATTGTTACCAAAAGGCTGAATCCAAAGAAATGTTTAATTCTGAGAGATGAATGCACACATCTTAAAGCAGTTTTCATTAAGCTTATTTCTAGTTTTTAATCTGAAAGAATTTCGTTTTTCAACATAGGACTCAATGGGCTATCAAATATCTCTTTGCACATTCTAAGAAAACAGTTTTTCCAAACTGTTGAAAGCAAAGAAAGTTTTAACCCTGTGAGATGAATGCACACATCACAAACTGGTTTCTCAGATAACTGCTTTTTAGTTTTTATCCTAGGATAATTGCTTTTTCACCATTGGCCTCAATGAGCTATCAAATGTCCATTCCCAGAATGGACAAAAACAGTGTTTCCAAACTGCTGAATCCAAAGAAAGTTTCATCACTATGAGATGAATGTATACATCACAAATCAATTTCTTAGATAAATTTCTTCCAGTTTTTATCCTGGGATATTCTCTTTTTCAACATTGGCCTCAATTAGCTCCCAAATGTCCATTCACAGAATGGACAAAAACAGTGTTTCCAAACTGCTGAATTCAAAGAAAAGTATAACTCTGTGAGATGAAAGAATACATCACAAAGCAGTTTCTCAGAAAGCTACTTTCTAGTTTTTATGTGAAGTTATTTCCTTTTTCACTGTAGATCTCAACACGCATCCAGATATCTTTCACAGTTTCCAAACTACTGAATGAAAAGACAAGTTTAATTCTGCTGGATTAATGCACACATCAAAAAGGGGATTCTCAGATTGCTTCCTTCTATTTTTAATCCTGGAATGTTTACTTTTTTGCCATTGGCCTCATTGAGCTCCCAAATGTCCATTCACAGAATGGACAAAAACACTGTTACCAAACTGCTGAATCTAAATAAAGCTTTAAGTCTGTGAGATAAATGCCCACAACTCAAACGAGTTTCTCATTATGCTTCTTTCTAGTTTTTATCTGAAGATATTTCCTTTTTCACCATAGGCCTCAATGTGCTACAAAATATCTCTTCACAGATTCTAAGAAATCAGTGATTCCAAACTGCTGAATGAAAAGAAAGGTTTAATTCTGTGAGATGAATGCACACATCATGAATCGGTGCTCAGGTAACTTGCTTCTAGTTTTTATCCTGGGATATTCACTTTTTTGCCATTGGCCTCAATGAGCTCCCAAATGTCCATTCACAGAATAGACAAAAACAGTGTTTCCAAGCTGCTGAATCCAAAGAAGGTTTAACTCTGTGAGATGAAATAACACAACCCAAATGAGTGTCTCATTAAGCTTCTTTCTAGTTTTTATCTGAGGATATTTCCTTTTTCACCACAGGCCACAATGTGGTAGAAAATATCTCTTCTCAGATCCTTAGAAATCAATGTTTTCAAACTGCTGAATGAAAAGAAAGGTTTAACTCTGTGAGATGAATGCACACATCATGAATTGGTTTCTCAGACCACTTCCTTCTAGTTTTCATCCCGGGATATTCGCTTTTTTGCCATTGCCCTCAATGAGGTTCCAAATATGCATTCCAAGAATGGATAAAAACAGTGTTTCCAAACAGTGAATGAAAAGAACGGTTTGACTCTGTGAGATGAATGCACACAACACAAAGCAGTTTCTCAGAAAGCTTCTTTCTAGTTTTTCTCTGAAGATATTTCCATTTTCACCATAGGCCTCAATGCGCTGCCAAGTATCCCTTTGCAGATTCTACAAAAACAGTATTTCCAATCTGCTGAATGAACAGATACATTTAACTTTGTGAAATGAATGCACACATCACAAAGCACTTTCTCAGAGAGCATCCTTCTAATTTTTATAATCGGATATTTGCTTTTTCACCATTGGCCTCAAATACCTTCAAAACCTCCATTCACAGAATGGACAAAAGCAGGGTTACCAAACTGCTGAATCCAAAGAAAGGTTTAACTCTGTGAGATGAATGCATGCAATGCAAATGAGTTCCTCATTAAGCTTCTTTCTAGTTTTTATCTGAAGACATTTCCTTTTTCAACATAGGCCTCAATGGACTACCAAATATCTCTTTGAGGATTCTAACAAATGAGTGTTTCCAAACTGCTGAATGAAAAGAAAGCTTAAACTCTGTATGATGAGTGCACACATCATCAATCAGTTTCTCAGATAACTTGCTTCTAGTTTTTATCCTGGTATATTTGCTTTTTTGCCACTGGCCTCAATGCGTTCCCAAATGCCCATTCCAAGAATGGACAAAAACAGTGTTTCCAAACTACTGAATCCATAGAAAGTTTTAGCTCTGTGAGATGAATGAACACTTCACAAGGCAGTGTCTCAGAAAGCTTCTTTCTAGTTTTTCATTGAAGATATTTCCTTTTTCACCATAGGCCCCCATACTCTTCCAACTATCTCTTTGCACATTCTAAGAAAATAGTTTTTCAAAACTGCTGAATTAAAAGAAAGTTTTAACTCTGTGAGAAAAATGCACCCATGAAAAGTAGGTTTCCCAGATAACTTCCCTCTAGGTTTTATCCTGGAATAATTGCCTTTTCATCATTGACCTCAATGAGCTCCAAAATGTCCATTTGCAGAATGCACAACAACATTGTTTCCAAACTGCTGAATCCAAAGCAAGGTTTAACTCTGTGAGATGAATGAACACATCACAAAGAGGTTTCTCAGAAAACTTCTTTCTAGTTGTTTTCTGAAGGTATTTACTTTTTCACCATAGGCCTCAATGGGCTGCCAAATATCCTTTCACAGTTTCTACAAAAACAGTGTTTCCAAAGTGCTGAATGGAAAGAAAGGTTTAACTCTGCTAGATGAATACACACATCACAAACGTGTTTCTCAGATAGCTTCCTTCTAGTCTTTATCCTGGGATATTCACTTTTTTGCCATTGGCATCAATGAGCTCTCAAACGTCCATTCACAGAATGGACAAAAACAGTTACCAAACTGCTGAATCCAATCAAAGGTTGCAGTCTGTGAGATGAGTACACACAATCCAAGTGAGTTTCTCATAAATATTCTTTCTAGTTTTTATCTGAAGATATTTCCTTTTTCAACATAAGTCTCAATTTGCTACCAAGTATCCCATCTCAGATTCGAAGAAATCAGTGTTTCTGAACTGCTGAATGAAAAGAAATGTTTAAAACTGAGAAGAATGCACACCACTCAAATCAGTTCTCAGATAATGTCCTTCTAGTTTTTAATCCAAGTATGTTCACTTTTTTGCCATTGGCCTCTAAGAGTTCCCTAATGTCCATTCCCAGAATGGACAAAAACCGTGTTTACAAACTCCTGAATCCAAAGAAAGCATAACTCTGTGAGATAAATATCCATGTCACAAAGCAGTTTCTGAGAATGTCTATTTCCAGTTTTTTCCTGAAGGTATTTCCTTTTTCAACAAAGGCCTCAATGAGCTGCCAAATATCCCTGCACAGATTCTACAAAAACAGTGTTTTCAAAATATTGAATGAAAAGAAACGTTTAATTCTGTGAGATGAATGCACACATCACAGAGCAGTTTCTCAGATAGCTTCCTTCTAGTTTTTATGCTGGGAAATTCACTTTCTTGCCATTGACCTCAATGAGCTCCTAAATGTCCATTCACAGAATGGACAAAGACAGTGTTACCAAACCGCTGAACCCAAAGTAAGTTTTAACTCTCTGAGATGAATGCACACATCCCAAACCACTTGCCCCTTAAGCATCTCTGTAGTGGTTACCCGATGACATTTTGTTTTTCACCATAGGCCTCCTTACCCTTCCAAATATCTCATTGTAGATTCTAAGAAAACGGTGCTTCCAAACTGACGAATGAAAGGAAAGTTTTAACTCTGTGAGATGAATGCACACATCACAAATCGGATTCTCAGATAACTTCCTCTAGGTTTTGTCCAGGGATATTCACTTTTTCGCCATTGACATCAATGAGCTCCAAAACGTCCATTCACAGAATGGGAAAAAACGATGTTATCAACCTGCTGAATCCAAACAAAGTTTTAACTCTGTGAGATGAATGAACACATCAAAATTCAGTTTCTCAGACCACTTCTTTCTAGTTTTTATCTGAATATATTTCCTTTTTCACCTTAGGCCTCAATGCACTGCCAAATATCCGTTTGTAGATACTACACAAACTGTGTTTCCAAACTGCTGAATGAAAAGAAAGTTCTAAGCCTGTGAGATGAATGCACACATCGGAAAGCAGTTTCTTAGATTGCTTCCTTTTAATGTTTATCCTGGTATATTCTCTTTTTCACCATGAGCCCCAATGATTTCCCAAATGTCCATTCCAAGAATGGACAAAAACAGTGTTTTCATATTCCTGAATCCAAAGAAAGATTTAACTCTTTGAGATGAATTAACATATCACTAAGTAGTTTCTCAGACAGCTTCTTACTAGTTTTTATCTGAACATATTGCTTTTTCACCCTAGGCCTCAATGGACTGCCAAACATCCTTTTGCAGTTTCTACAAAAACAGTGTTTCTAAACTGCTGAATGAAAGGAAAGGTTTAACTCTGCTAGATGAATGCACACATCATAAAGGGGTTTTTCAGAAAGGTTCCTTCTAGTTTTAATCCTGGGATATTCTCTTTTTCACCACTGGCTTCAATGAGCTCCCAAATGTCCATTTACAGAATGGACAAAAACAGTGTTACCAAACTGCTGAATCCAAACAAAGTTTGAAGTCTGTGAGACGAATGCACACAACACAAAAGAGTTTCTCATAAAGCTTCTTTCTAGTTTTCATTTGAAGTTATTTCCTTTTTCACCCTAAGTCTTAATGCACTACCAAATATCTCTTCAAAGCTTTGAAGAAATCAGTGTTTCCAAACTGCTGAATGAAAAGAAAGGTTTAACACTGTGAGATGAATACACCCATCACAAATAGGTTTCTCAGATAACTTCCTCTAGTTTTTATCCCAGAATATTTCCTTTATTGCTATTGGCCTCAAAGAGATCCCAAATGTCCATTCCAAGAATGGACAAAAACAGTGTTTCCAAACTGCTGAATTCAAAGAAAGGTTTAACACTGTGAGGTGAATGAACACATTGCAAAGCAGTTAATCAGAAAGCTTCCTTCTACTTTTTATCTGAAGATATTTCTTTTTCAACATAGGCCTCAAGGCACTGCCAAATATCCTTTTGCAGTTTCTACAAAAACAATGTTTCCAAAGTACTGAATGAAAGGAAAGTTTTAACTCGGCTAGAAGAATGCACACAACACAGAGCAGCCTCTTAGATAGCTTCCTTCTAGTTGTTATCCTGGGTTATTCGCTTTTTTGCCATTGGCCTCAATGAGCTCCCAAATGTCCATTCACAGAGTGCACAAAAACAGTGTTACCAAACTGCTGAATCCAAATAAAGGTTTAACACTTTGAGATGAATGCACACATCCTTAACCAGTTTCTCATTAAGCTTCTTTCTAGTTTTTACTTGAAGATATTTCCTTTTTCACCATAGGCTGGAATGCACTACCAAATATCTCTTTGCAGATTCTAAGAAAACAGTGTTTCCAAACTGCTGAATGAAAAGAAAGTTTTAACTCTGTGAGATGAATGAACACGGTATAAATCGATTTTTCAGATGGGTTCCTTCTGGTCTTTATCCAGAGATATTCGCTTTTTCACCATTGGCCTCTTTGAGCTCCCAAATGTCCATTCGCGTAATGGACAAAAACAGTGTTTCCAAACTGCTGAATCCAAAGAAAGATTTAATTCTGTGAGATGAATGAACACATCACCAAGCAGTTTCTCAGACAGCCTCCTTCTAGTTTTTATATGAAGATGTTTCTTTTTTCACCCTAGGCCTCAATGAGCTGCCAAATATCCTTTTGCAGTTTCTACAAAAACAATGTTTCCAAAGTAATGAGTGAAAAGAAAGGTTTAAATGTGCTGCAGGAATGTGCACATCACAAACGGCTTTTTCAGATAGCTTCCTTCTAGATTTTATCCTGAGCTATTTGCTTTTTCACCATTTGCCTTAATGAGCTCCCAAATGTCCATTCACAGAATGGACAAAAACAGTGTTACTAAACTGTGAATCCAAAGACATGTATAAGTCTGTGAGCTGAATGCACACATCACAAACCAGTTTCTAATTAAGCTTCTTTCTAGTTTTTATCTGAAGATATTTCCTTTTTCAACATAGGCATCCATACTCTTCCAAGCATCTCTTTGCAGATTCTAAGAAAATACGGTTTCCAAACTGCTGAATGAAAGGAAAGGTTTAACTCTGCGAGATGAATGCACACATCACAAGGGAGGTTGTCACAGACCTTCCTTCTAGTTTTTATCCTGCATATTCCCTTTTTCTCCATTGGCCTAAATGAGCTGCCAAATGTCCATTCATGGAATGCACAAAAACAGTGTTACCAAACTGCTGAATGCAAACGAATGTTGAAATCTGTGAGATGAATGCACACAACACAAGTGAGCATTCCAAACTCATAAAGCTTCCTTGTAGTGTTTATCTGAAGATATTTTCTTTTTCACCATAGGCCTCAATATGCTGCCAAATATTATCTCGTAGTTTGTACAAAAACACTGTTTCCAAACTGCTGAACGAAAAGAAAAGTTTAACACTGTGAAATGAATGCACACATCCTAAAGCAGTTTATCATTAAGCTTCTTTCTAGTTTTTATCTAAAGGTATTTGCTATTCATCATAGGCCTCAATGTGCTACCAAATATCTCTGCAGATTTTAAGAAAACAGTGTTTCCAAATTGCTGAAAGAAAAAGGTTTAACTCTGTGAGATGAATGCACTCATCACAAATCGGTTTCTCAGATAAATTGCTTTGTCTTTTTTTCCTGGGATATTTGCTTTTTAGCCATTGGCATCAGTGAGCTCTCAAATGTCCATTTGCAGAATGGACAAAAGCAGTGTTTACAAACTGCTGAATTCAAAGAAAGGTTTAATTCTGTGAGATAAATGGACACATCATAAAACAGTTTCTCAGAATCCTTTTTTATAGTTTTTATTTGAAGATGTTTCCTTGTTCACCATAGGCCTCAAAACACTGGCAAATATCCATTCACAGATTCTACAAAAACCGTGTTTCTAAACTGCTGAATGAAAATCAAGTTTTAACTCCGCTAGATGAATGCACACATAACAAAGCAGTTTCTCAGATAGCTTCCTTTTAGTTTTTACACTGGGATAATTGCTTTTTCCCCATTGACCTCAATGAGCTTCTAAATGTCCATTTGCAGAATGGACAAAAACAGTGTTACCAAACTGCTGAATCCAAAGGAAGTTTTAACACTGTGAGATAAATGCACACATCCCAAACTAGTTTCTCATTAAGCTTCTTTATAGTTTTTAATTGAAGATATTTCCTTTTTCCCCCTAGGCCTCAATGCACTATCAAATATATCTTCAGAGATTCTAAGAAATAAGTGTTTCTAAACTGCAGAATCCAAAGAATGGTTTAACCCTGTGAGATGAATGAACACATCACAAAGCAGCTTCTCAGAAAGCTTGTTTCTAGTTTTTATTTGAAGACATTTCTTTTTTCTCCATAGGCCTCAGTGCAATGCAAAGTATCCTTTCACAGTTTCTCCTAAAACAGTGTTTTCAAACTCCTGAATGAAAAGAAATTTTTAACTCTGTGAGATGAATGTACACATCACAAAGCTGTTTCTTGAATAGCTTCCTTCTAGTTTTTGTCCTGAGGTAATAACTTTTTTGCCTTTGGCCTCATAAACTCCCAAATATCCCTTCACAGATTCTACAACAACAGGTTTTCCAAACTGCTGAATCCAAAGAAATTTTTAAATCTGTGAGATGAATGCACACACCACAAAGCAGTTTCTCAGAAAGTTTCTTTCTAGTTTTTATCTGAAGATATTTCCTTTTTCACCATAGGCCTCAATGCACTCCAAAATAAAACTTTGCAGATTCTACAAAAACAGTGTTTCCAAACTGCTGAATGAATGCAATGGTTTAAATCTGAGAAATGAATGCACACATCACAAACTGGTTTGTCAGATAGCTTCTTTCTAGATTTCTTTTTCCTGGGATGTTCGCTTTTTTGCTTTTGACCTCTATAAGCTCCCAAATATCCCTTTGCAGATACTACAACAGCAATGTTTCCAAACTGCTGAATCCAAAGAAAGGTTTAAAACTGTGCAATGAATGCACAGATCACAAAGCAGTTTCTTAGATAGCTTGTTTCTAGTTTTATCTGAAGATTTTCGTTTTTTATCTGAAGATATTTCATTTTTCACCACAGGACTCAATGCGCTCCCAAATATCTCTTCTCGGATTTTATGAAAAGAGTGTTTCTGGACTGCTGAATGAAAAGAAAGGTTTATCTCGGCAAGACGAATGCACACATAACAAAGCAGTTTCTCAGATAGCTTTCTTCTAGCTTTTATCCTGGGGTATTCACTTTTTCGCTATGGGAAAAAGGACCTCCAGAACGCCCATTCACAGAATGGACAGAAACAGTGTTTGCAAACTGGTGCATCCACAGAAAGGTTTATCTCTGTGAGATGAATGCACACAACACAGGGCAATTTCCCAGAAAGCTTCTTGCTAGTTTTTATCTGAAGATATTTCCTTTTTCACCAGAGGCCTCAATGCACTCCAAAATATAACTTCGCAGATTCTACAAAAACAGTGTTTCCAAACTGCTGAATGAAAACAATGATGTAGCTCTGTGAGATGATTGCACACATCACAAAGCTGTTTCTCAGATAGCTTCCTTTAGGTTTTTTTTTCTGGAATATTTGCTTTTTCATCTTTTGCCTCAGTGAGTTCCCAAATATCCCTTCACAGGTTGTACAACAGTGTTCACAAACTGCAAAAGGCAAAAAAAGTTTTAACTCTGTGAGATGAATGTACACATCATAAAGCGGTTTCTCAGATAATTTCCATCTAGTTTTTTTTTCTGGGATATTCACTTTCTTGCCTATTACATCATTAAGCTCCAAATTTACCTTCGCAGATTGTACAACAGGGTTTCCAAACTGCTGCAACCACACAAAGGTTTAACTCTGTTAGACGAATGCACATATCACAAAGCTGTTTTTCAGAAAACTTCCTTCTAATTTTTTCTGAAGATATTTCCTTTTTTGCCATAGGCCTCAATGCACTCTCAAATATCCCTTCGCGGATTCTGCCAAAACAGTGTTTCTGGACTGCTGTATGGGAAGAAAAATTTATCTCTGAGAGATGAATGCACACATCACAAAGCAGTTTCTCAGGGAGCTTCCTTCTCGTTTTAGTCCTGGGATATTCACTTTTCCACCTTTGACTTTTATGAGTTCCCAAATATCCATTCTGTGAATGGACAAAAACAGTGTTTGCAAACTGCTAATTCCACAGACATGTTTAATAATGTGAGATGAAAGCACACATCACAAAGAAGTTTCTCAGAAAGCTTCTTTCTAGTTTTTATTTGAAGATATTTCCTTTTTCACCATAGGCCTCAATGCATTCCCAAATATTCCTTCAGAGATTCTGCAAAAACAGTGTCTCCAAACTGCTGAAGGAAAAGAAAGGTTTAACTCTACCAGACGAATGCACACATCACAAAGAAGTTTCTCAGATAGCTTCCTTCTAGTTTTGATCCTGGCATATTTGCTTTTTCAACATTGGCCTCAATGAGCTCCCAAACTTCCATTAGTAGGATGGACAAAAACAGTTTTTGCAAACTGCTGATACCACAGAAACCTTTACCTCTATGAGATGAATGTAAATATCACAAAGCAATTTCTCAGAAAGCTCCTTTCTACTTTCTATCTGGAGATATTTCCTTTTTCACCATAGGCCTCATTGCGCTCCCAGATATAACTACACAGATTCTACGAAAACAGTGTTTCCACACTGCATAATGAAATGAAAGGTTTAACTCTCCGAGGTAAATGCACACATCCCAAAGCACTTACAAAGCTTCTTTCTTGTTTTTATCTGAAGATACTTCCTTTTTCACCATAGGCCTCAATGCATTCTGAAATATCCCTTCTTGGATTCTGCCAAAACAGTGTTTCCACACTGCTGAATGAAAAGAAAGCTTTAACTTGGTGAGGTGAATATGCACAAAATGGTTTCTCAGACAGCTTTCTTTTAGTTTTGACCCTGGGATATTCACTTTTTCACCACTGGCCCCAATGAGCTTCCAAATACCCCTTCACAGATTCTACAACAAGTGTGTTTCCAAACTGCTGAATCCAAAGAAATGTTTAACTCTGTGAGATGAATGCACACATCACAAAGCAGGTTCTCAGAAAGCTTCTTTCTAGTTTTTATCTGAAGATATTTCCTTTTTCACCATAGGCCTCTATGAACTCCCAAATATCCCTTCATGGAATCTGCCAAAACAGTGTTTCCAGACTGCTGAATGAAAAGAATATATCTGCGAGGTGAATGCACATGTCACAAAGCCATTTCTCAGAAAGCTTCTTTCTAGTTTTTATACGAAGATATTTCCTTTTTCACCATAGGCCTCAAAGCTCTCCCAGATATCCCTTCGCAGATTCTATGAAAACAGTGTTTCTAAACTACTGAAAGAAATGAAAGGTTTAACTGCCCGAGATGAATGCACACATCACTAAGTGGTTTCCCAGATAGTTTCCTTCTAGTTTCTATCCTGGGATATTCAATTTCTCATCATGGGTCTCAATGAGCCCCCAAATATCACTTTGCAGATTCTACAACAGTGTTTCCAAACTAGGGAATCAAAAGAAAGTGTTAACTCTGTGAGATGAATGCACACATCACAAAGCAGTCTTTCAGAAAGCTTCTTTCTAGTATTTATCTGAAGATATTTCTTTTTTCACCATAGGCCTCTATGCACTCCTAAACATCCATTCCCAGATTCTGCCAAAACAGTGTTTGCAGACCGTTGGATGGAAAGAATAGTTTGTCTCTCAGATATGAATGCACACATCACAATGCAGTTTCTCAGAGTGCTTCCTACTACTTTATATCCTGGGATATTCACTGTTTTACCATTGGCCTCAATGAGCTCCCAAATGCCCATTTGCACAATGAAGATAAACAGTATTGGCATATGGCTGAATACACACAAAGGTTTAACTCTGTGAGTTGAATGTACACATCACAAAGCAGTTTCTCAAAATGCTTCTTTCTAGTTTTTATCTGGGGTTATTTCCTTTCTCACTATAGACCTCAGGGCACTCCCAGATATCACTTCGCAGATTCTATGAAAACAGTGTTTCCAAACTGCTGAATGAACAGAAAGGTTAACTCTGTGAGATGATTGCACACATCACAAAGCAGTTTCTCAAGTATCTTCCCTCTTGATTTTATCATAGGATATGCCCTTTTTCTCCATTGATCTGAAAGATTTCCCAAATGTCCATTCACAGAATGGACAAAAACAGTGTTTGCAAGCTACTGAAAACACACAAAGGTTGAGCTCTGTGAGAGGAATGCACACATCACAATGGAGTTTCTCAGAAAGCTTCTTTCTAGTTTTTATCTGAAGATATTTCCTTTTTCACCTTAGGCCTCAATGCACTTTCAAATATCCGTTTGCACATATTACACAAACAGTGTTTCCAAACTGCTGAAAGAAAAGAAAAGTTTAACTCTGCAAGATGAATGCACACATCACAAAGCCGTTTTTCAAATAGCTTCCTTCTAGTTTTTATCCTGGGATGTTCTCTGTTTCACCTTTGGATTCACTGTTCTCCCAAATATCATTTTCCAGATTCTACAACAGCAGTGTTTCCAACTGCAGAATCTAAAGAAAGGTTTAGCTCTGTGAGATTAATTGACACAGCACAAAGCAGGTTCTCAAAAAGTTTCTTTCTAGTTTTTATCTGAAGATATTTCCTTTTTCACCATAGGCCTCAATGTGCTCCCAGATATCCCTTCACAGATTCTATGAAAACAGGCTTCCCAGACTGCTGAACAAAAAGAAAGGCTTAACTCTGGGAGATGAATGCACACATCACAATGTAGTTTCTCAAATACATTCCTTCTAGTTTTTATCCTCAGATTTTTGCTTTTTTGCCTTTGGGCTCAATGAGTCCCCAAATATCCCTTCACAGATTCTACAACAGTGTTTTTCCAATGCTGAGAACAAAGAAAGCTTTATCTCTGTGAGATGAATTCACACATCACAAAGCAATTTCTCAGAATGCTTCTTTCTAGTTTTATTGGAAGATTATTCCTTTTTCACCTTAGGTCTCAATGCGCTCCCAAATATCCCTTCAGGGATTCTGCCATAACGGTGTTTCCAGATTGCTGAATGAACAGTAAGTTTTATTTCTGTGAGGTGAATGCACACATCACATAGCTGTTACTCAGATAGTTTCTTTCGAATTTTTATCCTGGGATACTGGCTTTTTGCCATTGGCCTCAAAGGTCTCCCAAAAATTCCTTCACAGATTCTACAACAACAGTGTTTTCAAATTGCTGAATCCACAGAATGGTTTAAATCTGTGAGGTGAATGGATGCATCCCAAGGAAGTTTCTCAGAAAGCTTCTTTGTAGTTTTTTTCTGAAGATACTCCCTTTTTCACCTTAAGCCTCAAAGCACTCCCAAATATCACTTTGAAAATTCTATGAAAACAGTGTTTCCAAACTGCTCAATGAAAAGAAAGGTTTATCTCTGTGAGATGAATGCACACATGACAAAGAAGTTTCTCAGAAGGCTTCTTTCTTGTTTTTATCTGATGATATTTCCTTTTTCATCGTAGGCCTCAATGCACTCCCAAATATCCCTTCACGGTTTCTGTCAAAAGAGTGTTTCCAAACTGCTGAATGAAAAGGAAGGTTTATCTCTGCAAGGTGAATGCACCCATCACAAGGTGCTTTCTCAGACAGCTTCCTTCTCGTTTTTATCTTGGGATATTCACTTTTTTGCCATTAGCCTCAATGAGATCCCAAGTGTCCCTTCACAGATTCTACAATGACAGTGTTTTTCCAACTGCTGAAACCAAAGAAAGGTTGATCTCTATGAGATGAATGCACACATCACAAAGCAGTTTCTCAGAAGGCTTCTTTCTAGTTTTTATCAGAAGATATTTCCTTTTCCGCCATAGGTCCCAATGTGCTCCCAAATATCCCTTCAGGGATTCCACCATAACAGTGTTTCCAGATTGCTGAATGAAAAGTAAGTGTTACTTCTGTGAGGTGAATGCACACATCACATAGCTGTTACTCAGCTTCTTTCGAATTTTTATCCTAGGATACACTCTTTTCTGTCATAGGCCTCAAAGGGCTCCCAAATATTCCTTCACAGATACTACAACAACAGTGTTTTCAAATTGCTGATTCTGCAGAATGGTTTAACTCTGTGAGGTGAATGGACACATCCCAGAGAAGTTTCTCAGAAAGACTCTTTCTAGTTTTTTTTTTCTGAAGATACATCCTTTTTCACCATATTCCTCAAAGCACTCCCAAATATCACTTCGCAGATTAGAAAAAAACAGTGTTTCCAAACTGCTCAATGAAAAGAAAGGTTTAACTCTGCAAAATGAATGCACACATCACAAACCAGTTTCTCAAAGAGCTTTCTTCTAGTTTTTGTCCTGTGATATTCCCTCCTTCACCACTGACCTCAATGAGCTCCAGCATATCCCTTCACAGATTCCACAACAACAGTGTTTCCAAAATGCTGAACCCAAAGAAAGATTTAACTCCTTGAGACGGATGCACATATCACAAAGCTGTTTCTCAGAAAGCTTCATTATAGTTTTTATCTGAAGATATTTCCTTTTTCAACATAGGCCCCAATGTGCTCCCAAGTATCCCTTTGGGGATTCTGCCAGAACAGTGTTTCCAGATTGCTGAATGAAAAGTAAGTTTTACTTCTGCAAGGTGAATGCATACATCACAAAGCTGTTCCTCAGATAGCTTCCTTCTAGTTTTTATCCAGGAATATTCACTTTTATGCCACTGGCCTAAATGAGCTCTCAAATATCCCTTCACCGATTCGACAACAACAGTATTTCCAAACTTCTGAATCAAAATAAAGGTTTAATTCTGTGAGATGAATGCACACATCACAAAGCGGTTTCCCAGAATGCTTCTTTCTACTTTTTATCTGAAGATGTTTCCTTTTTTACCATCAGCCTCAATGCGCTCCCAAATATCTCTTCGTGGATTCTGCCAAAACAGTGTTTCCAGACATAAGTGTGAAAAGAAAGTTTTACCTCTGCAAGGTGAATGCACACATCACAAAGAGATTTCTCAGATAGCTTCTTTCTAGTTTTTATCCTGGGATATTTGCTTTTTCGCCTTTGGCCTCAATGAGCTCCAAAATGTCCATTCACAGAATGGACAAAAACAGTGTTTCCAAACTGTTGATTCCACAGAAAGTGTTATTTCTATGAGAAGAATGCATACATCACAAAGATGTTTCTAAAATAGCTTCCTTCTTATTTTTTATCCTGGGAAATTTGCTTTTTTGCCATTGACATCAATGAGCTCCCAAATGTCCATTTGCAGAAAGTACAAAAAACAGTGTTTGCAAACTGTTGAATCCACAGAATGGTTTAACTCTGTGAGATGAATGTACACATGAGAAAGCAGTTTCTCAGAAAGCTTCTTTCTAGTTTTTGTCTGAAGATATTTCCTTTTACACCATAGGCCTCATTGCACACCAAAATATCCCTTCGGGGATTCTGCCAGAACAGTGTTTCCAGATTACTGAATGAAAAGCAAGTTTTACTCTGTGAGTGGAATGCACACATCACAAAGCTGTTTCTCAGAGGGCTTCCTTCTAGTTTTTGTCCTTGGATACTGACTTTTTGGCCATTGGTCTCAAAGAGCTCCCAAATATTCCTTTGTGGATTCTGCAACAACAGTGTTTTCCAACTGCTGAATCCACTGATGGTTTAACTCTGTGAGGTGAATGCACACGTCACAAAGCAGTTTCTCAGAAAGCTTCTTTTAGTTTTTTCTGAAGATATTTTCTTTTTCACCATAGGCTTCAAAGCGCTACCATATATCACTTGGCAGATTCTAGGAAAACAGTGTTTGCAAACTGCTGAATGAAAAGAAACATTTAATTTTGCAAGATGAATACACACATCACAGAGCAGTTTCTCAAATACCTTCATTCTAGTTTTTATGTTGGGATATTCACTTGTTCACAATTGACCTCAAAGAGATCCCAAATATCCTTTTGCAGATTCTACAACAACAGTGTTTCCAAACTGCTGAATCCAAAGAAATGTTTCACTCTATGAAATGAATGCACACGCCAGAAAGCAGTTTTTCAGAAAGATTCTTTCTCGTTTTTATCTGAAGACATTTCCTTTTTCACCATAGGCTTCAATGTGTTCCTTTATATCCCTATGCAGATACTATGAAAACAATGTTTCCAGACTGCTGTGTTAAAAGAAAAGTTTAACTCTGCGAGATGAATGCACACATCACAAAGCCGTTTCTCACATAGATTCCTTCTAGTTTTTAAACTGAGATATGTGCCTTTTTGCCATTCACCTCAAAGAGCTCCCAAATGTCCATCTGCAGATTCTATAACAACAGTGTTTCCAAATTGCTGAATCAAAAAACAGATTTAACTCTGTGAGATGAGTGCACACATCACAAAGCTGTTTCTCAGAATGCTTCTTTCTAGTTTTTATCTGAAGATATTTCCTTTTTCACCATAGGCCTCAATGCACTCCCAAGTATCCCTTCACAGTTTCTGCCAAAACAGTGTTTCCTGACTGCTGTTGAAAAAGAATATTTTAACTCTGCAGGGTGAACGCACACATCACAGAGCAGTTTCTCAAATAGCTTAATTCTAGTTTTTATCCTGGACATTCTCTTTTTCACCATCGGTCCCGATGAGCTCCCAAATGTTCATTCACAAAATGGAAAAAAACAGCGTTTGCAAACTGCTGAATCCAGAGAAATGTTTAACTCTGTGAGATAAATGCACACATCACAAAGCAGTTTCTCAGAAAGATTCTTTCTAATTTTCATCTGAGCATATTTCCTTTTTCACCTTAGGCATCTATGCTCTCCCAAATATCACTTTGCAGATTCTGCCAATGCAGTGTTTCCAGACTGCTGTTGGGAAAGAATGTTTTAACTCTTTGAGGTGAATGCACACATCACAAAGCAGTTACTCAGATATCTTCTTACTAGTTTTTATCCTGGGATATTCTGTTTTTCACCATTGGCCTCAATAATATCCCATATATCCATTCACAGGTTCTACAACAGTGTTTGCAAACTGCTGAATCCACAGAAAGTTGTAAATCTGTGATATGAATGCAAAGATCACAAAGCAGTTTCCTCAAAAGCTTCTTTCTAGTGTTTATCTGAAGATATTTCCTTTTGTTTTTTTTTTCTTTTTGGAGATGGAGTCTCACTCTGACACCCAGGCTGGAGTGCAGGGGATGATCTCGGCTCTATGCAAGCTCTGCCTCCCCAGTTCATGCCATTCTTTTGCCTCAGCCTGACATGTAGCTGGGACTGCAAGTGCCTGCCACCATGCCTGGATAATTTTTTCTGTTTTTAGTAGAGATGGGGTTTCACTTTGTTAGCCAGGATGGTCTTGATATCCTGACCTCGTGACCCTCCTGCCTTGGTCTCCAAAAGAGCTGGGATTACAGGTGTGAGCCACCACAGCCAGACTCCTTCTTCACCATACATCTCAATGCACTCCCAGATATCCCTTTGCAGATACTAAGAAAACACTGTTCCCAAATTGCTGAATGAAAAGAAAGATTAAACTCTGTTAGATGAATGCACACACCAAAAAGCTGTTTCTCATATAGTTTCCTTATAGTTTTTATCCTGGAATATTCACTTTTTGCCTTTGGTCTCAATGAGCTCTGTAATATCCCTTTGCATATTCTACAACAACACTATTTTCAAATTGCTGATTCCAAAGAAAGGTTTAACTCTGTGAAATGAATGCACACGTCATAAAGCAGTTTCTCAGAGAGCTTCCTTATGGTTTTTATCTGAAGATATTTCCTTTTTCACCATAGGTCTCAATGTGCTCAAAATATCCCTTTGCTGCTACTGTCAAGACAGTGTTTCCAGACTTCTGTATGAATAGAACCTTTTTAACATTATGAGGTGAATGCACACATCACAAAGCATTTATTCAGATAGCTCCTTTCTAGTTTTTATCCTGGGATATTCCCTTTTTTGTGATTGGCCTCAATAAGCTCCCAAAGGTCCATTTGCAGATTCTACAAGAGTGGTTGCCAACTACTGAATCCACAGAAAGGTTTAAATCTGTGATATGAATGCACAGATAACAATGCAGTTTCTCAGAAAGTTTCTTTCTAGTTTTCCTCAGAAGATATATCATTTTTCACCATAGGTCTCAATACGTTCCTAAATATGTCTTCATGGATACTGCCAAAACACTGTTTCCAGACTGCTGAATGAAAAGAAGGTTTTCACTCTGTGAGAAGAATGCACACATCAAAATCAATTGTCCATATAGCTTCCTTCTAGTTTTGATCCTGGGATATTCAATTTTTCACCATTGGCCTCATTGAGCTCTCAAATGTCCAATCGCAGAAGGGATAAAAACTGTTTGCAAGCTGCTGAAGCCACAGAAATATTTATCTCTGTGAGGTGAATGTATATATCACAAGCAGTTTCTCAGAAAACTTCTTTCTAGTTTTTATCTGAAGATATTTCCTTTTTCACCATAAGCCTCAATGTGCTCCCAGATATCCCTTCATAGACACTATGAAAACAGTGTTTCCAAACTGCTGAATGAAAAGAAAGGTTTAACTCTGTGAGATGAATGCACATATCACAAAGCAGTTTATCAAATAGCTTCCTTCTAGTTTTTATCCTGGGAGATTCACTTTTTCGCCATTGACCTCAAAGAGCTCCCAAATGTCAATTCACAGAATGGACAAAAACAGTGTTTGCAAACTATGAAATACACAGAAAGGTTGAATTCTGTGAGATGAATGCACACATCACAAAGCAGTTTATCAGAAAGCTTCTTTCTAGTTTTCTTCTGAAGGTATTTCCTTTTTCACCGTAGGCCTCATTACACTAACAGATATCACTTCGCAGATACTCAGAAAACAGGGTTTACAAACTGCTAATTGAAAAGAAAGGTTTAATTTTGTTAGGTGAATGAACACATCATGAAGCAATTTCTCAAATACCTTCATTCTAGTTTTTATATTGGGATATTCGCTTTTTCGCCATTGACCTCAAAGAGTTCCTAAATATCCTTTAACAAATTCTACAACAACATTGTTTCCAAACTGCCGAATCAAAAGAAATGTTTCACTCTGTGAAATGAATGTACACATCAGAAAGCAGTTTCTCAGAAAGTTTCTTTCTAGTTTTTATCTGAAGATACTTCCTTTTTCACCATTGGCCTCAAATCGCTCCCAAATATAACTGTGCATATTTTAGAAAAACAGTGTTTCCAAACTGCTGAATGAAAAGAAGGCCTAACTCTGAGAGATGAATGCACCCATCAAAAAGCAGTTTATCAGAGAGCTTCCTTCTAGTTTTTTTTCTTGGGATATTCACTTTCTATACTTTGGCCTCATTAAGCACCCAATTATTCCTTCACTGATCTGCAACCACAGTGTTTCCAAACTGCTGAATACAAAGATAGTTTTAGCTCTGTGAGATGAATGCACACATCACCAAGCAGTTTCTCAGAAAGCTTCTTTCTATTTTTCATCTGAAGGTATTTCCTTTTTCACCATAGGCCTCAATGTGCTCCCAAATATCTCTTTGCAGATTCTGCCAAAACAGTGTTTCCAGACTGCTGAATGAAAAGAAATATTTAACTCTGTGAGGTGAATGCACACATCACAAAGCAGTTTCTCAGATAGCTTCCTTCTAGTTTTTCTCCTGGGATGTTCACTTTTTGCCATTAGCATAAATGAGCTCCCAAATATCCCTTCTCATATTCTACAACAACAGTGCTTCCAAACAGCTGAATCCAAAGAATGGTTTAACTCTGTGAGATGAATGCACACATCGCAAAGCACTTTGTCAGAAAGTTACTTTCTAGTTTTTATCTGAAGATATTCCCATTTTCACCATAGGCCTCTATGTGCTCCCAGATATCAGTTCTCAGATTCTACAAAAACAGTGTTTCCAAATGGCTGAATGAAAAGCATGTTTTAACTCTGTGAGATGAATGCACACATCACAAAGCTGTTTCTCAGATTGTTTCCTTCTACTTTTTTTCCTCGGGTGTTTCCTTTTTTGCCATTCACCTTAATGAGCTCTCAAATATCAATTCGCAGATTCTAAAACTACAGGGGTTCCAAACTGCTGAATCCACAGAAAGGTTTAACCCTGTGAGATGAATACACGCATCACAAAGCAGTTTCTCAGAAACCTTCTTTCTAATTTTTACATGAAGATATTTCCTTTTAAACCATAGGCTTCAATGAGCTCCCAAATATCCTTTCACAGAATGGAAAAAAACAGTGTTGCAAACGACTGAATCCACAGAAAGGTTTAGCTCTATGAGATGAATGCACACATCACAAAGCAGTTTTTCAGAAATCTTCTTTCTAGTTTTTATCTGAAGATATTTCCTTTTTCACCATAGGCCACTATGCGCTTTGAGATATCCCTTTGCAGATTCTATAAAAACAGTGTTTCCAAACTGCTGAATGAAAAGAAAGTTTTACTCTATGAGATGAATGCACACATCACAATGTAATTTCTCAGTAAGTGTATTTCTAGTTTTATCTGAAGATATTTCCTTTTTCACCATAGTCCTGAATGAACTCCAAACATTCCTTTGCATATTCTACCAAAACAGTTTTTCCAGACTGCTGAATGAAAAGAAAGTTTTAACTCTGTGAGGTAAATGCACACATCACAAAGTGGTTTGTCAGATAGCTTTCTTCTAGTATTTATCCTGGGATATTTTCTTTTTCACCAGTGACCTAAATGAGCTCCCAAACATCCTTTCGCAGATTCTACAACAACACTGTTTCCAAACTGCTGATTTCAAAGAAATGTTTAAATCTATGAGATGAATGCACACCTCAAAAAGCAGTTTCTCAGAAAGCTTCATTCTAGTTTTTATCTGAAATTTTTTTTTCAACAAAGGCATGTATGCGCTCCCAATTTTCTCCTCACGTATCCTGTCAAAACAGTGTTTCCAGACTGCTGAATGAAAAGAAAAGTTTATCTCTTCAAGGTGAATGCACACATCACAAAGAAGTTTTTTAGAAAGCTTCTTTCTAGTTTTTATCTGAGGATATTACCTTTTTCAACATAGGCCTTAAACCACTCCCAAATATCCCATCATGGATTCTGCCAAAATAGTGTTTCTAGCCTGTCAGATGAAAATAAGATTTTAACTCTTCGAGACGAATGCACACATCACAAAGCAGTTTCTCAGATAGCTTCCTTCTAGCTTGTATCCTAGGATATTCACTCTATCGTCATTGGCTTCTATGAGCTCCCAACTGTCCATTTGCAGAATGGACAATAATGTTTTCAATGCACTGTATCAAAAGAAAGGTTTAACTCTGTTAGATTAATGCACACAACTCAAAGAAGTTTTTCAATAAACTTCTTTCTATTTTTTATCTGAAGATTTTTCCTTTTTCATCATAGGCCTCAAAGCACTCCCAAATATCACTTCACAGATTCTATGAAAATAGTGTTTCCAAACTGCTGAATGAAAGAAAAGATTTATCTCTGAGAGATGAATGCACACATCACAAAACGGGTTCTCAGATAGCTTCCTTCTAGTTTTTTCCTGGGATATTCAATTTCTCACATTTGGACTCATTAAGCTCCCAAATTCCCCTTTGCAGATCCTACAACAACAGAGTTTCCAAACTGCTGAATCTAAAGAAAGGTTTAACTCTCTGAGATGAATGCACACATCACAAAGCAGTTTCTCAGAAAGCTTCTGTCTAATTTTTATCTGATATTTCCTGTTTTCATCATAGACCTCAATGCACTCCCAAATATCCCTTCACAGATTCTGCCAAAACATTTTTTCCAGACGGCTGAATGAAAAGAAAATTTTAACTCTGTGAAGCAGATGTTCATGTCACAAAGCAGTTTCCCAGATAGATTTCTTCTCAAATTTTTCCTGGTATATTTTTTTTCTCACTTTTGGCCTCATTAAGCTCCCAAATATCCCTTCACAGATTCTACAACAACAGTGTTTCCAAACTGCTGATACCAAAGAAAGGTTTAACTCTGTGAGATATGAATGCACACATCACAAAGCAGTTTCTCAAAAGCTTCTTTCTAGATTTATGTGAAGATATTTCCTTTTTCACCATAGGCCTCGATGCACTCCAAAATATCCCTTTGCGGATGTTGTCAAAACTCTGTTTCCAGACTGCAGAATTAAAAGAAGATTTTAACTCTGTGAAGTGAATGCAGACATCACAAAGCTGTTTCTCAGATTGCTTCCTTCTAGTTTTTATCCTGGAATTTTCACATTTTTGCCATTGGTCCTAGTGAGCTCATAAATGTCCATTTGCAGAATGGACGAAAACAGTGCTTGCAAACTGCTGAATCCACAGAAAGTTTTAACTCTGTCAGATGAATACACACATCACAAAGCAGTTTCTCAGAAAGCTTCTATCTAGTTTTTATCTGAAGATATTGTCTTTTTCACCATAGGCTTCAAATACGCTCCCAGATATCCCTTCATAGATACTATAAGAGCAGTGTTTCCAAACTGCTGAATGAAAAGAAAGGTTTAACTCTGTGAGATGAATGCACACATCACAAGCTGGGTTCTCAGCTAGCTTCCTTCTACTTTTTATCCTGGGACAATCACTTTTTCACCAATGGCCTAAATAAACTCCCAAATATCCATTCGCAGAATGCACAACAACAGTGTTTTCAATCTGCTGTATCCAAAAAAAGGTTTAACTCTATGAGATGAACGCACACATCTCAAAGCAGTTTCTCAGAAAGCTTTTTTCTAGTTTTAATCTGAGATATTTCCTTTTTCATCATAGGCCTCAATGGGCTCAAAGTTATCACCTTGCACATTCTATGAAATTAGAGTTTCCAAACTGCTGAATGAAAAGAAAGGATTAGCTCTGAGAAATGCATGCACACATCACAAAGTGGTTTCTTAGATAGCTTCCTTCTAGTATTTATCCTTGGGTATTTGCTTTTTTGCTATTGGCCACAATGAGCTCCCAAATATCCCTTCGCAGATTCTACAACAACAGAGTTTCCAAACTGCTGAATCCATAAAAAGGCTTAGCTCTGTGGGATGAATGCACACAATACACAGCAGTTTCTCAGATAGCTTCCTTCCAGTTGTCACCTGGGATATTTGATTTTTCGATATTGGACTCAATGAGCTCCCAAATGTCCATTTGCAGAATGGACAAAAACAGTGTTTGCAAATGGCTGAATCCACAGAATGGTTTAACTTTGTGAAATGAATTCACACATCATGAAGGAGTTTCTCAGAAAACTTCTTTCTAGTCTTTATCTGAAGATATTTCCTTTTTCACCTTAGACCTCAATACTTTCTCTGATATCTGCTTATAGATTCTATGAAAACAATGTTTCCAAACTGCTGAATTAAAAGAAAGATTTAACTCTGTGAGAGGAATGCACACATCACAAAGCCGTTTCTCAGATATGTTCCTTCTACTTTTTTTCCTGGGATATTCACTTTTTTTGCCATTGGCTTCAATGAGCTCCTAAATATCCCTTCACAGATTCTACAACAACAGTGTTTCCAAACCGCTGAAACCAAATAAATGTTTTACTCTGAGAAATGAATGCACACAACAGAAAGCAGTTTCTCAGAAAGCTTCTTTCTAGTTTTTATCTGTAGATATTATTTCCTTTTTCACCATAGGCTTCAATGCACTCCCAAATATAACTGTGCAGTTTCTACAAAAACAGTGTTTCCAAACTGCTGAATGAAAAGAAAGGTTTAACTCTGGGAGATGAATGCACCCATCACAAAGTGGTTTCCCAGATAGCTTACTTCTAGTGTTTTTGCTGGAATGTTCCCTTTCTTGCCTTTGGCCTCATTATGCACCAAAGTATCCCTTTGCAGGATCTGCAACAACAGTGTATCCAAATTGCTGAATCCAAAGGAAGGTTTAACTCTGTGAGATGAATACACACCTCACAAAGCAGTCTCTCAGAAGCTTTTTTCTAGTTTTTATCCGAAGGTATTTCCTTTTTCACCATGGGTCTCAATGTGCTCCCAAATATTCCTTTGTGGATTCTGCCAAAACAGTGTTTCCAGAGTGCAGAATGAAAACAAAATTCTAACTCTGTGAGTTGAATGCACACATCACCAAGCAGTTTCTCAGATAGCTTCCTTCTAGTTTTTATCCTGGGATGTTTCCTTTTTCACCACTGGCCTCAGTGAGCTCCCAAATATCCCTTCACAGATTCTAAAACTACAGTGATTCCAAAATGCTGAATCCAAAAAAAGGTTTAACTCTGTGAGATGAATGCAGACATCAGAAAGCAATTTATCAGAAATCTTCTTTCTAATTTTTATGTGAATATATTTCCTTTTTCACCATAGGCCTCAATGAGCTCCCAAGCTTCCCTTCACAGATGGACAAAAACAGTGTTTGCAAATGGCTGAATCCACAGAAAGGTTTAACACTGTGAGGTGAATGCACACATCACAAAGTAGTTTCTCAGAAGCTTTCTTTCTAGTTTTTATCTGAAGATATCTTCTTTTTCACCACAAGCCTCAATGTGCTCCTAAATATCCCTTCGTGGATTTGCCAAAACAGTGTTTACAGACGACTGAATGAAAAGAAGATTTTAACCCTGCGAGATGAATGCATACATCACAAAGAGGTTTATCAGATAGCTTCCTTCTGGTTTTTATCCTGGGATATTTGCTTTTTTGCCATTGGCCTCAAAGAGCTCGCGAATGCCCATTCTCAGAATGGACAAAAACAGTGTTTGCAAACTGCTGAATCCACAGAAAGTTTTAACTCTTTGAGGTGAATGTGTATATCACAAAGCAGTGTCTCACAAAGATTCTTTCTAGTTTTTAGCTCAAGGTACTTGCTTTTTCACTATAGACCTCAATGCTATCCTAGATGTTACCGTGCAGATTCTATGAAAACAGTGTTTCCAAACTGCTGAATGAAAAGAAAGGTTTAATTCTGTGAGATGAATGCACACAGCACAAACTGGTTTCTCAGATTGCTTCCTTCTAGTTTTTATCATGGGATATTTGCTTTTTCACCATTGGCCTCAATGAGCTCCAAAATGTCCATTTGCAGAATGGACAAAAACAGTGTTTGCAAATGGCTGGATTCACAGAAAATTTTATCTCTGTCAGGCGAATGCACACATCCCAGAGCAGTTTCTTAGAAAACTTCTTTCTATTTTTTATCTGAAGATATTTCCTTTCCCACCATAGGACTCAATGCACTCTCAGATATCCCTTGGTAGATTCTACAAAAACAGTGTTTCCAAACTGCTGATGGAAAAGAAAAGTTTAACTCTGTGGGATTAATGCAGACTTCTCAAAGTGGCATCTCAAATAGCTTCCTTCTAATTTTTATCCTTGATGTTCTCTTTTTCACCATCGGTCTCAATGAGCTCCCACACATCCCTTCACAGATTCTGCAACAACAGTGTTTCAAAACTGCTGATCCAAAGAAAGATTTAACTATGTGAGGTGAATGCACATGTCTCAAAGAAGTTTCTCAGAAAGCTTCTTTCTAGTTTTTATTTGAAGATATTTCATTTTTCATCATGGGCCTCAATGCGCTCCAAGATATCACTTTGCAGATTCTATGAAAACAGTGTTTCCAAACAGCTGAATGAAAAGAATGGTTTATCTGTGAGAGATGAATGAACGCATCACAAAGCACTTTCTCAGAGAGCTTCCTTCTAGATTTTTTCCTGGGATATTCACTTTCTCATATGCTACAACAGCAGATGCTACAACAACAGTGGTTCCAAACTGCTGAATCCAAAGAAAGTCTTAACTCTGTGAGATGAATTCATACATCACAAAGCAGTTTTTCAGAAAGCTCCTTTCTAGTTTTTACCTGAAGATATTTCCTTTTTCACCAAAGGCCACAATGTGTTCCAAGATGTCCTTTTGCAGATTCTACAAAAACAGTGTTTCCAAACGGCTGGCATCACAAAGCCGGTTCTCAGATTGCATCCCTCTAGTTTTTATTCTGGAATATTCACTTTTTCACCATTGGCCTCAATGAGCTCCCAAATGTCCATTCGCAGAATGGACAAAAACAGTGCTTGCAAACAGCTGAATCCTCAGAAAGGTTTAACTTTGTCACATGAATGTACACATCAAAAATAAGTTTCTCAAAAGCTTCTTTCTAGTTTTTATCTGAAGATATTTCTTTTTTCACCATAGGCCTCAATGCATTCCCTTATAACACTTAACAGATTCTATGAAAAAACTCTTTCCAAACTCCTGAACGAAAAGAAAATTTTAAATCGTGAGATGAATGCACACGTCACAAAGCAGTTTCTCAGAAAGCTCCTTTCTGGTTTTTATCTGAAGATACTTCTTTTTTAAACATAGGCCTCAATGAGCTCCCAAATATCCCTTCACAGATTCTACAACAACAGTTTCCAAACTGCTGATTCCAAAGAAAGGTTTAACTCTGTGAGATTAATGCACACATCACAAAGCAGTTTCTCAGATAACTTCCTTCTAGTTTTTATTCTGGGATATTTTCTTTTTTGCCATTGGCTTTGATGAGCTCCAAAATGTCCAGTGGCAGAATAGTCAAAAACAGTGTTTTAAGCTGCTGAATACACAGAAATATTTAACTCTGTGGGATGAATGCACACATCTCAAAGCAGTCTCTCAGAAAGCTTCTTTCTAGTTTTTATCAGAAGATATTTCCTTTTTCACCATGGACCTCAATGAGCTCTGTGTTATCCCTTCGCAGATTCTATGAAAACAGTGTTTCCAAACTGGTGAATGCAAAGGAAGTTTTAACTCTGTGAGATACATGCACACATCACAAACCATTTTCTCAGATTGCATCCTTCCAGTTTTTTTCCTGGGTAATTTGCTTTTTGGCTGTTTGTCTTAATGAGCTCCCAAATATCCCTTCACAGATTCTGAAACAAAAGTGTTTCCAAACTGCTGAATCTAAAGAAAGGTTTAAATCTGTGCAATGAATGCACACATCACAAAGCAGTTTCTCAAAATCTTCTTTCTAGATTTATTGGAAGATATTTCCTTTTTCACCTTTGGCCTCAATGTGCTCCCAGATATCACTTCACAGGTTTTATGAAAACACTGTTCCCAAAGTCCTGAAAGAAAAGAAAGATTTAAATCTGCAAGATGAGTGCACATATCACAAAGCAGTTTCTCAGAAAGCTTGTTTCTACTTTTATCTGAAGATATTTCCTTTTTTAAACAGAAGCCTCAATGAGCTCCAAAATGTCCCTTTGTGGATTCTGCCAAAACAGGTTTTCCAAACTGCTGAATAAAAATAAAGTTTTAAATCTGCGAGATGAATGCACATAACAAAGTGGTTTGTCAGATAGATTTCTTCCAGTTTTTTTCCTGGGATATTCAATTTTTCACCATTTACCTCAATGAGCTCCCAAATATCCTTTCTCAGATTCTGGGACAACAACGTTTCCAAACTGAGGAATTCAAAGGAAGGTTTAACTCTATAAGATGAATGCACACATCAAAAAGCAGTTTCTCAAAATCTTCTGTCTAGATTTATCTGAAGATATTTCCTTTTTCACAATAGGCCTCAATGCGCTACCAGATATCCATTCTTATATTCTGCCAAAAAAGTTTTCTCAGACTGCTGAATGAAAAGAGAGGTTTAACTCTGCTAGATGAATGCATGCATCACAAAGTGGTTTCTCAGATTGCTTCCTTCTAGTTTTTATCCTGGGATATTCGCTTTCTCACCATTAGCCTCAATGAGCTCCCAAGTGTCCTTTTGCAGAATGGACAAACACAGTGTTTGCAAACAGCTGAATCCACAGAAATTTTTAACTCTGTGCGATGAATGCACACATCACAAAGCAGTTTTTTGGAAAGCTTCTTTCGAGTTTTTATTGGAAAATATTTCCTTACATAGGCCTCAGTGTGCTCCCAGATATCCCTTCACAGATTCTAGGAAACCAGTGTTTTCAAACTGCTTAATGAAAAGTAAGGTTTAACCCTGTGAGATGAATGCACACATCACAAAGCTGTTTCTCAGATAGCTTCCTTCTAATTTTTATCCTGGGATATTCTCTTTTTTGCCATCGACCTCAATGAGCTCCCAAATATTCCTTCACAGATTCTATGACAACAGAGTTTCCAAACTGATGAATCCAAAGAAAGTTTTAACTCTGTGAGACGAATGCACACATCACTAAAGCAGTTTCTCAGATAGCTTCCTTCTAGTTTTTATTCTGGGATATTCTCTTTTTCGCTATTGGCTTTAATGAGCTCTCAAATGTCCAGTCACAGATGGTCAAAAACAGTGTTTCCAAACTTCTGAATCCACAGAAATGTTTAACTCTGTGAGATGAATGCACACATCACAAAGCAGTCTCTCAGAAAGCTTCTTTCTAGTTTTTATCTGAAGATATTTCCTTTTTCACTATAGGCCTCAATGAGTTCTAAATTAACCCTTTGCAGATTGTACAAAAACAGTGTTACCAAACTGCTGAATGCAAAGAAAAATTTAACTCTGTGAGATAAATGCACATAACAGAAATCGTTTTCTCAGAATGCTTCCCTCTAGTTTTTTCCTGGGAAATTGGCTTTTTCACCATTCACCTTAATGAGCTCCCAAATATCCCTTCACAAGTTCTAAAACAAGAGTTTTTCCAAACTGCTGAATCCAAAGAAAGTTTAACTCTGGGTGATGAATGCACACATCACAAAGCAGTTTCTTAGAAATCTTCTTTCTAATTTTTATATGAATGTATTTCCTTTTTTACCAAAGGCCCCAATGTGCTCCCAAATATCCCTTTACAGAATGGAAAAAAACCGTGTATGCAAACGGCTGAATCCTCCCAATTGTTTAACTCTGTGAGGTGAATGCTCACCTCACAAAGCAGTTACTATGAAAATATTCACTTTTTCTCCATGGGCCTCAGTGAGCTCCCTGATATACCGTAAAAGATTCTACAACGACTGTGTTTCCAACTGTCAAATCCAAAGAAATGTTTAACTCTGTGAGATGAATGCACATATCACAAAGCAGTTTCCCAGGAAGCTTCTTTCTAGTGTTTATCTGAAGATATTTCCTTTTTCACCATAGGCCTCTATGCAATCATAAATATCACTACTTGGCATATCGTGTCAAAACAGGGTTTCCAGACTACTGAATGAAAAGAAGGTTTTAAGGTTGCTAGGTGATTGCACAAATCAAAAAGCGGTTTCTCAGATAGCTTAATTCCAATATTGATAATGGGATATTCGCTTATTCGTCATTGGCCTCAATGAGCTCCTAAATGTCCATTTGCAGAATGGACAAAAACAGTGTTTCTAGACTGCTGAATGAAAATAAAGGTTTTTCTCTGCAAAGTGAATGCACATATCACAAAGAGGTTTCTCAGATAGCTTCCTTCCAGTTTTTATAAAGGGATATTTGCTTTTTTCCTTTGGCCTCAATGAGTTCCCAGATACCCCTTTGCAGATTCTACAACAGTGTTTCTAAACTGCTTAATGAAAAAAAAGTTTTAACTCTGTGAGATGAATGCACACATCACAAAGCAGTTTCTCAGATTACTTCCCTCTGGTTTTATTCCTTGGGTATTCACTTTTTTGACATTTGCTTTAATCAGTTCTCAAATATCCCTTCAGAGATCCTAAAACAACAGTGTTTCCAAACAGCCCAGTGAAAAGAAAGATTTAACTCTGTGAGATGAATGCACACATCACAAAGCAGTTTCTCAGAAAATTTCTTTCTAATTTTTATGTGAAGATATTCTCTTTTTCACCATAGGCCTCAATGCACTCCCTAATATGCCTTTGCAGAATGGACAAAAACAGTGTTAGCAAATGGCTGAATCCACAGAAAGGATTAACCCTGTGAGATGAATGCACACATCACAAAGCGGATTCTCAGAGAGCTTCTTTCTAGTTTTTATCTGAAGATATTTCCTTTTTCACCATGAGCCTCAATGTGATCCCAGATATCACTTTGCAGATTCTACGAAAGCAGTGTTTCCAAACTGTTGATTGAAAAGAAAGGTTTAACTCTGTGAGATGAATGCATGCATAACTAAGCAGTTTCTCAGAAAGCATCTTTCTATTTTGTATCTAAATATATTTTCTTTTTCTCATAGGCCTCAATGCACTCCCATATATCCCATGGAGGATTTTACAAAAACAGTGTTTCCAGACTGCTGAATGAAAAGAAAGGTTATCTCTGCGAGGTGAATTCACACATCACAAAGAGGTTTCTAAGATAGTTTCCTTTCAGTTTTTATGCATGGATGTTCACTTTTTTGCCTCTGGTCTCCATGAGCACCAAATTGTCCATTGGCCTAATGGACAAAAACAGTGTTTGCAAACTGCTGAATCCAAATAAAGTTTTAACTCTGTGAGATGAATGCTGATATCCCAGAGCAGACTCTCAGAAAGCTTCTTTCTAGTTTTTATCTGAAGAGATTTCCTTTTCACCATAGGCCTAAATGCACTCCCAAATATCACTTCGCAGATATTTGAAAACAGTGTTTTGAAACTGCTGAATGAAATGAAAGGTTTAATTCTGCCAGATGAATGCACACATCACAAAGTGGTTTCACAAAGAGCTTCCTTCTAGTTTTTGTCCTGGGATATTCACTTTTTCCATTGGCTCAATGAGCTCTCAAATGCACATTTGCAGAATGGATAAAAACAGTGTTTACAAAATGCTGAATCCACAGAAAGTTTTAACTCTGTGAGATGAATGCATACATCACAGGGTAGTTTCTCTGAAAGCTTCTTTCTAGATTTTATCTGAAGATATGTTCTTTTTCACCATAGGGCTAAATGCATTCCAAAATATCCCTTTTGGGATTCTGTCAAAACAGTGTTTCCTGATTTCTGAATAAAAGAAAGCTTTATCTCTGTGAGGTGAATGCAAACATCACTAAGTGGTTTCTCAGATAGCTTCTTTCCAGTTTTTATCCTGGGATATTTGCGTTTTCATCATTGGCCTCAATGAGCTCCCAAATATCCCTTCACAGATTCTACAATAACAGTGTTTCCAAATTGGTGAACCCAAAGAAATTTTGAACTCTGTGAGATGAATGCATACATCTCAAAGAAGTTTCTCAGAAAGCTTCTTTCTAGTATTTATCTGAAGATATTTCCTTTTTCACCATAGGCCCCAATATGCTCCCAAATGTCCCTTTGCAATCACTAAAAAAACAGTGTTTTCAAACTGCTGAATATAAATGAATGTTTAACTCTCCGAGATGAATGCACACATCACAAAGCTGTTTCTCAGAATGCTTCTATCTAGTTTTTATCTGAAGGTATTTTCTCTTTCACCATAGATCTCAATACATTCCTAAATAACGTTTCCTGATTCTACAAGTGTGCTTCCACACTGCTGAATGTATAGAAAAGTTTACATCTGTGAAGTGAATGCTGACATCCCATAGCGGTTTCTCAGGTAGCTTCCTTCTTGTTTTTATCCTGGGATATTCACTTTTTTGCTATTCACGTCAATGAGCTCTGAAATATCCATTTGCAGAAAGGACAAAAACGGTGTCTCCAAACTGCTGAATCAAAAGAAAGGTTTAAGTCTGTGAGATGAGTGCACACATCACAAAGCAGTGTCTCAGAAACTTTATTTCTAGTTTTTATCTGAAGATATTTCCCTTTTCTCATTAGGAATCAATGTGCTCCCAAATACTCCCCCTCAGATTCTACAAAAACGGTGTTTCAAAACTGGTGATTGAAAGGAAAGGTTTAGCTCCATGAGATGAATGCACACATCACCAAGCAGTTTCCCAGTGTGCTTCCTTCTAGTTTTTATGCTGGTATACTTGCTTTTTCAAAATTGGCCTCAAAGAGCTCCCAAATGTCCATTGGCAGAATAGACAACAACAGTGTTTTCAAACTGTAGAAATAAAATCAATTTTAACTCTGAAAGACGAATGCACGTATCACAAAGCACTATTTCAGATATGTTCCCCCTAGTTTATATCCAGGGATATTCACTTTTTCTCCATTTGTCTCAATGAGCTCCCAAATGTCCATTCACATAATAGATAAAAACAGTGTTTTAACACTATTGAATCAAAAGAAAGGTTTAACTCTGTGAGTTGAGTGCACCCATCACAAAGCAGTTTCCCTAAAAGATTCTTTTTAGGTTTATCTGAAGGTGTTTCTTTTTTCACCACAGGCCTCAATGCATTCCTAATATCCCTTGGCAGATTCTAGAAATACAGTGTTTCCAAACCGATGAATGTAAAGAAAGGTTTTGCTCTGCTAGATGAATGCACACATCAGAAAGTGGTTTCTCAGGTAGGTTCCTTCTAGTTTTTATCCTGGGATAATCACTGTTTCACCATTGTTCTCAATGAGCCCCAAATTGTCCATTCGCAGAATGGACAAAAACAGGTTTTCAATACTGCTGAATCCAAAGAAAGGTTTAATTCTGAGATACGAATGCACACAACAAAAAGCAGCTTCTCAGATAGCTTCTTTCTAGTTTTTATCTGAATATGGTTCCCTTTTCACCATAAACCTTAGTGCACTCCTAAATATCCTTTCACAGACTCTACAAAAACATTGTTTCCAAACTGCTGAATGAACAGAAAAATTTAATTCTGCCACACGAATTCACACGTCCCAAAGTGGTTTCTTTGTTAGCTTTCTTCTATTTATTATCCTGGGATATTTGCCTTTTTGCCTTTGGCGTCAATGAGCTCACAATTGTCCATTTGCAGAATGGTCAAAATAGTGTTTCCAAAATGCAGAATCAAAAGAAAGTTTTCATTCTGAGAGCTGAATGCACACATCACAAAGCAGTATCTCAGAAGGCTTCTTTCTAGTTTTTATCTGTAGAAATTTCCTTTTTCACCTTTAGCTTCAATGTGCTCCCAAACATCCCCTCGCAGAATCTACAAAAGGGTGTTTCTAAACTGCTGAATCAGCAGAAAGTTTTACCTAAGTTAGATGATTGCAGACATCACAAAGAAGTTTCTCAGAAAGTTTCTTTCTATTTTTTATCAGAAGATACTTTCTTTTTCACCATAGTCCTCAACATTCTCCTAAATATGCCTTCACAGATTCTACAAAAATAAGTTTTTCCAAACTACTGAATAAAAAGAAAGGTTTAACTGTGGCGTGAATGCACACATTACAAAGTGGTATCTCAGATAGCTTCCTTCTAGTTTTATACGGGAATATTTGTTTTTTCACCATTGGCATCAATGAGCTCCCAAATGTTGTTTGGTAGAATGGATGAAAACCGTGTTTCCAGAGAGAGGAGCCAAGATGGCCGAATAGGAACAGCTCCGGTCTACAGATCCCAGTGTGAGTGATGAAGAAGATGGGTGATTTCTGCATTTCCATCTGAGGTGCTGAGTTCATCTCACTAGGGAGTGCTAGACAGTGGGCACAGGCCAGTGGGTGCGTGCACCATGTGCGAGCTGAAGCAGGGCGAGGCATTGCCTCACCTGGGAAGCACAAAGGGTCAGGGAGTTCCCTTTCTGAGTCAAAGAAAGGGGTGACAGACGGCACCTGGAAAATCGGGTCACTCCCCCCCTAATACTGCACTTTTCCGATGGGCTTAAAAAACGGCGCACCGCGAGATTATATCCCGCACCTGGCTCGGAGGGTCCTATGCCCACGGAGTCTTGCTGATTGCTAGCACAGCAGGCTGAGATCAAACTGCAGGGCGGCAGCTAGTCTGGGGGAGGGCCGCCCACCATTGCCCAGGCTTGCTTAGGTAAACAAAGCAGCTGGGAAGCTCGAACTGGGTGGAGCCCACCACAGCTCAAGGAGGCCTGCCTGCCTCTGTAGGCTCCACCTCTGGGGGCAGGACACAGACAAACAAAAAGACAGCAGTAACCTCTGCAGACTTAAATGTCCCTGTCTGACAGCTTTGAAGAGAGCAGTGGTTCTCCCAGCATGCAGCTGGAGGTCTGAGAAGGGGCAGACTGCCTCCTCAAGTAGGTCCCTGACCCCTGACCCCCGAGCAGCCTAACTGGGAGGCACCCCCCAGCAGGGGCACACTGACACCTCAAACGGCAGGGTACTCCAACAGACCTGCAGCTGAAGGTCCTCTCTGTTAGAAGGAAAACTAACAAACAGAAAGGACATCCACACCAAAAACCCATCTGTACATCACCATCATCAAAGACCAAAAGTAGATAAAACCACAAAGATGGGGAAAAAACAAAACAGAAAAACTGGAAACTCTAAAAAGCAGAGTGCCTCTCCTCCTCCAAAGGAACGCAGTTCCTCACCAGCAATGGAACAAAGCTGGATGGAGAATGACTTTGACGAGCTGAGAAAAGAAGGCTTCAGACGATCAAATTACTCTGAGCTACGGGAGGACATTCAAACCAAAGGTAAAGAAGTTGAAAACTTCGAAAAAAAATTAGAAGAATGTATAACTAGAATAACCAATACACAGAAGTGCTTAAAGGAGCTGATGGAGATGAAAACCAAGGCTCGAGAACTACGTGAAGGATGCAGAAACCTCAGGAGCCGATGCAATCAACTGGAAGAAAGGGTATCAGCAATGGCAGATGAAATGAATGAAATGAAGTGAGAAGGGAAGTCTAGAGAAAAAAGAATAAAAAGAAACAAGCAAAGCCTCCAAGAAATATGGGACTATGTGAAAAGACGAAATCTACGTCTGATTGGTGTACCTGAAAGTGATGCGGAGAATGGAACCAAGTTGGAAAACACTCTGCAGGATATTATCCAGGAGAACTTCCCCAATCTAGCAAGGCAGGCCAACGTTCAGATTCAGGAAATACAGAGAATGCCACAAAGATACTCCTCGAGAAGAGCAACTCCAAGACACATAATTGTCAGATTCACCAAAGTTGAAATGAAGGAAAAACTGTTAAGGGCAGCCAGAGAGAAAGGTCGGGTTACCCTCAAAGGGAAGCCCATCAGACTAACAGCGGATCTCTTGGCAGAAACCCTACAAGCCAGAAGAGAGTGGGGGCCAATATTCAACATTCTTAAAGAAAAGAATTTTCAACCCAGAATTTCATATCCAGCCAAACTAAGCTTCATAAGTGAAGGAGAAATAAAATCCTTTACAGACAAGCAAATGCTGAGAGATTTTGTCACCACCAGGCCTGCCTTACAAGAGCTCCTGAAGGAAGCACTAAACATGGAAAAGAACAACCGGTACCAGCCACTGCAAAATCATGCCAAAATGTAAAGACCATCGAGACTAGGAAGAAACTGCATCAACTAACGAGCAAAATAACCAGTTAACATCGTAATGACAGAATCAAATTCACACATAACAATATTAACTTTAAATGTAAATGGGCTAAATGCTCCAATTAAAAGACACAGACTGGTAAATTGGATAAAGAGTCAAGACCCATCAGTGTGCTGTATTCAGGAAACCCATCTCACGTGCAGAGACACACATAGGCTCAAAATAAAAGGATGGAGGAAGATCTACCAAGCCAATGGAAAACAAGAAAAGGCAGGGGTTGCAATCCTAGTCTCTGATAAAACAGACTTTAAACCAACAAAGATCAAAAGAGACAAAGAAGGCCATTACATAATGGTAAAGGGATCAATTCAACAAGAAGAGCTAACTATCCTAAATATATATGCACCCAATAAAGGAGCACCAAGATTCATAAAGCAAGTCCTGAGTGACCTACAAAGAGACTTAGACTCCCACACAATAATAATGGGAGACTTTAACACCCCACTGTCAACATTAGACAGATCAACGAGACAGAAAGTCAACAAGGATACCCAGGAATTGAACTCAGCTCTGCACCAAGCAGAGCTAATAGACATCTACAGAACTCTCCACCCCAAATCAACAGAATATACATTTTTTTAGCACCACATCACACCTATTCCAAAATTGACCACATACTGGCAAGTAAAGCTCTCCTCAGCAAATGTAAAAGAACAGAAATTATAACAAACTATCTCTCAGACCACAGTGCAATCAAACTAGAACTCAGGATTAAGAATCTCACTCAAAACCGCTCAACTACATGGAAACTGAACAACCTGCTCCTGAATGACTGCTGGATACATAACGAAATGAAGGCAGAAATAAAGATGTTCTTTGAAACCAATGAGAACAAAGACACAACATACCAGAATCTCTGGGACACATTCAAAACAGTGTGTAGAGAGAAATTTATAGCACTAAATGCCCACAAGAGAAAGCAGGAAAGATCCAAAATTGACACCCTAACATCACAATTGAAAGAACGAGAAAAGCAAGAGCAAACACATTCAAACGCTAGCAGAAGGCAAGAAATAACTAAAATCAGAGCAGAACTGAAGGAAATAGAGACACAAAAAACCCTTCGAAAAATTAATGAATCCAGGAGCTGGTTTTTTGAAAGGATCAACAAAATTGATAGACCGCTAGCAAAACTAATAAAGAAAAAAGAGAGAAGAATCAAATAGACACAATAAAAAATGATAAAGGGGATATCACCACCGATCCCACAGTAATACAAACTGCCATCAGGGAATACTACAAACACCTCTACGCAAATAAACTAGAAAATCCAGAAGAAATGGATAAATTCCTGGACACATACACTCTCCCAAGACTAAACCAGGAAGAAGTTGAATCTCTGAATAGACCAATAACAGGAGCTGAAATTGTGGCAATAATCAATAGTTTACCAATCAAAAAGAGTCCAGGACCAGATGGATTCACAGCCAAATTCTACCAGAGGTACAAGGAGGAACTGGTACCATTCCTTCTGAAACTATTCCAATCAATAGAAAAAGAGGGAATCCTCCCTAACTCATTTTATGAGGCCAGCATCATTCTGATACCAAAGCCAGGCAGAGACACAACCAAAAAAGAGAATTTTAGACCAATATCCTTGATGAACATTGATGCAAAAATCCTCAATAAAATACTGGCAAACAGAATCCAGCAGCACATCAAAAAGCTTATCCACCATGATCAAGTGGGCTTCATCCCTGGGATGCAAGGCTGCTTCAATATATGCAAATCAATAAATGTAATCCAGCATATAAACAAAGCCAAAGACAAAAACCACATGATTATCTCAATAGATGCAGAAAAGGCCTTTGACAAAATTCAACAACCCTTCATGCTAAAAATTCTCAATAAATTAGGTATTGATGGGAAGTATTTCAAAATAATAAGAGCTATCTATGACAAACCCACAGCCAATATCATACTGAATGGGCAAAAACTGGAAGCATTCCCTTTGAAAACTAGCACAAGACAGGGATGCCCTCTCTCACCACTCCTATTCAACATAGTGTTGGAAGTTCTGGCCAGGGCAATTAGGCAGGAGAATGAAATAAAGGGTATTCAATTAGGAAAAGAGGAAGTCAAATTCTCCCTGTTTGCAGATGACATGATTGTATATCTAGAAAAGCCCATTGTCTCAGGCCAAAATCTCCTTAAGCTGATAAGCAACTTCAGCTAAGTCTCAGGATACAAAATCAATGTACAAAAATCACAAGCATTCTTATACACCAACAACAGACAGAGAGCCAAATCATGAATGAACTCCCATTCACAATTGCTTCAAAGAGAATAAAATACCTAGGAATCCAACTTACAAGGGATGTGAAGGACCTCTTCAAGGAGAACTACAAACCACTGCCCAAGGAAATAAAAGAGGATACAAACAAATGGAAGAACATTCCATGCTCATGGGTAGGAAGAATCAATATCGTGAAAATGGCCATACTGCCCAAGGTAATTTACAGACTCAATGTCATCCCCATCAAGCTACCAATGTCTTTCTTCACAGAATTGGAAAAAACTACTTTAAAGTTCATATGGAACCAAAAAAGAGCCCACATCGCCAAGTCAACCCTAAGCCAAAAGAACAAAGCTGGAGGCATCACTCTACCTGACTTCAAACTATACTACAAGGCTACAGTAACCAAAACAGCATGGTACTGGTACCAAAACAGAGATAAAGATCAATGGAACAGAACAGAGCCCTCAGAAATAACACCGCAAATCTACAACTATCTGATCTTTGACAAACCTAAGAAAAACAAGCAATGGGGAAAGCATTCCTTATTTAATAAATGGTGCTGGGAAAACTGGCTAGCCATATGTAGAAAGCTGAAACTGGATCCCTTCCTTACACCTTATACAAAAATCAATTCAAGATGGATTAAAGACTTAAACGTTAGACCAAAACCATAAAAACCCTAGAAGAAAACCTAGGCATTACCATTCAGGACATAGGCATGGGCAAGGACTTCATGTCTAAAACACCAAAAGCAATGGCAACAAAAGCCAAAATTGACAAATGGGATCTAATTAAACTAAAGAGCTTCTGCACAGCAAAAGAAACTACCATCAGAGTGAACAGGCAACCTACAATATGGGAGAAAATTTTCACAACCTACTCATCTGACAATGGGCTAATATCCAGAATCTACAATGAACTCAAACAAATTTAGAAGAAAAAAACAAACAACCCCATCAAAAAGTGGGCGAAGGACATGAACAGACACTTCTCAAAAGAAGACATTTATGCAGCCAAAAAACACATGAAAAAATACTCATCATCACTGGCCATCAGAGAAATGCAAATCAAAACCACAATGAGATACCATCTCACACCAGTTAGAATGGCAATCATTAAAAATCAGGAAACATCAGGTGCTGGAGAGGATGTAGAGAAATAGGAACACTTTTACACTGTTGGTGGGACTGTAAACTAGTTCAACCATTGTGGAAGTCAGTGTGGCAACTCCTCAGGGATCTAGAACTGGAAATTCCATTTGACCCAGCCATCCCATTACTGGGTATATACCCAAAGGACTATAAATCATGCTGCTATAAATACACATGCACACGTATGTGTATTGCGGCATTATACACAACAGCATAGACTTGGAACCAACCCAAATGTCCAACAATGATAGTCTGGATTAAGAAAATGTGGCACATATACACCATGGAATACTATGCAGCCATAAAAACTGATGAGTTCATGTCCTGTGTAGGGACATGGATGAAATTGGAAATCATCATTCTCAGTAAACTATCACAAGAACAAAAAACCAAACACCGCATATTCTCACTCATAGGTGGGAACTGAACAATGAGATTCCATGGACACAGGAAGGGGAATATCACACTCTGGGGACTGTTGTGGGGTGGTGGGAGGGGGGAGGGATAGCATCGGGAGATATACCTAATGCTAGATGACGAGTTAGTGGGTGCAGTGCACCAGCATGGCACATGTATACATATGTAACTAACCTGCACAATGTGCACATGTACCCTAAAACTTAAAAGTGTAATTAAAAAAAAAAGAAAACCGTGTTTCCAAAACTGCTGAATCCAAAGAAAGTTTGAACTTTGTCAGATGAATGAGCACATCACAAAGCAGTATCTCAGAAGCTTCTTTCTAGTTTATATCTGAAGATAATTTCTTTTTCAACATAAGCCTCAATGCACTCTGAAATATCACTTCACAGATTCTTCAAAAACAGTGCTTCCAAACTGCTGTATGAAGAGAAAGGTAAAGTTTGCAGATGAGTGCACACATCATAAAGACATTTCTCAGAAGGTTTTCTTCTAGTTTTTATCCTGGAATATTTGATTTTTCACTGTTGGCCTCAATAGCTCCCAAATGTTCATTCCCGGAATGGACAAAAACAGTGTCCCTACTGCTGAATCAAAAGAAATTATTCACTCTGAGAGCTGAATGCACACATTACATTGCAGTTTCTTAGACAGTTTCTTCCTTGTTTTCATATGAAAATATTATCTTATTCACTGTAGGCGTCAATGCACTCCCAAACATCCCTTTGCTGATTCTACAAAAGCAGTGTTTCCAAACTGCTGAATGAAAAGAAAGGTTTACTTCTGTGAGACGAATGCACAAATCACAAAGCAGTTTCTCAGAGAGATTCCTTCTAGTTTTTATCCTGGGATATTTGCTTTTTCATCATTGGCCTCAATGAACTCCCACATGTCCACTGGCAGAATGGACAAAAACAGTGTTTTCATATTGCTGAAAGAAAATAAACGTTTATGTCTGTGAGATGAAAGCACACATAACAATGTGGTTTCTCATATAAGTTAATTCTAGTATTTGTACTGGGATATTCGTCTTTTTGCCTTGGCCTCAAAGAGCTCCCAAATTTCCATTCACAGAATGGACAAAATCAGTGTTTCCAAACTGCTGAATCAAAAGAAAGTTTTAATATTTTGAGATGAATGCACACATTACAAAGCAGTTTCTCAGAAACTGTGAATATCCCAGGATAAAAGCTAATTTAAAGCTATCTGTGAAACTGATTTGTGATGTGATCATTCATCTTGCAGAATTAAACTTTCTTTTCATTCAGCAGTTTGGAAACACTCTTTTTGTTGAATCTGCAAAGGGATATTTGGGAGCACATTGTTGCATAAAGTCAAAAAGAAAATATCTTCAAATAAAAACTAGAAAGAATCTGAGTACCTGCTTTGTGATGTGTGCATTCAGCTCAAAGAGTTGAAACTTTCTTTTGATTCAGCAATTTGGATACACTGTTTTTGTTTATTCTGTGAAGGGACATTTGGCAGCTCATTGAGGCCAATGGTGAAAAATTGAATATACTAGGATAAAAACTAGAAGGAATCTATCTGAGAAACCTGTTTGTGATGTGTGCATTCATCTCGCATAGTTAAACCTTCTTTTTGATTCAGTACTTTGAGAACACTGTATTGTCCATTCTGCGCATGGACATTTGGAAGCCCATTGAGGCTTAATGCAAAAGTGAATATCCCCAGATAAAAAAGAAGGAAACTATCTGAGTAAAAACTTGGTGACATGTGCCTTCATCTCATAGAGTGAAACCTTTCTTTTATTTCAGCAGTTTTAAAACTCTGTTTTTTTCCATTCTGTGAATGGACATTTGGGAGATCATTAGTGCTTAGCATTAAAAAGCAAATATTCCACGATAAAAACTATAAGGAAGCCATCTGAGGAACAGCTTTGTCATGTGTGCATTCATCTCACCGAGTTAAAGCTTTCTTTTTATTCAGCAGTTTGGAAACACTGTTTTTGTAGTATCTGCAAAGGGATATTTGGGAGCACATTGAGGCCTATGGTCAAAAAGAAAATATCTTCAGATAAAAACTAGAAAGAAGCAAAAAGGGAAAATTTGACTTCCTCTTTTCCTAATTGAATGCCCTTTATTTCCTTCTCCTGCCTGACTGCCCTGGCCAGAACATCCAACACTATGTTGAACAGGAGTGGTGAGAGAGGGCATGCCTGGCTTGTTCCAGTTTTCAAAGGGAATGCTTCCAGGTTTTGCACATTCAGTGTGGTATTGGCTGTGAGTTTGTCATAGATAGCTCTTATTATTTTGAGATACATCCCATCAATACCTGAATTATTGACAGTTTTTAGCACGAAGGATTGCTGGATTTTTTCAAAGGCCTTTTCTGTATCTATTGAGATAACCATGTGGTTTTTGTCATTGGTTCTGTTTATATGCTTGATTACGTTTATTGGTTTGCGTATGTTGAACCAGCCCTGCATCCCAAGGGTGAAGCCCCATTGATCATGGTGGATAAGCTTCTTGATGTACTGCTGGATTTGGTTTGCCAGTATTTTATTGAGGATTTTTGCATCGATGTTCATCAAGGATATTGGTCTAAAATTCTCTTTTTTTGTTGTGTCTCTGCCCAGCTTTGGTATCAGGATGATGTGGTCTCATGAAATGAGTTAGGGAGGATTCCCTCTTTTTCTATTGATTGGAATAGTTTCAGAAGGAATGGTACCAGCCCCTCCTTGTACCTGTGGTAGAATTCAGCTGTGAATCCATCTCAAAGATCAACAAAAATTGAAAGACCATTAGAAAGACTAATAAAGAAAAAAAGAGAGAACAATCAAATAGATGCAATAAAAATGATAAAGGATATATCATCAATGATCCCACAGAAATACAAACTACCATCAGAGAATACTATAAGCACCTCTATGAAAATGAACTAGAAAATCTGGAAAAATGGATAAATTCCTGGACACATACACCCTTCCAAGACTAAAGCAGGAAGAAGTTGAATCTCTGAATAGACCAATAATAGGCTCTGAAATTGAGGCAATAATTAATAGCTTACCAACCAATAAAAGGAAACAGGGATTTTGTAGAATCTGTGAAGGGATATTTGGGAGTGCATTGAGGTGTACGGTGGAAAAGGAAACATCTTCCAAAAAGAACTAGAAAGAAACTTTCTGAGAAACTGCTTTGTGATGTGTGCATTCTTCTCATTACAATAAAATTTTCTTTTAATTCAGCTGTTTGGAAGCACACTTTTTGTCCGTTCTGCGACTGGGAATTTGGGAGCTCACTGAGGGCAATGGCAAAAAAGTGAATATCTAAGGCTAAAAACAAGAAGGAAGCTATCTGAGAGACCATTTTGTGATGTTTGCTTTCATCTAGCAGAGGTAAACCTATCTTTTCATTTAGCAGTTTGGAAACACTCTTTTTGTAGAATATACGAAGGGATATTTGGGAGCACATTGAGGCTTACGGTGAAAAAGGAAACATCTTCAGATAAAAACTAGAAAGATTCTTTCTGTGAAACTGCTTTGTAACGTTTGCATTCATCTCACAGAGTTAAACAATTCTTTTGATTCAGCAGTTTGGAAACACTCTTTTTGTAAATTTTGTGAATGGACATTTGGGACCTCATTGGGGCCACTAGCAAAAGAGAAAATATTCCAGGATAAAACTATAAGGAAGCTATTGGAGAATCTGCGATGTGATGTGTGCATTCATCTCACTAAGCCAAACCTTTCTTTTCGTTCAGCAATTTGGAAACCCTATTTTTCCACAATCTGCGAAGGTATATTTGGGAGCTTATTGCAGTCTATATTGGAAAAGAAAACATCTTCATATAAAAACTAGAAAGATGCTTGCTGAGAAACTTCTTTGTGATGTGTGCATTCATCTCAGAAAGATATATCTTCTTTGGATTCAGCAGTTTGGAAACACTGTTTTTGTCCATTCTGCGAATGGACTTTTGGGAGCTCATTTAGGCCAACAGCAAAAAACGTAATATCCTGGAACAAAAACTAAAAGGAATCTTATCTGAGAAACCGCTTTGTGATGTGTGCATTCATATCACAGAGTTAAATGATTTTTTTCATTTAACAGTTTGGAAACACTTCTTGTAGAATCTGCTAAGGGACATTTGGGAGCACGTTGAGGCCTGTGATGAACAAGGAAACATCTTCAGATAAAAACTAAAAATATGCTTTCTGAGAAACTACTTTGTGAGGCCTGCATTCATATCACAGAGTTAAACATTTCTTTTTATTCAGTAGTTTGGAAACACTGTTTTTGTTCATTCTGGGAATGGAATTTTTTACCTTATTGAAGCCAATGGCGAAAAGGTGAAAATCCCAGGATAAAAACTAGAAGGAAGCTATCTGTGAAACTGCTTTGTGATGTGTGCATTCATCTTGCAAAGTTAAATCTTACTTTTTATTCAGCAGTTTGGATACAGTGTTTTTGTTGAAACTGTGAAGAGATATTTTGGAGTGCATTGAGGCCTATGGTGAAAAAGGAAACATCTTCAGATAAAAACTAGAAAGTAGGTTTCAGAGAAACTGCTTTGTGATGTGTGCCTTTATCTTGGAATTAAATCTTTCTTTTGATTCAGCAGTTTGGAAACACTCTTTTTGTCCATTCTGTGAATGGACATTTGGGAACCCTTTGAGGTCAATGGTGAAAAAGTGATTATCCCAGGATAAAAACGAGAAGACAGCTATCTGAGAAACTGCTTGTGATTCATGCATTCATCTCATAGAGTTAAACTTTTGTTTTTATTTAGCAGTTTGCAAACACTTTTTTGGTAGAAACTTCAAAGGGATATTTGGGAGCACATTGAGGCCTATGGTGAAAAAAGAAATATCTTCAGATAAAAACTACAAAGAAGATTTCTGAGAAACTGCTTTGTTGTGTGTGCATTCATCTCAGAGAATTAAACCTTTGTTTGGATTCAGGAGTTTGGAAACTCTGTTTTTGTAAAATCTTGGAATGGACATTTAGATGCTCATGGAGGCCAAAGGTGATAAAGCGAATATCCCAGGGTAAAACAAGAAGAAAGCTATTTGAGAAACTGATTTGTGATGTACGCATTCAATTCTCAGAGAAAAACTTTTTTTTAAAATTCCTCAGATTCAAAACACTGTTTTTGCAGAATCTGTGATGGGATATTTAGGAGGACGTTGAGAACTACAGTGAAAAAGGAAATATCTTCAGATAAAAACTAGAAAGAATCTTTCTGAGAAACTGCTTTGTGATGTGCACCTTTATCTCACAGAGTTAAACCTTACTTTGGATTCCACAGTTTGGAAACACTGTTGTTGTCCATTCTGCGAATGGATTATATGGAGCTCACTGAGGTCAAAGGCGAAAAAGTGAATATCCCAAGATAAAATCTAGAAGGAAGCTATCTGAGAAACAGCTTTGTGATGTGTACATTCATCTCGCAGAGTTAAAACTTTCTTTTTATTCAGCATTTTGGAAACATAGTTTTCATAGAATCTGTGAAGGCATATTTGAGATCACATTGAGGTCTAACATGGAAAGGGAAATAACTTTAGATAGAAACTAGAAAGAAGCTTTCTGAGAAACTGCTTTGTGATGTGTATCTTCATCTCACAGAGTTAAGTTTTTCTGTGTATTATTCATCCCTTTCAAAACACTGTTTTTGTATAATCTGCAAAGGGATATTTGAAAGCACATTGAGGCCAGTGGTGAAAAAGCAAATATCTCAGGTTAAAAACTAGAAGGAAGCTGTTTGAGAGACCCCTTTATGATGTGCACACTCATCTTGCCGAGGTAAAAGTTTCTTTTCATTCAGCAGTTTGGAAGCACTGTTTTTGCAGTATCTGTGAAGGAATATTTGGGCATGCATTGAGGCCAGTAGAGAAAAAAGAAAATTCCTCAGATAAAAACTAGAGAGAATCTTTTGGAGAAACTACTTTGTGATTTGTGCATTCATCTCACAGAGTTAAACATTTCTTAAGATTCAGCAGTTCAGAAACACTATTTTTGTCCATTCTGTGAATTGACATTAGGTAGCACTTTGAGGCCCATTGTGAAAAAGTGCATATCCCAGGATAAAAACTAGAAGGAAGCTATTTGAGAAACTGCTTGTTGATGTGTGCATTCATCTCACAGAGTTAAACCTTTCTTCTTATTCATCAGTTTGGAAACACTATTTTGGTAGAATCTGCAAAAGGACATTTGGGAGGACATCAAGACCTATGGTGAAGATGAAATAACTTCAGATAAAAACTGGAAAGAAGCTTTCTGAGAAACTGCTTTGTGATGGGTGCATTCATCTCACAGAGATGAACATTTCTTTGGATTCAGCAGTTTGGAAACACTGTTTTCGTCCATTCAGTGAATGGACATTTGGGACTTCATTGAGGCCAACAGTGAGAAAGTAAATATCCCAGGATAAAAACTATAAGAAAGGTGTCTCAGAAATTGATTTGTGATGAGTGCATTCATCTCACAGAGATAAAACTATATCTTCATTTAGCAGTTTGGAAACACTGTTAAGTAGAATCTGTGAAGGGATATTTGGGGGTGCATGAGGTCTATGGTGAAAAAGGAAATACATTCAGATAAAAACTAGAAAGGCGCTTTCTGAGTACCTTCTTCATGATGTATGCATTCATCTCACTGATTTAAACCTTTCTTTGGATTCAGCAGTTTGGTAACTCTGTTCTTGACAATTCTATGAAAGGACGTTTGGGAGCTCATAGAGGCCAATGGTGAAAAAGGGAATATCCCAGAATAAAAACTAAAAGGAAACTCTCTGAGAAACCGCTTTGTGATGTGTGAATTCATCTAGCAGCGTTAAAACTTTCTTTTCATTCAGCAGTTTGGAAACACTGTTTTTGAAGAAACCGTGAAAGGATATTTGGCAGCGCATTGAGGCCTATGGTGAAAAAGGAAATATCTTTAGATAAAAACTGGACAGAAGCCTACTGAGAAACTGCTTTGTGATGAGTTCATTCATCTCACAGAGTGAAAACTTTGTTTGGCTTCAGCAGTTTGGAAGCACTGTTTTTGTCCATTATGCGAATGGATACTTGGGAGCTCATTGAGGCCAAAGGTGAAAAAGTGAATATCCCAGGATAGTAACTAGAAGGACACTCTGTGAGAAACTGCTTTGTGACGTGAGCATTCATCTCGCACAGTTAAACCTTTCTTTTCATTCAGCAGTTTTGAAACGGGTTTTGTAGAATCTGTGAATGGATATTTGGTAGTGCTTTGAGGTGTATGGTGAAAAAGGAAATATCTTCAGAAAAAAAAACTGGAAAAAAGCTTTACAAGAAACTGCTTTGTGATGTATGCAACCATCTCACAGAGTTAAACTTTTCTATAGATTCAGCAGTTTGAAAACAGTTTTTGTCCATTGGGTGAATGGACATTTGGGAGCTCATTGAGGCCAAAGGTGAAAAAGGGAATATCCCAGGAAGAAAACTAGAAGGAAGTTATCTGAGAAGCCAATTTGTGATGTGTTCATTCATCTCACCGACTTAAAAAATTCTTTAGATTCAGCAGTTTGGAAACACGGTTTGGTCCATTCTTTGAAGGAACATTTAGAACTCACTGAGGCCAGTGGTGAAAAACTGAATATACCATTATAAAAAGAAGAAGGAAGTTATCTGAGAAACGAATATGTGATGTGTGGATTCATCTCACAGAATTAAACCTATCTTTTCATTCAGCAGATTGTGAACTCTGTATTCTTAGAATGTGTAAAGAGATACTTGGTAGCAATCTGAGGACTGTGGTGAATGGGAAATGTCTTCAGATAAATACCAGAAATAATTTTGAAGAGAAAATGCTTTGGGATGTGCACATTCATCTCACGGAGTTTAACATTCCTTTGGATTCATTAGTTTGGTAACACAGTTTTTCACAACTCTGCAAATTGAATTTTGGGAGCTCATTGAGGCCAATGGTGAAAAAGTGAATATCCCAGGATAAAAACTATAAGGAAGCTCTCTAAGAAACCGCTTTCTGATGTGTGCATTCAACTCACAGAGATAAAACTTTCTTTTCATTCAGCAGTTTGGAAACACTGTTTTCTTAGAAACTGACTAAGAATACTTGGCAGCTCATTGAGGCCTAAGGTGAAAAAGGAAATATCTTCAGATAAAAACAAGAAAGAAGCTAAATGAGAAACTGGTTTGGGATGTATGCATTCATCTCTGAGAGTTAAACCTTTCTTTGGATTCAGCAGTTTGTAAACACTGTTTTTGTCCATTCTTGGAAAGTACATTTTGGAACTCATTGAGGCCAATGGTGAAAAATAGAATATCTCAGGATAAAAACTAGAGGGAAGTTACCTGAGAAATGGTTTCATGATGGGTGCATTCATCTCACAGAGTTAAACCTTTGTTTTCAATCAGCAGTTTGGAAACACTGATTTCTTAGAATCTACGAAGAGATATATCATAGCCCATTGAGGCCTATGGTGTAAAAGGAAATATTTTCAGATAAAAACTATAAAGGAGGTTAAGGAGAAACTGGTTTGGCTTGTGTGCATTCATCTCACAGAGTTAAAACTTTCTTTGGATTCAGCAGTTTGGTAACACTCTTTTTGTTCATTCTGTGAATGGACTTTTGGGGGGTCATTGAGGTCAATGGTGAAAAAGCCAATATCCCAGGATTAAAACTAGAAAGGAAGCTATCTGAGAAATCACTTTTGATGTGTACATTCATCTAGCACACTTTAACTTTCTTTTCATTCAGCAGTTTGGAAACACTGTTTTTGTAGAAACTGCAAAAGGATATTTGGCAGCACTTTGAGGCCTATGGTGAAAAAGGAAATAACTTCAGATAAAAACTAGAAAGAAGCTTCCTGAGAAATTGCTTTGTGAAATGTTCATTTATCTCACAGAGTTAAAACTGTCTTTATATTCAGCAGTTTGGAAACACTATTTTGCCCTTTTTTGGAATGGAAATTTGGGAACTCATTGAGGCTAAAGGTGAAAAAGTGAATATCCCAGGAAAAATCTAGAAGGAAGTTATCTGAGACACCGAATCATGATGTGTGCATTCATCTCACAGAGTTAAAACTTTCTTTTCATTCAGCAGTTTGGGAACACTGATTTCTCAGAATCTGCGAACAGATATTTGGTAACACTTTGAGACCTATGGTGAAAAGTAAATATCTTCAGATAAAAACCAGAAAGAAGCTTAATGAGAAACTAGTTTGGGTTGTATGCATTCATCTCACAGAAATAAACCTTTCTTTGGATTCAGCACTTTGGAAACGTTGTTTGTGTCCATTCTGTGAAAGGATGTTTTTAAGCTCATTGAGGCCAATGGTAAAAAAGTGAATATCCCAGGACTAAAACTAAAAGGAAGCTATCAGAGAAACTGCCTTGTGATGTGTGCATTAATCTCACAGAATTAAACCTTTCTTTGGATTCAGCAGTTTGGTATCATGAATGTGTCCATTTTGTGAATAGCCATTTGGGATCTAATTCAGGCCAAAGGCTAAAAAGCAAATATCCCAGGATAAAAACTAGAAGAAAGATATCTGACAAACTGTTATGTGATGTGTACCTTCATCTCACAGAATTAAACGTTTCTTTTCATTCATCATTTTGGAAACACTGTTTTGGTAGAATCTGCAAAGGGATATTTGGAAGTGCATTGAGGCCTATAGTGTAAAAGGAAACATCTTCAGATAAAAACTAGAAAGAAGCTTTCGGAGAAACTGCTTTGTGATGTGTGCATTTATCTCAGAGAGCTAAACCTTTCTTTTGATTGAGCAGTTTGGTAACCCTGTTTTTGTACATTATGAAAGTGGACATTTTGGAGCTCCTTGAGGCCAAGGGTGAAAAAGTGAATATTCCAGCATAAAATGTAGAAGGAAGCTAACAGAAAAACCACTTTTTGATGTGTGCATTCATCTCCAGAATTAAACATTAATTTTCATTCAGCAGTTTGAAAACACTGTTTTGGTAGAATCTTTTTTTTTTTATTATACTTTAAGTTTTAGGGTACATGTGCGCATTGTGCAGGTTAGTTACATATGTATACATGTGCCATGCTGGTGCACTGCACCCACTAACTCATCATCTAGCATTAGGTATATCTCCCGATGCTATCCCTCCCCCCTCCCCCCACCCCACAACAGTCCCCAGAGTGTGATATTCCCCTTCCTGGGTCCATGTGATCTCATTGTTCAATTCCCACCTATGAGTGAGAATATGCGGTGTTTGGTTTTTTGTTCTTGTGATAGTTTACTGAAAATGATGATATCCAATTTCATCCATGTCCCTACAAAGGACATGAACTCATCATTTTTTATGGCTGCATAGTATTCCTGGTGGGACTGTAAACTAGTTCAACCATTGTGGAAGTCAGTGTGGCGATTCCTCAGGGATCTAGAACTGGAAATACCGTTTGACCCAGCCATCCCATTACTGGGTATATACCCAAAGGACTATAAATCATGCTGCTATAAAGACACCTGCACACGTATGTTTATTGCGGCATTATTCACAATAGCAAAGACTTGGAACCAACCCAAATGTACAACAATGATAGACTGGATTAAGAAAATGTGGCACATATACACCATGGTAGAATCTTTTCAGAGGTACTTGGGAGTGCTTTGATGTCTATGGTGAAAAAGGAAATGTGTTTAGATGAAAACTAGAAAAAAGTTTTCTGAGAAACTGCTTTGTGATGTGTGCATTCATCTCACAGAGTTAAATCTTTCTTTGGATTCATGAATTTGGAAACACTTTTTTTGTAAAATCCATGAAGGGATATTTGTGAGTTCATTGAAGCCAAAGGACAAAAAATGAATATCCCAGGATAAAAACTAGAAGGAAGCCATCTGAGAAACCGCTTTGTGATGTGTGCATACACCTTACAGTGTTAAACATTTCTTTTCATTCAGCAGTTTGGAAACAATGTTTTCATAGACTCTGTGAAGTGATATCTGGGAGAAATTTGAGGCCTATAATGAAAAAGGAAATATCTTCAGATCAAAACTATAAAGAAGCATTCTGAGGAACTGCTTTATGATGTGTGCCTTCATCTCACAGAGTTAAACCTTTCTTTGGATTCAGCAGTTTGGAAACACTGTTGTTGTTGAATCTATGAAGGGATATGTGGGAGCTCACTGAGGCCAATGGTGAAAAAGAAAATACAATCAGATAAAAACTGTAAAGAAGCTTTCTTAGAAACTGTTTTGTGACGTATGCTTCATCTCACAGAGTTACACCTTTCTTTGAATTTAGCATTTTGGAAACACTGTTTTTGTAGAATCTGTGAATGGATATTAGATAGCTCATAGAGGCCACAGATGAAAAAGCAAATATCTCAGTTTAAAAACTAGAAGGAAGCTATCTGAGAATCCAATTTGTGATGTTTGCATTCATCTCACAGAGTTAAACCTTTATTTACATTAAGCTCTTTGGAAACATTGTTTTGGTAGGATCAGATAAAAACTAGAAAGAAGGTTTCTGAGAAATTGCTTTGTGACATGTGAATTTATCTCACAGAGTTAAACCTTTCTTTGGATTCAGCAGTTTAGAAACACTGTTTTTGTAGAATCTGCTAAGGGATTTTTAAGAGCTCATTGAGGACAAAGGTGAAAAAGCAAATATCTCAATATAAAAAGTAGAAGGAAGCTATCTGAGAAACGTTGCGTGATGTGTGCATTCGTCTCACAGAGTTAAACCTTTCTTTTCATTCAGAAGTTTGGAAACACTTTTGGTAGATTCTGTGAAGGGATATCAGCGAGTGCATTGAGGACTATGGTGAAAAAGGAAATACCTTCTGATAAAAACTAGAAAGAAACTTTCTGATAAACCGCTTCATGATGTGTGCATTCATTTCACAAAGTTAAACCTTTCTTTTGATTCACCTGTTTGGAAACACTGTTTTCTTATAACCTGTGAAGGGGTATTTCGGGGCTTGTTGAGGCCAAAAGCAAAAAAGCAAATATCTCAGGATAAAAAGTAGAAGGATCTATCTGAGAAATCACTTTGTGGTGTGCACATTCATCTCACAGAGTTAAACCTTTCTTTCTATTCAGCAGTTTGGAAACACTGTTTTGGTAGAATCTGCAAAGGGATAGTTGGGAGCCCATTGAGGCCTATGGTGAAATAGGAAATAACTTCAGTTAAAGACTACAAAGAAGCTTTCTGAGAAAACACTTTCCATTGTATGCATTCATCTCATTGAAGTAAACTTTTCTTTGGATTCAGCAGTTTGGATACACAGTTTTTGTAGATTCTGCAAAGGTATACTTGATAGCTCATTGAGGCCACAGGTGAAAAAGTGAATATCCCAGGATAAAAATTAGGAGGAAGCAACCTGAGAAATCACTTTGTGATGTGTTCATTTTCTCACAGAGTTTAAAATTACTTTTCATTCAGCAGTTTGTATACACAGTTTTTGTGGAATCTGCGAAGGGATTTTAGGAAGCTCATTGCCACCTATGGTGTAGAAAAAAATAACTTCAGATAAATACAAGAAAGGAGATTTCTGAGAAACTACTTTCTGATGTGTGCATTCATTTTACAGAGTTAAACCTTTCTTTGTATTTAGCAGTCTGGAACCACTGTTTTTGTAGAATCTGCAGAGGGATATTTGGGAGCTCATTGAGGCCAAAGGTGAAAAGAGAATATCTCAGGATAAAAAAATAGAAGGAAGCTATCTGAGAATCATCTTTGTGATGTGTGCATTCATCTCACAGAGTTAAACCTTTCTTTTCATCCAGCAGTTTGGAAATACTGTTTTGGTAGAATGTGTGAAAGGATATTTGGGAGTGCATTGAGGTATTTAGTGAAAAAGGAAATATCTCCAGAAAAAAACAGGAAAGAAGCTTTCTGAGAAACTGCTTTTTGATGTGTGAATTCATTTCACAGCTTTAAAAATTTATTTTCTTTCAGCAGTTGTGAAACACCTGTTTCAGTAGAATCTGTGAAGGGATATTTGGGAGCGCATTGAGGCCTATGGTGAAAAAGGAAATATCTTCAAATAAAAACTAGAAAGAAGATATTTGAGAGACTACTTTGTGATGTGTGCATTCATTTCACATAGTTGAAACTTTCTTGGGATTCAGCAGTTTGTAAACACTGTTTTTGTGGAATTTGCAAAGGGATATTTGATAGCTCATGGAGGCCAATGGTGAAAACATGCACATCTCAGTATAAAAACTGGAAAGGAAATATCTGAGAAACCACTTTGTGATGTATGTATTCAATTCACAGTTAAACCTTTATTTTCATTCAGCAGTTTGGGAACACTGTTTCAGTAGAATCTGTGAAGGGATATTTGGGAGCACATTGAGGCCTGTGGTGAAAAAGATAATATGTTGAGATTAAAAACTAGAAAAAATCCTTGTGAGAAATTGCTTTCTGATGTGTGCATTCATGTCACAGCTTTAAACTTTTCTTTGGATTCAGGAGTTTGGAAACCCTGTTTTTGTAGAATCTGCAAAGAGATATTTGGGAGCGCATTGAGGCCTAAGGTGAAAAATCGAACATCACAGGAAAAAAAAAAAAACAGAATGAAGCTATCTGAGTAACTGCTTTGTGATGTGTGCCTTCATTCAGCAGAACTAAAATTTTCTTTTCCTTCAGCTGTTTGGAAACACTGTTTTGGTAGAATCTGAAGGGGACATTTGGGAGCCCATGGGGACCAATGGTAAAAAAAGGAAACATCTTCAGAAAAAACTAGAAAGAAGCTTTCTGAGAAACTACTTTGTGATGTGTGTGTTGATCTCACAGATTAAAACTTTCTTTGGGTTCAGCAGTATGGAAACACTCTATTTGTAGAATCTGCAAAGGAATATTTGGGAGCTCATTGAGGTCAAATTGAAAAAGTCAATATCCCAGGATAAAATCAAGAAGGAAGCTATATGAAAACAGCTTTGTGATGTGTGCATTCATCTTACAGTGTTACATTTTCCTTTTCATTCAGCAGTTTGGAAACACTATTTTTTCTAAAATCTGTGATTGAATATTTGGCAGCTAATTGAAGCCTATGGTGAAAAAGGAAATAACTTCAGATAAAAAATAGAAGCTTTCTGAGAAACTGCTTTGTGATGTGTTCATTCATTTCACAAAGTTAATCCTTCCTTTGGATTCAGCATTTTGGAAACACTGTTTTTATCTATTCTGTGAATGGACTTTTGGGAACTCATTGAGGCCAATGATGAAAAAGTTGGTATCCCTTGATAAAAACTAGAAGGAGGTTATCTTAGAAACCGACTGGGGACATGTGCATTCATTTCACAGGGTTAAACTTTGCTTTACATTCAGATATTTGGAAAAACTGTTTTCTTAGAATCTGTGAAGAGATATTTGGTAGTGCATTGTGGTCTAGGGTGAAAAAGGAATTTTCTTCAGATCAAAAGTAGTAAGAAGCTTAATGAGAAACTGCTTTGGGATGTGTTCATCTATCACAAGAGTTAAAGCTTTCTTTGAATTCAGAAGTTTGAAAACACAGTTTTCGTCCACTCTGCGAATGGATATTGGGGAACTTATTGTGGCCAGGGCAAAGAAGTGAATATCACAGGTTAAAAACTAGAAGGATTTAATCTGAGAAAAAGATCTGTGATGTGTGTGTTCATCTCAAAGACTTAAACATTTCTTTTCATGCAGCAGTTTGGAAATACTGTTTTCTTAGAATGTGCAAAGAGATACTTGTTAGTGCCTTGAGGCCTATGGTGAAACACGAAATATCTGCAGATAAATACTAGAAAGAAGCTTAATGAGAATCTGCTTTGGTTTGTGTTCATTCATTTCACAGAGTTAAAACTTCCTTTGGATTCCACAGTTTGGAAAGACTGTTTTTGTCTATTCGGCAATTGGACATTTGGGAACACGTTGAGTCCTATGGTGAAAAAGGAAATATATTCAGATAAAAATTAGAAAGAAGCTTTCTGAGAATCTGCTACATTATGTGCGCATTTACCTCACAGTGTTAAAACTTTCTTTGGATTCAGCCATATGGAAACACTGTTTTTGTCCATTCTGTGACTGGACATTTGGGATCTCATTGAGGCCAGTGGTGAAAAATGGGATATCCCAGGATAAACAATATAAGGAAGACATCTGTGAAACTGCTTTGTTTTGTGTGCATTCATCTCGCAGAGTTAAAACTTTCTTTTCACTGAGCAGTTTGAAAGCCAGGTTTTTGTAGAATCTGTGAAGGGATATTTGGGAGCGCTTTGAGGCCTATGGTGAAAAAGGGAATATATTCAGATAAAAATTAGAAAGAAGCTTTCTGAGAAACTGCTTTGAGATGTGTTCATTCGTCTTACACAGTTAAATCTTTGTTTGGATTCAGCAGTTTGGAAACACTGTTTTTGTTCATTGCACGAATGGACATTTGGGAGCTCATTAAGGGCAATGGTGAAAAAGAGAACATCTCAGAATAAAAACTGGAAGCACGTTATCTGAGAAACTGATTTCTGATGTGAGTATTCAACTCACAGAGTTAAAACTTGCCTTTCATTCATCAGTTTGGAAACACTGTTTTATTTTATTTTGTTTTATTTTATTATTATTATACTTTAAGTTTTAGGGTACATGTGCACAATGTGCAGGTTAGTTATATATGTATACATGTGACATGCTGGTGTGCTGCACCCATTAACTCGTCATTTAGCATTAGGTATATCTCCTAATGCTATCCCTCCCCACTCCCCTCACCCCACAACAGGCCCCAGAGTGTGATGTTCCCCTTCTTGTGTCCATGTGTTCTCATTGTTCAATTCCCATCCATGAGTGAGAACATGCGGTGTTTGGTTTTTTGTCCTTGCGATAGTTTACTGAGAATGATGATTTCCAATTTCATCCATGTCTCTACAAAGGACACGAACTCACCATTTTTTATGGCTGCATAGTATTCCGTGGTGTATATGTGCCACATTTTCTTAATCCAATCTATCATTGTTGGACATTTGGGTTGGTTCCAAGTCTTTGCTATTGTGAATAGTGCCGCAATAAACATACGTGTGCATGTGTCTTTATAACAGCATGATTTATAGTCCTTTGGGTGTGTACCCAGTAATGGGATGGCTGGGTCAAATTGTATTTCTAGTTCTAGATCCCTGAGGAATCCCCACACTGACTTCCACAATGGTTGAACTATTTTCCAGTCCCACCAACAGTGTAAAAGTGTTCCTATTTCTCCACATCCTCTCCAGCAGCTGTTGTTTCCTGACTTTATAATGATCGCCATTCTAACTGGTGTGAGATGGTATCTCATTGTGGTTTTGATTTGCATTTCTCTGATGGCCAGTGATAGTGAGCATTTTTTCATGTGTTTTTTGGCTGCACAAATGTCTTCTTTTGAGAAGTGTCTGTTCATGTCCTTTGCCCACTTTTTGATGGGGTTGTTTGTTTTTTTCTTGTAAATTTGTTTGAATACCATGCTGTTTTGGTTACTGTAGCCTTGTAGTATAGTTTGAAGTCAGGTAGTGTGATGCCTCCAGCTTTGTTCTTTTGGCTTAGGATTGACTTGGTGATGCGGGCTCTTTTTTGATTCCATATGAACTTTAAAGTAGTTTTTTCCAATTCTGAGAAGAAAGTCATTGGTAGCTTGAAGGGGATGGCATTGAATCTATAAATTACCTTGGGCAGTATGGCCATTTTCACGGTATTGATTCTTCCAACCCATGAGCATGGTATGTTCTTCCATTTGTTTGTATTCTCTTTTATTTCATTGATCAGTGGTTTGTAGTTCTCCTTGAAGAGGTCCTTCACGTCCCTTGTAAGTTGGATTCCTAGGTATTTTATTCTCTTTGAAGCAATTGTGAATGGGAGTTCACTCATGATTTGCCTCTCTGTTTGTTTGTTATTGGCCTATAAGAATGTTTGTGATTTTTGCACTTTGATTTTATATCCTGAGACTTTGCTGAAGTTGCTTACCAGCTTAAGGAGATTTTGGGCTGAGACAGTGGGGTTTTCTAGATATACAATCATGTCATCTGCAAACAGGGACAATTTGACTTTCTCTTTTCATAATTGAATACCCTTTATTTCCTTCTCCTGCTTGATTGCTCTGGCCAGAACTTCCAACACTATGTTGAATAGAAGTGGTGAAAGAGGGCATCCCTGTTTTGTGCCAGTATACAAAGGGAATGCTTTCAGTTTTGGCCCATTCAGTATGATATTGGCTGTGGGTTTGCCATAGATGGCTTTTATTATTTTGAGTTATGTCCCCTCAATACCTAATTTATTGAGAGTTTTTAGCATGAAGTGTTGTTGAATTTTGTGAAAGGCCTTTTCTGCATCTATTGAGATAATCATGCGGTTTTTGTCTTTGGTTCTGTTTCTATGCTTAATTACATTTATTGATTTGCATATATTGAACCAGCCTTGCATCCCAGGGATGAAGCCCACTCGATCATTGTGGATAAGCTTTTTGATGTGCTGCTGGATTTGGTTTGCCAGTATTTTATTGAGGATTTTTGCATCAATGTTCATCAAGGATATTGGTCTAAAATTCTCTTTTTTGGTTGTGGAAACATTGTTTTCTTAGAAACTGTGAAGAGACATTTGGAAATGTAATGAGGGGTGTAGTGAAAAAGGAAATCTCTTCAGATAAAAACTAGAAAGAACCTTTCTGAGACACTGCTTTGTGATGTGTGCATTCATCTCACAGAGTTAGTCCTTTCTTTGGTTTCAGCAATTTGGTAACACTGTTTTTGTCCATTCTGTGATGGACATTTTGGAGCTCATGGAGGCCAATTGCAAAAGAGCGAATATCCCAGGATAAAAACTAGAAGGAATTTATCTGAGAAACTGATTTGTCATGTGTGCATTCATCTAACACAATTAAACATTTTTCATTCAGCAGTTTGGAAACACTGTTTTTGTAGAATCTGTGAAGGGATATTTGGCACTTCATTGAGGCCTATGGTGGAAAATGTAATACCTTCAGATAAAAACTAGAAAGAAGCTTTCTGAGAAACTGCTCTGTGATGTGTGCACTCGTCTCACAGAGTTAAAATTTTCTTTGGATTGAGCAGTTTGGAAAACTGTTTTTTTCCATTCTGTGAATGGACATTTGGGAGATCATTGAGGCCAATGGTGAAGAAGTGAATATCCCAGGATAAAAACTAGCAGGAAGATATATGAGAAAATGCTTTGTGATGTGTGCATTCGTCTTGCAATGCTAAATATTTCTTTTCAATCATAAGTTTTGAAAGTGTTTTTGTAGAATCTGTGTAGGGATATTTGGCAGTACAGAGTGGCCTATGTTTAAAAAAGGAAATATCTTCAGATAAACACTTAAAAGAAGCTTTCTGAGAAACTATTTTGTGATGTGTTCATTCATCTCACAGAGTTAAATCTTTTTTTTTAATTCAGCTGTTTGGAAACACTATTTTCTTAGAATCTGTGAAAAGTCCTTTAATATTGCATTGAGGCCTACGGTGAAAAAGGAAGTATCTTCAGATAAAAATTAGAATGAAGCTGAATTAGGAACTGCTTTGGAATGTGTGCATTCGTCTCACAGAGGGAAACATTTCTTAAGATTCAGCAGTTCAGAAACACTGTTTTTGTCCATTCTGTGAATGAATATTGGGAACACCTCGAGACCAAAGCTGTGCATTCACCTCACATTGTTCAACCTTGTTTTCATTCTGCAGTTTGGAAAGACTCTTTTATTAGAATCTGCGAGGATATATTTGATAGCCATTGAGGTTTATAGTGAAAAAGGATATATCATGAGATATAAACTAGAAAGAAGCTTAATGAGATACTGCTTTGGGATGTGTGCATTCATCTCACAGTGTTAAAAGTTTCTTTTGATTCAGCAGTTTGGTAACACTGTTTTGTCTATTCTGCCAATAGACATTGGGGAGCTCCTTGAGGCCAATGATGAGAAACTAAATATCCCAAGATAAAGACTAGAAGGAATTATCTGAGAAACCGATTTGTGATGTGTGCATTCATCTCAGAGATTTAAACTTTTCTTTTCACTCAGCTGATTGGAAACATGGGTTTCTTAGAATCTGCGAAGAGGTATTTGGTAGTGCATTGAGGCCTATGGTCAAAAAAGAAATATGTTCAAATCAAAGATAGAAAGAAACTTAATGAGAAACTGGTTTAGGATGTGTGCATTCATCTTCACAGAGTTAAACCTTTTTTGAATTCAGCTGTTTGGTAACACTGTTATTGTCAATTCTGTGAGTTGACATTTGGGAGCTCTTTGAGGCCAATGGCTAAAAAGTGAATGTCCCAGGATAAAAACTAGAAGGAAGCAATCTGACAAACTGCTTTGTGATGTACACATTCATCTCACAGAGTTGAAACTTTCTTTGCATTCAGCAGTTTGAATACACCGTTTTTGTAGAATCTGCAAAGGGATATTGGGCAGGGCATTGATGCCGATGTTGAACAAAAGATATCTTCAGATGAAAACTAGAGACCAACTTTCTGAGAAACTGCTTTGTGAGGTGTTCACTCACTTCACAGTGTTAAATCTTTCTTTGGATTCAGCAATTTGGAAACACTGTTTTTGTCCATTCTGTGAATGGACATTTGGGAGCTCATTGAGGCCAATGGAAAAAAAGCGAATATCCCATGGTTAAAAACTACAAGGAAGTTATCTGAGAAACGGATTTGTGATGTGTGCCTTCATCTCACTGATATAACCTTTCTTTTCATTCAGCAGTTTGGAAACACTGTTTCTTAGAATCTGCGAAGAAATATTTGGTATTGCATTGAGGTCTATTATGAAAATTGAAATATCTTCAGAAAAAAACAAGAAAGAAGCTTAATGAGAAACTGTTTTTGGATGTGTGCATTCATCTCACTGAGTTAAAGCATTCTTTTCATTCAGCACTGTGGAAACACCATTTTCTTAGAATCCACAAAGAGATATTTGGCAGCCCTTTGAGGACCATGGTGACAAAGGAAATATCTTCAGATAAAAACTAGAAAGTAGCTTTCTGATAATCCATTTTGTGATCTGTGAATTCATCTCACAGAGTTAAACCTTTCTTTGGATTCAGCAGTTTGGAAACACTGCATTCTTAGAATCTGTGAAGAGATATTTGGCAGCGCATTTAGGTGTATGTTGAAAAAGGAAATATCTTCAGATAAATACTAGAAAGAAACTTTCTGAGAAACTGCTCTGTGATGTGTCCATTCATCCCAGAGAGTTAAACCTTTCTTTGGATTCAGCAGTTTGGAAACACTGTTTTTGTCTATTCTGTGAATAGACATTTGGGAGCTCATTGAGTTCAATGGCAAAAGAGAAAATATCCTAGGACAAAAAACTAGAAGGAAGTTATCTGAGAAACAGATTGTGATGTGTGCAGTCATCTCACAGAGTTAAAACTTTCTTTTCATTTGGCAGTTTGGAAGCACTGTTTCCTTAAAATCTGTGAAGAGACATTTGGTAACGCATTGAGGACCATGGTGAAAAAGGAAATATCTTCAGATAAAAACTAGCAAGAAACTTTCTGAGAAACTGCTTTGTGATGTGTTCATTCTTCTTGCAGATTTACAGCTTTCTTTGGATTCAGCAGTTTGGAAATACTGTTTTTGTCCATTTTGTGAATGGACATTTTGGAGCTCATTGAGGCCAATGGCGAAAAAGTGAATATCCCAGGATAAAAACTAGAGGGAAGTTTTCATGGAAAACGATTCATGATGTGTGCATTCATCTCACAGAGTTTAATCTTTCTTTTTATTCAGCAGTTTGGAAATAGTGTTTTCTTAAAATCTGCCAAGAGATATTTGGAAGACTATACAGGCCTATGGTGAAAAAGGAAGTATTTTCAGATAAAAACTGGAAAGAAGTTTAATGAGAAACTTCTTTGTGATGTGTGCCTTCATCTCAGAGAATTAAACCTTTCTTTGGATTCAGTAGTTTGGAAACACAGTTTTTGTCCATTCTGCTAAAGGGCATTTTGAAGCTCATTGTGGCCAGTGGTGAAAAAGCAAATTTCCCAGCATAAAAACTAGAAGGAAGATGTCAGGGAAACCAATTCATGACGTGTGCATTCATCTCATCGAGTTAAATCTTTCTGTTCATTCAGTTGTTTAGAAACACTGTTTTCTTAGCATCTACAAAGAGATGTTTGGAAGAGTATGAAGGCCAATGGTGAAAAAGGGAATGTCTTCAGATAAAAACTAGAAAGAGCATAACGAGAAAATGGTTTGGGATGTGTGCATTCATCTCAGAGAGTTAAACTTGTGTTTGTATTCAGCAGGTTGGAAACACAGTTTTTGTCCATTCTTGGAATGGACATTTGGGAACTCATTGAGGCCAACGGTGAAAAAGCAAATATCCCAGGATAAAAATTGGAAGGAACTTATCTGAGAAACCAATTCATGATGTGTGCATTCATCTCACAGAGTTAAAATTTTCATTTCATTCAGCAGGATCGAAACACTGATTTCTTAGGATTTGCAGAGAGACAATTGGTAGTGCATTTGGGTGAAAAAAGGTATATCTTCAGATAAAAACTAGCAAGAAGCTTTCTGAGAAACTGCTTTGTGATGTGATCATTCATCCAAAATAGTTAAGCCATTCTTTGGATTCAGCAGTTTGGTAAAACTGTTTTCGTCCATTCTGTGAATGGATTTTTGGGAGCTCATTGAAGCCAAAGGTGAAAAAGAGAATAGCCCATGATAAAAAATGAAAGGAAGCAAGCTGAGAAACTGCTTTGTGATGTGTGCATTCACCTCACAGTGTTAAAAACTTCTTCTCATTCAGCTGTCTGGAAACATTGTTTTGGCAGAATCCAGGAAGGGATATTTGGGAGTGCGTTGAGGCCTATGGTGAAAAAGGAAACATCCTCAGAAAAAAACAAGAAAGAAGCTTTCTGAGAAACTGCTTTGTGATGTGTGCATTCATCTCACAGTGTTAAAAGTTTCTGTGGATTCAGTAGTATGGAAAACTGTTGTTGTAGAATCCTTGAAGAGATATTTTGAAGCTCTTTGAGGCCAATGGTGAAAAAGAGTATATCCCAGGATAAAAACTAGAAGAAAGCTATCTGAGGAACAGCTTTGTGATGTGTACATTCACCTCTCAGAGATAAACCTTTCTTTTCATTCAGCTGTCAGGAAACACTGTTTTGGCAGAATCTACCAAGGGATATTTGGGAATGGATAGAGGCCTATGGTGAAAAAGAAAATATCTTCAGATAAGAACTAGAAAGAAGCTTTCTGAGAAACTGTTTTTAATGTGTGCATTCATCTCATAGAGTTAAACATTTCTTTAGATTCAGTAGTTGGAAAAACATTTGTTTTAGAATCTGAGAACAGATATTTGGGAAATCATTGAGGCCAATGGTGAAATAGCAAATATCCCAATTATAAAAACTAGAAGGAGGATATTTGAGAAACCGTCCTGTGATGTGTACATTCATCTCAAAGACTTAAATAATTCATTTCATTCAGCAGTTTAGAAACACTGTTTTCGTGGAAACTGTTAAGGGATATCTGGGAGCGTATTGAGGCCAATGGCAAAAATGGAAATGACTTCAGATAAAATCTAAAAAGAAGCTTTCTAGAAAGTCCTTTATGATGTGTGCATTTATGTCACAGAGTTAAGCCTCTCTGTGGATTCAGCAGTTTGCAAACACTGTGTTTGTCCTTTCTGTGAAAGGACATTTGCAAGCTCATTGAGGCCAATTGCAAAAAAGACAATATCCCAGGACAAAAACTGGAAGGAAGCTATCTGACAAAACACGTTGTGATGTTTGCATTCACATCGCAGAGATAAACGTTTCTTTTCATACAGCAGTCTGAAAGCACTGTTTAGGCATAATCTGTGAAGGGATATTTGGGTGTGCATTGAGGTCTATGGTGAAAAAGGAAATATCTTCAGATAAAAACAAGAAGAAGCTTTCTGAGAAACTGCTTTGAGATGTGTGCATTCATTTTGCAGTGTTAAACCTTTCTTTTCATTCAGCAGTTTGGAAACACCGTTTTTGTAGAATCTGTGAAGTGATATCTGGGAACACATTGAGACCCATAGTGAAAAAGGAAATATCTTCAGATAAAAACTATAAAGATGCTGCCTGAGAAACTGCTTTGTCATGTGTGCACTCACTTCACAGAGTTAAAACTTTCTGTGGATTCAGCAGTTTGCAAAAACTGTTTTTGTCCATTCTGTGAATGGACATTTGGGAACTCATTGAGGCCAATGTGAGAAAGAGAATATCCCAGGATAAAAACTGGAAGGAAGCTCTCTGACAAATTGCTTTGTGATGTGTGCATTCAACTCACAGAAATAAACCTATCTTTTCATTCAGCAGCCTGGAAACACTGATTTGGCAGAATCCAGGAAGGGATACTTCTGAGTGCATTGAGGTCTTTGATGAAAAAGGACATAACTTCTGATAAAAGCAAGAAAGAAGCTTTCTGAGAAACTGTTTTGTGATGTGTGTATTCATCTCACAGAGTTAAACCTTTCTTTTCATTCGGCAATTTGGAAACACTCTTTTCATAGAAACTGTGAAGTGATAACTGGGAGTGCATTAAGTCCTATGGTGAAAAAGGAAATATCTTCATATAAAAAGTACAAAGAAGCTTTCTGAGAAACTGCTTTGAGACGTGTGCATTCATCTCAAAAGTTAAACCTTCTGTAGATTCAGCAGTTTGGAAACACTGTTGTTGTAGAATCTGCAAAGGGAAATGTGGGAATGCTTTGAGGCCAATGGCAAAAAAGCGAATATCCCAGGAAAAAAACTAGAAGGAAGCTATTTGAGAAATTGCTTTATGATGTGTGCACTCATTTCACAGAGTTAATCCTTTCTTTTCACTCAACAGTTTGGAAATACTCTTTTCATAGAATCTGCAAAGGGATATCTGGGAGTGCATTGAAGCATGTAGTGAAAAAGGAAATATCTTCAGATAAAAACTATAAAGATGCTTTCTGAGAAACTGCTTTGTGATATGCAGATTCATCTCAGAGTTAAACCTTTCTTTGGATTCAGCAAATCAGAAACACTGTTGTTGTAGAATCTGTGAGGGGATATTTGGGAACACATTGAGGCCAGTGGTGAAAAAGTGAAAATCCCAAGATAAAAACTAGAAGGAATGTATCTGAGAAACCACTTTGTGATGTGTGCATTTATCTCACAGAGGTAAGACTTTCTTTTCATTCAGCAATGTGGAAACACTCTTTTGGCAGAATCTGTGAAGGGATATTTAGGAGCTCATTGAGGCATATGGTTAAAAAGGAAATATCTTCAGATAAAAACTAGAAAGAAGCTTTCTGAGGAACTGCTTTGGGATGTGTGCATTCTTCTTATAGAGTTAAAACTTTCTGTAAATTCAGTATTTTGCAAACACTGTTGTTGTAGAAACTGTGTAGGGATATTTGGGAACGCATTGAGGTCAACAGTGAAAAAGCGAATATCCCTGGATAAAACTAGAAGGAAGCTATGTGAGAAACCACTTTGCAATATGTGCATTCATCTTGAACAGTTAAACCTTTCTATTCACTCAGCAGTTTGGAAACACTGTTTTCCTATAATCTACTAAGGGATATCTGGTGGTGCATTGAGGCTTATAGTGAAAAAGGAAATATCTTCAGGTAAAAACTAGAAAGAAGCTTTCTGAGAAACTGCATTGTGATGTGTCCATTCCTCTCACAAAGTTAAACCTTTCTTTGGATTCAGCAGTTTGGAGACACTGTCATTGTAGAATCTGTGAAGGGATGTTTGGGAGCTTAATGAGGCCAAAGTCGTATAACCAAATATCCCAGGAAAAAAACTAGAAGGAGACGATCTGCAAAACCGTTTTGTGATGTGTACTTTCATCTCTCAGAATTACAACTTTATTTTAAACTTTCTAGTGGATTCAGCAGTTTGTAAACACTGTTTTGGTCTATTCTGCAAATGTACATTTGGGAGATCAATGAGGCCAATGGAAAAAAATAAATATCCCAGGATAAAAAGGAGAAGGAACCTCTGTGAGAAACGGCTTTCTGACGTGTGCATTCATCTTGCAGAGTTGAACCTTTCATTTAATTCAGCAGTTTGAAAACACTGTTTTCAAAGTATCTGCAAGGTGATATTTGGGAGTGCATTGACGCCTATGGTGAAAAAGGAAATATCTTCAGATGAAAACTACAAAGAAGCTTTCTGAGAATCTGCTTTGTGATGTGTGCATTCATTTCACAGAGTTAAACCTTTCCATGGATTCAGCAATTTGCAGACACTGTTTTTGTCCATCCTACGAATGGACATTTGGGGCTCATTGAGGCCAATGGCAAAAAAGTGAATATCCCAGGATGAAAAATAGAAAGAAGCTATCTGCTGAGAAACCACTTTGTGAAGTGTGAATTCACCTCGCATAGTTAAAACTTTCTTTTAATACAGCAATCTGGAAACACTGTTGTGGCAGAATCTGCCAAGGGATATTTGGGAGTGCTTTGAGACCTATGGTGAAAAACTAAATAACTTCAGATAAAAACTAGAAAGAAGCTTTCTGAGAAACTGCTTTGTGATGTGTTCATTCATCTCACAGAATTAAAACTTTCTGTGGATTGAGCAGATTGCAAACACTGTTTTTGTCCACTCTGCAAGTATACATTTTGGAGCTCTTTGAGGCCAATGGAAAAAAAATGAATATCCCAGGATAAAAACTGGAATGAAGCTGTATGAGAAACCGCTTTGTGATGTAAGCATTCATCTTGCAAGTTAAATGTTTCTTTTCATTCAGCAGTTTGAAAACACTGTTGTCGAAGAATCTGCAAAGTGATATCTGGAAGCACATTGAGGCCTATTGTGAAAAAGGAAATATCTTCAGATACAAACTAGAAGGAAGCTTTCTGAGAATCTGCTTTGTGAAGTGTTCATTCATCTCACAGAGCTAAAACTTTATGTGGATTCAGCAACTTGCAAACACTGTTTTTGTCCATTCTGCAAATGGAGATTTGGTAGCTACTCGAGGCCAATGGTGAAAAAGTGAATATCCCAGGATAAAAAGTAGAAAAAAGCTATCTAAGAAACTGCTTTGTGATGTGTGGATTCACCTCACAGTGTTAAAATTTTCTTTTCATACAGCAGTCTGGAAAAACTATTTTGGCAGAATCCGGGAAAGGATATTTGGGAGTACATCACAGACTATGGCGAAAAAGTAAACATCTTCAGATAAAAACTAGAAAAGACGTTCTTAGAAACAGCTTTGTGATGTGTGCATTCATCTGCCAGAGTTAAACCTTTCTTTGGATTCAGCATTTTGGAAACACTGCTGTTGTAGAATCCACAAAGGGATATTTAGGAATTCTTTGAAGCCAATGGTGAAAAAATGAATATTGTAGGACAAAAACTAGAATAAAGCTATCAGAGAAACTGGTTTGTGATGTGTGCATTCACCTCAGAGAGTTAAACCTTTCTTTTCATTCAGCTGTTTGGAAACACTCTTTTCATAGAATGTGCGAAGGGATATCTGGGAGCGCATTCAGGCCTACGGTGAAAAAGGAAATATCTTCGGATAAAAACTAGAAGGAAGCTTTCTGAAAAACTGCTTTGTGATCTGTGTATTCATCTCACAGATTTCAACCTTTCTCCGGATTCAGCAGTTTGCAAATGCAGTTTTTGTCCATTGTGTGAATGGTCACTTGGGAGCTCATTGAGGAAAACGGCAAAATAGGGAATATCCCAGGATAAAAACTAGAATGAAACTATCTGAGAAATTGCTTTGTGATGTGTGCATTCACCTCGCAGAGATAAAGCTTTCCCCTTATTCAGCATTTTAGAAACACTGTTATTGTAGAATCTGTGAACTTATATTTGGAAGCACATTGAGGACTATGGTTAAAAACAAATATCTTCAGAAAAAAACTAGAAAGAAGCTTTCTGAGAAAGTGCTTTGTGATGTGTGAATTTACCTCCCAGAATTAAACATTTCTGCAGATTCAGCAGTTTGCAAACACTGTTTTTGTCCATTCTGCAAATGGACATTTGGGAGCTCATTAAAGCCAATGTTGTAAGAGAAAATATCCCAAGATAAAAACTGGAAGGATGCTATCTGAGAAACCGCTTTGTGATGTGTGCATTCACCTCACAGAGATAAACTTTTCTTTTCATTCTGCAGTCTGGAAACACTGTTTTGAAAGAATTCATGAAGGGATATTTGTGAGCACATGGAAGTCTATGGTTAAAAAGGAAATATCTTCGGATAAAAACAAGAAAGAAGCTTTCTGAGTAAGTGCTTAGTGACCTGGGCATTCATCTCACAGAGTTAAACCTTTCTGTGGATTCAGAAGCTTGAAAACACTGTTTTTGCCCATTCTGCAAATGGACATTTGGGAGCTCATTGAGGCCAATGGCAAAAAAGTGAATATCCCAGGAAAAAAACTAGAAGAAAGCTATCTGAGAAACCGCTTTGTGATGTATGCATTCATCCCTAAGACTGAAACCTTTATTTTCATTCTGCAGTTTGGAAAAACTGTTTTCATAGAATCTGCGAGGTTATATTTGGGAGTGCATTTTCTGAGAAACTGCTTTGTGATGTATGCATACATCTCACAGACATAAAACTTTCTGTGGATTTAGCAGTTTGGAAACACTGTTTTTGTCCATTGTGCGAATGGACATTTGGGAGCTCATTGTGGCCAATGGTGAAAAAGCATATATCCAAGGGAAAAACTAGAAGGAAGGTATCTGAGAAACTGCTTTGTGATGTGTGCATTCATCTCAGAGAGTTCAACCTTTCTGTGCATTCAGTAGTTTGAAAACACTGTTTTTGTCCTTTCTGTGAATGGACATTTGGGAGCTCTTTGAGGTCAATGGGTAAAAAGAGAATATCCCAGAATAAAAAGTAGAAGGAAGCTACTTGATAAACCGCTTTGTGATGTGTGCATTCATCTCACAGAGTTAAACATTTCTTTTCTTTCAGGAGTTTAAAAACACTGTTTTCATAGATTCTGCAATGGGATATCTGGGAGCACATTGAGGCTTATGTTGGAAAAGAAAATATCTTTAGATAAAAAGTAGAAAGAAGCTTTCTGACAAACTGCTTTGTGATGTGTGCATTCACCTCACAGGATCAAAACTTTCTGTGGATTCAGCCGTTTGCAAAACTGTTTTGTCCATTCTGTAAATGGACATTTGGGATTCCTTTGAGGCCAATGGCACAAAAGCGAATATCACAGGATAAAAACTAGAAGGAAGTTATCTGACAAAACGCTATGTGATGTATGCATTCACCTCACAGAGATAAGCCTTTCTTTCATTCAGCAGTCTGGAAACACTGTTTTGGCACAATCAGCAAAGGGATATTTGGGAATACTTAGAGGCCTATGGTGAAAAAGGAAATACCTTCTGATAAAAACTAGAAAGAAGATTTCTGAGAAACTAATTTCTGATGGGTGCATTCATCTCTCAGAGTTAAAATTTTCTTTCCACTCAGCAGTTTGGAAACACTGTTTTTTTTTCCATTCTACGAATGGACATTTTGGAGTTCATTGAGGCCAATGGTGAAAAAGTAAAAATCCCAGGATAGCAACTAGAAAGAGTCTATCTGAGAAACCACTTTGTGATGTGTGCGTTCACCTCACAGAGTTAACAATTTCTTTGTATATAGCAGTCTGGAAACACTGTTTTGGCAGAATCTGTGAGGGGATATTTGAAGCGCATTGAGGCCTATGGTGAGAAAGAAAATAACTTCAGATAAACAATAGAAAGAAGCATTCTGAGGAAATGCTTTCTGATGTGTGCATTCATCTTAAAGAGTTAAAATTTTCTGTGGATTCAGCAGTTGGAAAACACTGTTTTTGCCCATTCTGTGAATGGACGTTTTGGAGCTATTGAGGCCAAAGGCAAAAGAGTGAATATCCCAGGATAAAAACTAGAAGGAAGTTATCTGAAAAACTGCTTTGTGATGTGTGCATTCATCTTGCAGAGATAAACCTTTCTTTTCATTCAGCAGTTTGGAAGCACTGTTTTTGTAGAATCGTGAAGAGATATTTGGGAGCTTAATGAGGCCCAGGTGAGAAAGTGAATATCCAAGGAAAAAAAACAAGAAAGAAGCTCTCTGAGAAACCACTTTGTGATGTGTGCATTCAACTCACAGAGGTAAAACTTTATTTTCATTCATCCATCCAGAAACACTGTTTTGGCAGGATCCATGAAGGGATATTTGGGAGCCCATTGAGGCCTATGCTAAAGGGGAAATATCTTCAGATAAAAACAAGAAAGTAGCTTTCTGAGAAACTATTTTGTGATATGTGCATTCATCACCCAGAGTTAAATTTTTCTTTTTATTCAGCAGTTTGGAAAATGTTGTGGAATCTGCAAAGTGATATTTGGGAGCTCATTGAGGCCAAAGGCGAAAAAGTGAATATCCCATGATGCAAACTGGACGGACACCATCTGAGAAACTGCTTTGTGATGAGTGCATTCATCTCTCTGAGATAAATCTTACTTTTGATTCAGCAGTTTGGATACACTCTTTTTGTAGAATCTGCGAAGTGATATCTGGGACCGCATGGAGGCCTATGGTGAAAAAGGAAATATTTTCAGATAAAAACTAGAAAGAAGCTTTCTGGGAAACTGCTTTTTGATGTGTGCATTCACCTCACAGAGTTAAATATTTCTGTGGATTCAGTAGTCTGCAAATACAGTTTTGTACATTCTGTGAGTGGACATTTGGGAACTCAATGAGGCAAATATGAAAAAGCAAATATACCAGGATAAAAACTAGAAAGAAGCAATCTGAGCAACTTCTTTGCGATGTGTGCATTCACCTCACAGAGATAAACTTTTCTTTTCATTTAGCAGTCAAGAAACCCTGTTCTGGAAGGATCTGTGAAGAGATATTTGGGAGTGCATTGAGCACTATGGTTAAACAGGAAATATCCACAGATAAAAACTAGAAAGAAGCTTTCTGAGAAAGTGCTTATTCATCTGTGCATTCATCTCACAGAATTAAATATTTGTGTGGATTCAGTAGTTTTGCCCGATCTGCAAATGCACATTTGGGAGCTCATTGAGGCCAAAGGCCAAAAAAGTGAATATCCTGGGGAAAAAAAAGCTAGAAGGAAGCTATCTGAGAAACCGCTTTGTGATGTGTGCATTCACCATGCAGAGATAAACCTTTCTTTCCATTTAGCAGTTTGGAAACACTGTTTTGTAGAATCAGCGTAGTTATATTTTAGAGTGCATTAGGGACTCTGTTTAAAAGGAAATCTCTTCAGAGAAAAAATGAAAGTAGCTTTCTGAGAAAGTGCTTAGTGATGTGCGCATTCATCTCACAAAATTATACATGACTGTGGATTCAGTGGTATGAAACCCATGTTATTTTCCATTTTGCAAATAGACATTTTGGAGTTCAATAAGGCCAATGGGGGAAAAGGAAATTTCTTAGGATAAGAACTAGAAGGAAGCTCTTTGAGAAACTGCTTTCTGACTTGTGCATTCATCTCACAGGGTTAAACCTTTCTTTTCATTCAGCAGTCTGGAAACATTGCTTTGGCAATATCCGAGAAGGGATATGTGGGAGTGTATTGAGGCCTAACATGAAAAAGGAAATATCTTAAGATAAAAACTAGAAAGAAACCTTCTGAGAAATTGCTTTTTGATGTTTGCATTCGTCTCCCAGAATTAAGCCTTTCTTTGGATTCAGCGTTTTGGAAACAATGTTGTTGTAGAATCTGTGAAGGGATATTTGAGAGCTTAATGGGGCTAATGGGGAAAAACGGAATAACCAGCAAAAAAACGTGAAGGAAGTTATCTCAGAAACTGCTTTGTGATGTGTGCATTCAGCTTTCAGAGTTAAACCTTTCTTCTCATTCAGCAGTTTGGAAACACTCTTTTCATAGAAACTGTGAAGTGATATCTGGGAGCACCTAGAGGCCTATGGTGAAAAAGGAAATATCTTCAGATAAAAACTAGAAAGGTGTTCTTGGAGAAACTGCTTCGTGATGTCTGCATTCATCTCTGAGAGGTAAACCTTTCTTTGGATTTAGCAATTTAGAGACACTGTTTTTGTAGAACCTGCAAAGTGATATTTGGGAGCTCATTGAGGCCAACGCCATAAAAGCCAAAATCCCAGGATAAAAACTAGAAGGCAGTTATCTGAGAAATGGCTTTGTGTTGTGTGCATTCATCTCACAGAGATAAACCTTTCTTTTCATTCAGCAGTTTGGAAATACTGTTTTGGTAGAATCTACAAAGGGATATTTTGTAGAGCATTGATGTCTGTGGTGAAAAAGAAAATATATTCGGATAAAACCTAGAAAGATGCTTTTTTAGAAGCTGCTTTGCTATGTGTGCGTTCATCTTGCAGAGTGAAACCTTTCTTTGGATTCAGCAGTTTAGAAATACTGTTTTTGTAGAATCTGCACAGTGATATCTGGGATTGCATTAAGGCCTATGGTGAAAAAGGAAATACCTTCAGATAAAAACTAGAAAGAAGTTTTCTGAGAAACTGCTTTGTGATGTGTGCATTCATCTCACACAGTTAAACCTTTCTGTAGATTCAGCAGTTTGCAAACACTGTTTTTGTTTTTCCATACTGTAAATGAACACTTGAGAGCTTATTGAGGCCAGTAATGAAAAAGGGAATATCCAAGGAGAAAAAACAGAAGGAAGCTATCTGAGAAACCTCTTTGTCATGTGTGCATTCACCTCACAGAGTTAAAACCTTCTTTTCTTTCCACAGTCTGTAAACACTGTTTTAGCAGAATCCATGAAGGGATATTTGGGAGTGCATTGAGGCCTATTGTGAAAAAAGAAAATACCTTCAGATAAAAACTAGAAGTAAGCTTTCTGAGAAACTACTTTGTGATGTGAGCATTCACCTCACAGAGTTAAACCTTTCTGTGGATTCGGCCATTTGCAAATACTTTTTTGTCCATTCCGCAAAGGGATATTTGTGAGCGCATTATGACCTATGGTGAAAAAGAAAATACCTTCACATAAAAATTACAAAAAATGTTTCTCAGAAACTGCTTTGTGATGTGTGCATTCATCCCACACAGTTAAACAATTTTTGGACTCAGCAGTTTGGAAACACTGTATTTATAGAATCTGAGAAGGCATATCTGGGAACTCATTAAGAGGAATGGTGAACAAGCAAATCTCAGAGGAAAAACACTAGAAGGAAGCAATCCGAGAAACTGCTTTGTGATGAGTACATTCATCACACAGAGTTAAAGCTTTCTTTTCATTCAGCAGTTTGGAAACACTGTTTTCATTGAATCTGCGAAGTGCTATCTGGGAGTGCTTTAAGGCCTACCGTGAAAAAGAAAATATCTTCAGATAAAAACTAGAAATAAGCATCCTGATAAACTGCTTTGTGATGTGTGCATTCATCTCCCAGAGTTAAACCATTCTTTGGATTCACCTATTAGGAAACACTGTTGTTTTACAATCTGTGAAGGGATACTTGGGAGCTCATTGAGGACAAATGTGAAAAAGCAAATATCCCATTACAAAAACTGGAAGGAAGCTATCTGAGAAACCATTTTGTGATGTGTACATTCATCTCACAGAGATAAATCTTTCTTTTTCATTCAGCAGTCTGGAAACACTATTTTGGCATGATCCACAAAGTGATATTTATCACCACATGGAGGCCTATGATGAAAAAGGAAATAACTTCAGATAAAAACTAGAAAGAAGCTTTTTGAGAATCTGCTTTGTGATGTGTGCATTCTTCTCACAGAGTTAAACCATTCTATGGATTCTGCAGTTTGCAAACATGGTTTTTGCCCATTCTGCAAATGGGCATTTGGGAACTCATTGAGGGCAATGGCAAAAAAGCGAATATCCAAGGATATAAACTAGAAGGAAGCTACATGAACCTCACAGAGATAAGCCTTCCTTTTCATACAGTAGTGCGGAAACACTGTTTTTGCAGAATCCATTAAGGGATATTAGGGAGTGCATTGAGGCCTATGGAGAAAAAGTAAATATCTGCAGAATAAAACTGGAAAGAAGCTTTCTAAGAAACTGCTTTGTGATATGTGTATTCATCTCACAGAGTTAAACATTTCTTGCATTCAACAGTTTGGAAACATTGTTGTTGTAGAATCTGCAAAGGTATATTTGGGACCTCATTAAGGCCCATGGTGAAAAAGCCAATATCCCAGGATAAAAAGTATAAGGAAGCCATCTGAGAAGCCACTTTTTGTTATGTGGGCATTCACCTCACAGAGTTAAACCATTTATTTCATTCAGCAGTCCAGAAACACTGTTTTGGCAGAATGCTTGATGGGATATTTGGGAGCGCATTGAGGACTGTGGTGAAAAAGTAAATATCTGTTGAATCAGCAGTTTGGAAAAACTGTCTTTGTCTATTCTGTGAATGGACATTTGGGAGTGCATTGAGGCAAATGGTGAAAAAGCAAATATGCCAGGATAAAAACTAGAAAGAAGCTACCTGAGAAACAACTTTTTGATATGCACATTCACCACCCAGAGTAAAAACTTTCTTTTCATACAGCAGTCTGGAAGCACTGTTTTTGTAGAATATGCAAAATAATATTTCGGAGTTCATAGAAGTCTCTGCAGGCAAAGGAAATATCTTCAGATAAAAAGTAGAAAGAGGCTTTCAGAGAAACATCTTTGTGCTGTGAGAAATCATCTCACATAATTCAACATTTCTTTGGATTAAGCAGTTTGGAAACACTGTTTTTGTCCATTCTGCAAATGGACATCTGGGAGCTCATCGAGGCCAATGGCAAAAATGTTAAACTTTCAGCAGTTTGGAAACACTGTTTTCGAAGAATCTGTGAAGGGATATCTGGGAGCTCATTGAGGCCAATGGTGAAAATGTGAATACCCCAGGATAAAAAATAGAAGTAAGCTATTTGAGAAACTGCTTTGTGATGTGTGCATTCAACTCACAGAGTTAAACTTTTCTTTTCATTCAGCAGTTTGGAAACACTGTTTTCATAATATCTGTGAAGGGTTATCTGGGAGCGCATCGAGGCCTGTGGTGAAAAAGGAAATATCTTCAGATAAAAACTTGAAAGAAACTTCTGAGAAACTGCTTTGTGATGTGTGCATTCATAACACAAAATAAAACCTTTCTTTGGATTCAGCAGTTTGGAAACGCTGTTGTTTTAGAATTTGTGATGGGTTATTTTTGGAGCTCATTGAGGCCAATGGCAAAAAAGAGAATATCCCAGGATAAAAACTAAAAGGAAGTTGTCTGAAAAACTGCTTTGTTGTGTGTGCATTCACCTCTCAGAGTTAAAATATGCTTTTCATTCAGCAGTATAGAAAAAGGGTTTTTGTAGAATCTGCAAAGTTATCTTTGGGATTGCATGGAGGCCTCTGCTGGAAAAGGAAATATCTTCACATAAAAACTAAAAGGAAGCTTTCCAAGAAACGATTTTGCAATGTGGGCATTCATCTCACAGAGTTAAACACTTCTGTGGATTCATCATTTTGCAAACCCTCTTGTTGTGGAATCTGCAATGGGCTATTGGGGAGATCCTTGAGGCCAAAATGGAAAAAGTGAATATCCCAGGATAAAAACTAGACGAAAGCTACTTGAGAAACCGTGTTGTGATGTGTGCATTCATTACGCAGATTTAAACCTTTCTTTTCATTCTGCACCTTGGAAACACTGTTTTCGTAGAATCGGTGAAGGGATTTCTGGAAGCGCATTGAGGCCTGCACTGAAAAAGGAAATATCTTCAGACAAAAACTAGAAAGAAGCTTTATGGGAAATTGCTTTGTGATGTCTGTATTCATCTCACAGAGTTACACTTTTCATTTCATTGAGCAGTTTGAAAACACTGTTTATTTCAATTGTGTGAATGGACATGTGGGAGCTCATTGAGGCCAATGGCCAAAAAGTGAAAATCCCATACAGCAGTTTGGAAAAACTGTTCTGGCAGAATCCACGAGGAGATATTTGGAAGTGCATTGAGGTCTATGGTGAAAAAGAAAATATATTCAGATAAAAACTATTTTGTAGGTTGCCTGTTCACTCTGATGGTAGTTTCTTTTGCTATGCAGAAGCAATTTAGTTTAATTAGATCCCATTTGTCAATTCTGGCTTTTGTTGCCATTGCTTTTGGTGTTTTAGACATGAAGTCCTTGCCAATGCCTATGTCCTGAATGGTGATGCCGAGGTTTTCTTCTAGGGCTTTTCTGGTTTTAGGTCTAACGTTTAAGTCTTTAATCCATCTTGAATTGATTTTTGTACAAGCTGCAAGGAAGGGATCCAGTTTCAGCTTTCTACATATGTCTAGCCAGTTTTCCCAGCACCATTGATTAAATAATGAATCCTTTCCCCATTGCTTGTTTTTCTCAGGTTTGTCAAAGACCAGATAGTTGTAGGTATGTGGCATTATTTCTGAGGGCTCTGTTCTGTTCCATTGATCTATATCTCTGTTTTGGTACCAGTACCATGCTGTTTTGGTTACTGAAGCCTTGTAGTATAGTTTGAAGTCAGGTAGTGTGATGCCTCCAGCTTTGTTCTTTTGGCTTAAGATTGACTTGGCGATGCAAGCTCTTTTGTGGTTCGATATGAACTTTAAAGTAGTTTTTTCCAATTCTGTGAAGAAAGTCATTGGTAGCTTGAAGGGGATGGCATTGAATCTATAAGTTACCTTGGGCAGTATGGCCATTTTCAGGATATTGATTCTTCCTACCCATGAGCATGGAATGTTCTTCCATTTGTTTGTATCCTCTTTTATGTCATTGAGCAGTGGTTTGTAGTTCTCCTTGAAGAGGTCCTTCAAGTCCCTTATAAGTTGGATTCCTAGGTATTTTATTCTTTTTGAAGCAATTGTGAATGGGGGTTCACTCATGATTTGGCTCTCGGTTTGTCAGTTATTGGTGTATAAGAATGCTTGTGATTTTTGTACATTGATTTTATATCCTGAGACTTTGCTGAAGTTGCTAATCAGCTTAAGGAGATTTTGGGCTGAGACGATGGGGTTTTCTAGATATACAATCACGTCACCTGCAAACAGGGACAATTTGACTTCCTCTTTTCCTAATTGAATACCCTTTATTTCCTTCTCCTGCCTGATTGCCCTGGCCAGAACTTCAAACACTATGTTGAATAGGAGTGGTGAGAGAGGGCATCCCTGTCTTGTGCCAGTTTTCCAAGGGAATGCTTCCAGTTTTTGTCCATTCATTATGACATTGGCTGTGTGTTTGTCATAGACAACTCTTATTATTTTGAGATACGTCCTATCAATACCTAATTTATTGAGAGTTTTTACCATGAAAGGTTGTTGAATTTTTGTCAAAGGCCTTTTCTCCAACTATTGACATAGTCATGTAGATTTTGTCTTTGTTTCTGTTTATATGCTGGGTTACATTTACTGATTTTCATATGTTGTACCAGCCTTGCATCCCAGGGATGAAGCTCACTTGATCATGGTGGATAAGCTTTTAGAAGTGCTGCTGGATTCGGTTTGCCAGTATTTTATTGAGGATTTTTACATCAATGTTCATCAAGGATATTGATCTAAAATTCTCTTTTTTTTTGTTGTGTCTCTGTCAGGCTTTCGTATCAGGATGATGCTGGCCTCATAAAATGAGTTAGTCAGGATTCCCTCTTTTTCCATTGTTTGGAGTAATTTCAGAAGGAATGGTACCAGCTCCTCCTTGTACCTCTGGTAGAATTTGGCTGTGAGTCCATCTGATCCTGGACTGTTTTTGGTTGGTAAGCTACTAATTATTGCCTCCATTTCAGAGCCTGTTATTGGTCTATGCAGAATTCAACTTCTTCCTGGTTTAGTCTTGGGAGGGTGTATGTGTTGAGGAATTTATCCATTTCTTCTAGATTTTCTAGTTTATTTTCATAAGGGGGTTTATAGTATTCTCTGATGGTAGTTTGCATTTCTGTGGGATTGGTGGTGATATCCCCTTTATCATTTTTTATTGCATCTATTTTATTCTTCTCTCTTTTCTTCTTTATTAGTCTTGCTAGCGGTCTATCAATTTTGTTGATCTTTTTAAAAAAACAGCTGCTGGATTCATTCATTTTTTGAAGGGCTTTTTGTGTCTCTATTTCCTTCATAAGAATCAAAAAAGAGCCTGCATTGCCAAGTCAATCCTAAGCCAAAAGAACAAAGCTGGAGACATTACTCTACCTGACTTCAAACTATACTACAGGGCTACAGTAACCAAAACAGCATGGTACTAATACCAAAACAGAGATGTAGACCAATGGAGCAGAACAGAACCCTCCGAAATAATGTCTCATATCTACAACTATCTGATCTTTGACAAACCAGACAAAATCAAGCAATGAGGAAAGGTTTCCCTATTTAATAAATGGTGCTGGTAAAACTGGCTAGAAATATGTAGAAAGCTGAAACTGGATGCCTTCTTTACACCTTATACAGTAATTAATTCAAGATGGATTAAAGACTTACATGTTAGACCTAAAACCATCAAAACCCTAGAAGAAAACCTAGGCAATACCGTTCAGGACATGGCATGGGGAAGGACTTCATGTCTAAAACACCGAAAGCAATGGCAACAGAAACCAAAATTGACAAATGGGATCTAATTAAACTAAAGAGCTTCTGCACAGCAAAATAAACTACCATCAGAGTGAACAGGCAACCTACAGAATGGGAGACAATTTTTGCAGTCTACTCATGTGACAAAGGACTAATATCCATAATCTACAATGTACTCAAGCAAATTTACAAGAAAAAAGACAGGTAACCCCATCAACAAGTGGGCAAAGGTTATGAACAGACAGTTCTCAAGAGAAGACATTTATGCAGCCAAAAGACACATGAAAAAATGCTCATCATCACTGGCCATCAGAGAAATGCAAATCAAAGCCACAAGGAGATAACTTCTCATACCAGATGGAACGGAGATCATTAAAAAGTCAGGAAACAATAGGTGCTGGAGAGGATGTGGAGAAATAGGAACACTTTTACACTGTTGGTGAGACTGTAAACTATTTCAACCGTTGTGGAAGTCAGTGTGGCAGTTCCTCGGGAACCTAGGACTAGAAATACCATTTGACCCAGCCATCCCATTACTGGGTATATACCCAAAGTATTATAAATCATGCTGCTATAAAGACACATGCACACGCATGTTTATTGTGGCACTATTCACAATAGCAGAGACTTGGAACCAACCCAAATGTCCAACAATGATACATTGGATGAGCAAAATGTGGCACGTATACACAATGGAATACTACGTAGCCATAAAAAGTGTTGAGTTCATGTCCTTTGTAGGGACATGGATGAAGCTGGAAACCATCATTCTCAGCAAACTTTTGCAAGGAGAAAAAACAAAACACCACATGTTCTCACTCATTGGTGGGAAGTGGACAGTGAGAACACTTGGAGAAAGGAAGGGGAACATCACATACTGGGGTCTCTCATAGGGTAGGGGAAATGGGGGAGGGATAGCATTACGAGATATACCTAAGGTAAATGACGAATTAATGGGTGCAGCACATCAACACGGCACATGTATACATATGTTTCAAACCTGCACGTTGTGCACATGTACCCTAAAACTTAAAGTATAATAATAATAAAAAGAAAAACTAAAATAAGCTATCTGAAAAGTGCTTTGTGATGTATGCATTCATCTCATAGAGTTAAAGCTTTCTTTTCATTCAGCTGTCTGTAAATATTGTTTTGGCAGAATCCGTGTGTCGATGTTTTGGAGCGCATTGATTCCTATGGTGAAAAAGGTAATATCTTCTGACAAAAACTAGAAGGATTGTTTCTGAGAAACTTCTTTGTGGTGTGTACATTCATCTCACAGGGTTAAAATTTTCTTTGGATTCAGGAGTTTGGAAACACTGTTGCAGAATCTGCGAAGGGATATTTGGGAGCTCATTGAGGCAAATGATGAAAACACGAATATACCAAGATAAAAACCAGAAGGAAACTATTTGAGAAACTACTTGGTTATGTGTGCATTCATCCTACAGAATTAAACTTCTCTTTTCATTTAGCAGTATGGAAACACTTTTTTCATAGAATCTGTGAAGAGATATCTGGGAGCCCACTGAGGCCTATGGCGAAAGAGGAAATCTCTTCGGATAAAAACTAGAAAGAAGCTTTCTGAGAAACTGTTTTTTGTTGTTTACTTTCACCTTATAGTGTTAAACGTTTCTGTGGATTTGCAAACACTATTTTTGTCCATTCTGGGAATGGACATTTGTGAGCAAATTGAGGCCAATCGAGAAAAAACGAGCATCACAGGATAGATAGAAACTAGAAGGAAGCTATCTGAGCAACTGCTTTGTGATGTGTGCATTCACCTCTAAGAGATAAACTTTTCTTTACTCAGCAGTCTGGAAACAATATTTTGGCAGAATACATGAAGGGATATTTTGGAACACATTTAGGCCTATAGGGTAAAAGGAAATATCTTCAGGTAAAAACTAGAAAGAAGCTTTCTGAAAAACTGCTTTGTGATGTGTGCATTCATCTCACAGAGTTAAACCTTTCTGTGGAAACAGCCATTTGCACACACTGTTTTTGTCCCTTCTATGAATGGACATTTGGGAGCACATCGAGGCCTGTGGTGAAAATGGAAACATCTTGTGATAAAATCTAGAAAGAATCTTTCTGAGAAACTGCTTTGTGATGTGTGCATTCATCTCACAGAGATAAACCTTTCATTAGATTCAGCAGTTTGTAAACACTGTTATTGTAGAATCTGCAAAGGGATGTGTGGGAGATCATTGATGCCAGTGGTGAAAAAGACAATATCCCATTATAACAACTAGAAGGAATCAATCTGAGAAACCGCTTTGGGATGTGTGCATTCAACTCACAGAGATAAACTTTTCTTTTCATGCAGTAGTCTGGGAACACTGTTTTGACAGAATCTGCAAAGGGATATTTGGGAGCACATTGAGGCCAAGAGTGAAAAAGGAAATGTCTTCAGATAAAAACCAGAAAGAAGCTTTCTGAGAAACTGCTCTGTGATGCATGCATTCATCTCACAGAGTTAAACCTTTCTTTGCATTCAGCAGTTTGGAAACACTGTTGTTGTAGAGTCTGTGAAGGGATATTTGGGAGCTTATTGAGGCCAAAGTGGAAAAACAGAATATCCCAGGAAAAAAACAAGACGGAAGTTATCTGAGAAACCGCTTTTTGATTTGCGTATTCATCTCTCAGATGTAAAACATTCTTTTCATTCAGCACTTTGGAAGCACTGTTTTCGTAGAATCTGCGAAGTTATATTTGGGAATGCATAGAGGCCTATGGTGAAAAAGGAAATATCTTCAGATTAAAAATAAGATTTCTGATAAAATGCTTTTCTATGTGTACATTTATCTCACAGAGTTAAACCTTTCTATGGATTCAGCAAATTGCAAAGACTCTTTGTGTCCATTCTGTGAATGGGCATATGGGAACTTATTGAGGCCAATGGTGAAAAAGTGAATATCCCAGTATAAAATGTGGAAGGCAGCTACCTGAGAAACCGCTTTGTGATTTTTGCATTCATCTTCCCTAGGTAAACTTTTATTTTCATTCAGCAGTCTGGATACACCGTTTTGGCAGAATCTGTGAAGGGTTATTTGAGACTGCATTCAGGCCTGTGGTGAAAAAGCAAATATATTCAGATAAAAACTAGAAAGAAGTTTTCTGAGAAACTGCTTTGTGGTGTGTGCATTTGTCTCAAAGAGTTAAACCTTTCTGTGGATTCAGCAGTTTGGAAACATTGTTGTTGCAGACCCTGTGAAGGGATATTTGTGAGCTTAATGATGCCAAAGGCGAGAAAGCAAATATCTCAGGAAGAAAACTAGAAGGAAGATATCTGAGAAACTGATTTGTGATGTGTGCATTTACCTCGCAGAGTTAAAACTTTCTTTTCATAGAGCAGTCTGGAAACACTGTTTTGACAGAATCTGCAAAGGGATATTTGGGAGCACATTGAAGCCTATGGTGAAAAAAGAAATAATATCTTCACATAAAAACCAGAAAGAAGCTTTCTAAGAAACTGATTTGAGATGTGTGCATTCATCTCACAAAGTTAAACATTTCTTTGGATTCAGAAGTTTGGAAACACTGTTCTAGAATCTTCAAAGGGTTATTTTGAAGCTCACTGAGGCCAAAGGTGGAAAAGCGAATAGCCCAAGAGAAAAACTAGAAGGAAGCTATCTGAGAAACTGCCTCATGATGTGTGCATTAATCTGACACAGTTAAAACGTTTCTTTTCATTCAGCAGTTTGGAAACACGGTTTTCATAGAATCTGTGAAAGGATATCTGGGAGCACATTTAGTCCTATGGTGAAAAAGGAGATATCTTCAGATAAAACCAGAAGCATTCTGAAAAACTGCCTTGTGATGTGTGCATTCACCTCACAGAGTTAAACCTTTCTGTGGATTCAGCAGTTTGCAAACTCTGTTTTTGTCCACTCTGTGATTGGACGTTAGCTAGCCCAATGCAGCCTATGGCCAAAAAGCGAATATCCCAGGATAAAAACAAGAAACATGCTATCTATCTGAGGAACTGTTTTGTGATGTGTACATCACCTCGCAGAGAAAAGCCTTTCTTTTCATTCAGCAACCTGGAAATACTCTTTTGGCGGAATCCATGAAGGGAAATTTGGGAGTGTATAGAGGCCTATGGTGAAAAAAGGAATTATCTTCAGATAAAAACTAGAAAGAAGCTATCTGAGAAAATGCTTTGTGATGTGTGCATTCATCTCAAAGAGTTAAAACTTTCTGTAGATTCATCAGTTCACATATACTATTTTTGTCCATACTGCGATTGGACATTTGGGAGCTCACTGGGGACAATGTCCAAAAATGGAAAATCCCAGGATAAAAAATAAAATGAAGCTATCTGAGAAACTGCTTTTTGATGTGTACATTCACTTCACAGATTTAAACTTTTCTTCTCATTCAGCAGTCTGGAAACACTGTTTTGGCAGAATCCGAGAAGGGATATTTGGGAGCACCTAGAGGCCCATGGTGAAAAAGAAAACATGTTCAGATAAAAACTAGAAAGAAGCTTTCTTAGAAAATGCTTTGTGATGTGTGCATTTCTCTCACAGAGTTAAAACTTTCTGTGGATTCAGCAGTTTAGAAACACTGTTTTTTTAGAAGCTGGGTAGGGATATTTGGGAGCTTAATGAGGCAAATGCAAAAAACGGATATCCCAGGATAAAAACTAGAAGGAAGCCCTTTGAGAAAACTCTTTCTGTTGTGTGCATTACTCTTGCAGATTTAAACCTTTCTTTCCATTCAGCAATTTGGAAACACTGTTTTCATAGTATCTGCAAAGTGATATCTTGGAGCACTTACTTTGAGATCTGTGGTGAAAAAGGAAACATATTCAGTTTAAAATTAGAAAGAAGTTCTATGAGAAACTACTCGGTGTTTTGAGCATTCATCTCACAGAGTTAAACCTTTCTGTGGATTCAGCAGTCATAAACACTGCTTTTGTCTATTCCATGAATGCACATTTGGCTGCTAGTTGGAGCCAAAGGAGAAAAAGTGAATATCCCAAGATAATAACTAGAAAGAAGCTATCTGAGAAACCGCTTTGTGGTGTGTGCATTCATCTCACAGAGTTAAACCTTTCTTTTCATTCAGCAGTTTGGAATCACTGTTTACGTATAATCTGTGAACGGATATCTGGGAGCACATTGTGGTCTATGGTGAAAAAAATACCTTCAGGTAAAAACTAGAAAGAAGTTTTCTGAAAGAATGCTTTGTGATGTGTGCATTCATCTCACAGATTGATAGCTTCTGTGGATTCAGCAATTTGCAAACACTGTTTTTGTCCATTCTGCCCATGGACATTTGGGAGCCCTTTGTGGCCAATGGAAAAAAAGCAAATATCCCAGGATGAAAACTAGAAGGAAGCTATATGAGAAATCGCTTTGTGATGTGGGAATTCACCTGGCAGAGATAAATTTTTCCTTTCATTCAGCAGTATGGAAACGCTGTTTTGGCAGAATCAGCTAAGGGATATTTGGGAGTGCAAAGAGGTCAATTGTGAAAAAGGGAATAACTTCACATAAAAACTATAAAGAAGCTTTCTGAGAAACTGCTTTGTGATGTGTGCATTCATCACACAGAGTTAAATATTTCTTTGGATTCAGCAGTTTGCCAACATTGTTTTGGCCCATTCTGTGAATAGACATTTGGGAGCTCATTGAGGCCAATGGCAAAAAACCGAATATCCCAGGATAAAAACTAATAAAAACTACCTGAGACACTGCTTTATGAATGGAGCATTCACCTCACAGAGTTAAAACTTTCTTTTCATACAGCAGTCTGGAAACACTGCTTTGGAAGAATCCACAAAGTGATATGTGGGAGCACATTGAGGCCTAAGGTGAAAAAGTAAATATCATCAGATAAAAGCTGGAAACTAGCTTTCTGAGAAACTGCTTTGTGATGTGTGCATTCATCTCACAGAGTTAAGCCTTTCTTTGGATTTGGCATTTTGGAAACACTGTTGTTGTAGGATCTGCATAGCAATATCTTGGATCTTAATGATGACAATGGTGAAAAAGTGAATATCCCAGGAAAAAAAAAACTAGAAACTGCTTTGTGATGTGTGCATTCATATCTCAGAGTTAGACCTTGCCTTTATTTAGCAGTTTGGAAACAATGTTTTTGTAGAATCTGTAAAGGTATACCTGGGAGCGCATTGAGGTCCATGGTGAAAAATGAAATATCATAAAATAAATCAATAAATAAGCTTTCTGAGAAGTTGATTTGTCATATGTGCATTCATCTCACAGAGTTAAGCTTTTCTATGGATTCGGCCATTTGTTAAAACTGTTTTTCTGCATTCTGTGAAAGGACATTTGGGAGTTCATAGAGGCCAATGGCGAAAAACAAATATCCCAGAATAAAAACTAGAAGGAAGCTACCTGAGAAACTGCTTTGTGATGTGTGCATTCAGGTCACAGAGTTAAAACTTTGTTTTCATTCAATAGTTTGGAAAAACTGTTTTCGTAAAATATAGTAAGTGATATCTGGGAACGCATAGAAGACTATGGTGAAAAAGGAAATGCCTTCAGATAAAAACTAGAAAGAAGCTTTCAGAAAAACTGCTTTGTGATGTGTGCATTCATCTCACAGAGTTAAACCTTTCTATGGATTCAGCAATTTGGAAATACTTTTGTTGAAGAATCTGTGAAGGGATATATTGGAACTTAATGAGGTCAATGGCAAAAAAGCAAATATCCCAGGAAAAAAACTAGCTGGAAGCTATCTGAGACACTGCTTTGTGATGTGTGCATTCACCTCTCAGAGATAAACCTTTCTTTTCATTCAGCAGTTTGGAAACACTGTTTTTGTAGAATCTTCGAAGTGATATCTTGGAGTGCATTGAGGCCTAAGGTGAGAAAGGAACTATCTTCAGATAAAAACTAGAAAGAAGCTTTATGAGAAATTGCTTTGTGATGAATGAATTCTTCTCACAGTGTTAAAACTTTCTGTGGATTCAGCAGTTTGCAAACACTATTTTTGTCCATTCTGCAAATGGACATTTGGAAACTCATTAAGGCCAATGATGAAACTGCAAATATCCTAGGATAAAAACTAGAAAAGAGCTATCTGAGAACCGGCTTTCTGAGGTGTGCTTTCACCTAGGAGAGTTAAAACTTTCCTTTAATACAGCATTCTGGAAACACTGTTTTGGCAGAATCTGTGAAGGGATATTTTGGAGGGCATTGAGGCTTATGGTGGAAAAGGAAATATCTTCAGAAAAAAACTAGAAAGAAACTTTCTGAGACGCTGCTTTGTGATGTGTGCATTCAGCTTATAGAGTTAAACCTTCCTTTGGATTCATCAGTTTGATAACACTGTTCTTGTAGAATCTGGGAAGAAATATTTGGGAGCTTAATTAAGCAAAATGCTTTGAGAAAGTGAATATCCCACGATAAAAACCAGAGAGAAGCTTAATGAGAAACTTGCTTGGGATGTGTGCATTCATCTCAGACAGTAAGACTTTCCTTGGTTGCAGCAGTTTGGAAACATTGTTTTAACCATTCTGGAACTGGACATTTGTGGGCTTATTGAGGCCAACGGTAAACAAAGCAAATATCCCAGGATAAAAACCAGAAGGAAAAATCTGAGAAACAGTTTTGTTATGTGTGCATCAATCTAGCAGAGTTAAACATTTCTTTTCTTTCAGCAGTTTGGAAACACTGTTTTTGTAGAATATGCAAAGAGATATTTGGTTGTGCATTGAGGCCTATGGTGAAAAAAGAAATATCTTCAGAAAAAAATTAGAAGCTTTCTGAGAAACTGCTTTGTGATGTGTGCATTCATCTCACAGACTTAAACATTTTTTTTGATTCAGCAGTTTGGTAACACTGTTTTTGTAGAATACAAAAAGGGATATTTTGGAGCTCATTGAGGCCAAAAGCAAAAAAGTGAATATTTCAGGATAAAAACTAGAAGGAAGCTATCTGAGAAACTGTCTTGTTATGTGTGCATCCATCTCACAGATTTAAACGTTTCTTTTCATTCAGCAGTTTGGAAACACATTTTAGTACAATCATCTGTGAAGGGGTATGTGGAGGTGCATTGAAGCTTATGGCGAAAAAGGAAATATCTTCAGATAAAAACCAGAAAGAAGCTTTCTGAGAAACTGCTCGGTGATGTGTGCTTTCATGTCACAGATTTAAACCTTTCTTTGGATTCAGCATTTTGGAAACATTTGGACAATTTGCAGCTCATTGATGACAGTGGTGAAAAAGTGAATATCCCAGGATAAAAACTCAAAGGAAGCTAGCTGAGTAACTGCTCTATGATGTGTGCATTCGTCTCACAGAGTTAAACCTTCCTTTCAATTCAGCAGTTTGAAAACACTGTTTTCATAGATACTGCGAAGGGATTTCGGGGGCCGCATTGAGGCCTATGGTGAAAAAGAAAATATCTTCAGTTAAAAAGTAGAAAGAAGCATTCTGAGAAACTGCTTTGAGATGTGTGCCTTCATCTCACAGACTTAAATGTTTCTTTGGATTCAATAGTATGGAAGCACTGTTTTTGTCGAATCTGTGAAGAGGTAGTTGGGAGTGCATTGAGGCCAAAGGTGAAAAAGCAAATATCCTGGGATAAAAACTAGAAGGAAGCTACCTGAGAAATCCCTGGGTTATGTGTGCATTCATCTTGCAGAGTTAAACCTTTCCTTTTATTCAGCAGTAAGGAAACACTGTTTTTGTAGAGTCTGCAAAGGGACATTTAGGAGCTCATTGAGGCCAAATGCGAAAAAGTGAACAGCCTGGGATAAAAACTAGAAGGAAGATATATGTGAAACCACTTAGTTATGTGTGCATTCATCTCACAGAGTTAAACCTTTCTTTTCATTCAGCAGTTTGGAAACACTGTTTTGGTGGAATCTGTGATGGGATATTTTAGAGTGCATTGAGGCCTATGGTGAAAAAGGATCTATCTTTAGATAAAAACTAGAAAAAAGCATTCAGAGAAACTTCTTTGTAATGTGTGCATTCATCTCACAGAGTTAAACCTTTCTTCTGATTCATCATTTTGGAGACACTGTTTTTGTCCCTTTCGCAGAATGGACAATTGGGAGACCATTGAAACCAATGGTGAAAAAGTGAACATCACAGGATAAGAAGTAGAAGAAAGATATCTGACAAACCGCTTTGGGATGTGTGCATTCATCTCTCAGAGTTAACTTGTTTTTCATTCAGCAGTTTGGAAACACTGTTTTTGTAGAATCTGTGAAGGGATATTTGGGAGCTCATTGGGGCCAAAGGTGAAAAAGTAAATATCCCACGATAAAAGCTAGAATAAGCTATCTAAGAATATGCTTTGTGATGTGTGCATTCATCTGACAGAGTTAAATGTTTCTTTTCATTCAGTAGTTTTAAACACATTTTGGTAGAATCTGCAAAATGATATATGGGGGTGCATTGAAGCCTATGGTGGAAAAGGAAATATCTTCATATAAATACTAGAAAGAAGCCTTCTGACAAATTGCTTTGTGATGTGTGCTTTCATGTCACAGAGTTAAACATGTCTTTGGATACAGCATTTGGGAAACACTGTTTCTGTCCATTCTATGAATGGACATTTGGCAGCTCATTGAGGCCAATGGTGAAAAAGTGAATATCTCAGGATAAAAACTTGAAAGAACCTGTCTGAGTAACCACATTGTGATTTGTGCATTCATCTCACAGAGTTAAACCTTCGTTTTCATTCAGCAGTTTTGAAACACTGTTTTTGTAGAATCTGCAAAGGGATATTGGGGCACGCATTCATGCCTATGTTGAAAAAGAAATTATTTTCAGTAAAAAACTAGAAAGAATCTTTCTGAGAAACTGCTTTGTGATGTGGACATTCATCACACAGAGTTAAACATTTCTTTGGATTCAGCAGTATGGAAACACTGTTTTTGTAGAATTTGCAAAGGGGTATTTAGGAGCTCATTGAAGCCAAAGGCAAAAAAGGAAATATCCCAGGATAAAAACTAGAAGGAAACTATCTGAGAAGCCACTTGGTTATATGTGCATTCACTTCACAGAGTTAAGCTTTCTTTTAATTCAGCAGTTTGGAAACACTACTTTGTAAAATCTGCGAAGGGGTTTTTGGGAGACCATTGAGGCCTATGGTGAAAAATGAAATATGTTCAGATAAAAACTAGAAAGAAGCTTTCTGAGAAACTGCTTTGAGATGTGTGCATTCATCACACAGAGTTAAACCTTTCTTTGGATTCAGCAGTTTAGAAACCATGTTTTTGTCCATTCTGTCAATGGACATTTGGGAGCTCATTGAAGCCAATGGCAAAAAAACAAATATCCCTGGATAAAAACTAGAAGGAAACTATCTGAGGCCGCTTTGTTATGTGTGCATTCATCTCACAGAGTTAAACCTTTATTTTCATTTGGCAGTTTGGAAACACTGTATTTTAAAATCTGTGAATGGATATATGGGAATGCTTTGAGTCCTATAGTGAAAAAGGAACTATCTTCAGATGCAAACTAGAAAGAAGTTTTCTGAGAAACAGCTTTGTTATGTGTGCATTCCACTCACAGAGTTAAAACCTTTTTTGTATTCACAAGTTTGGAAACATTGTTTTTGTAGAATCTGCAAAGGAATATTTGGGAGGTCATTGAGGCCAAAGGCAAAGAGTGAATATTCTAGCATAAAAACAGAAGGAAACTATCGGAGAAGCCTCTCTGAGATGTGTGTCTTGATCTCCAAAAGTTAAAATTTTTTTAACATTCAGCAGTTTGGAAACACAGTTTTGTAGGATCTGCAAAGTTATATTTTGTTGTGCATTGTGGACTATGGTGAAAAAGAAATATCCTCAGCTAAAAATTACAAAGAAGGTTTCTGACAAACTGCTTTGGAAAGATGCATTCATCTCACATCTCACAGAGATATACACATTACTTTTGATTCTGCAGTTTGAAAACACTGTTTTTGTTCTTTCTGCAAATGGACATTTGGGAGCTCATTGAGGACAATGGCAAAAACGCGAATATCCCAGGATAAAAACTAGAAGGGAGTTGTCTGAAATACTCGCTTTTTCACCTTTGGCCTGAATGAGCTCCCAAATATCCATTCACAGAATGGACAAAAACAGTGTTTCCCAACTGATGAAGCAAAAGAAATGTTTATCTCTATGAGATGAATGCACACATCAGAAAGCAATTCCTCAGAAAGATTATTTCTACTTTTTATCTGAAAATATTTCCTTTTACCATAGCCCTAAAAATGATTTGAAATTTCTCTTTGCATATTCTATGAAAACAGTGTTTCCACAATGCTGAATGAAAAGAAAGGTTTAACTCTGCTAGATGAATGGATACATCACAAAGCGGTATCTCAGATAGCTTCCTTCTAGTTTTTATCCTGGGGTATTCACTTTTTTGTCTATGGCCTCAATGAGCTATCAAATATCCCTTGGCAGATTCTACTAAAACAGTGTTTACAAACTGTTGAATCCAAGGAAATGTTGAAATCTGTGAGATGAATGCACACATCACAAAGCCGTTTCTCAGAAAGATTCCTTCTAGTTTTGATCTGAAGTTATTTCCTTTTTCACCATAGGCCACAAAGCCCTCCTATATATAGCTTCACAGAGTCTACCAAAACAGTGGTTCCAAACTGCTGAATGAAAAGAATGTTTTAACTCTGCGAAATGAATGCATCCATCACAAAGTGGTTTCTCAAGTAGTTTCTTTCTAGTTTTTATACTGGGATATTCGCTTTTTCCCAGATGGCCTCTATGAGCTGCCAAATATCCCTTTGCACATTCTACAATAACAGTGTTTCCAAACTGGTGAATCCAAAGAAAGGTTTTACTGTGTGATATGAATGCACACATCATAAAGCAGTTTCTCAGAAATCTTCTCTCTAGTTTTCAACAGAAGATATTTCCTTTTTACCATAAGCCTAAATGCGCTCCCAAATATCCCTTTGCAGTTTCTACAAAAAGAGTGTTTCCAACCTGTTGAATGAAAATAAAGGTTTAACTCTGTGAGATGAATGCACATATCACAAAGTGGTTTTTCAGATAGATTCTTTCTAATTTTTTTCATGGGATATTCACTTTTTGGCCTTTGGCTTCAATGAGCTGTCTAATATCCCTTCGCGGATTCTACAAAAAGATTGCTTGAAAACTGCTGAATCCAAAAAACGGTTTAACACTGTTAGGTGAATGCACACATCATAAAGCAGTTTCTCATAAAGCTTCTTCCTACTTTTTGTCTGAAGATATTTCCTTTTTCACCATAAGCCTCCGTGCTCTCCCAAATATCCCTTTACAGATTCTACCAAAACGGTGTTTCCAAACTGTTGAATGAAAAGAAAGGTTTAACTCTGTGATTTGAATGCACCCATCACAAAGCAGTTTCTCAGATAGCTTTCTTCTAAGTTTTATCCTTGGATATTCACTTTTTCTCCTTGGCCTCAATGATCTCCCAAATGTCCATTCATAGAACGGACAAAAACAGTGTTTCTACACTGCTGAATCCAAAGAACGGTTCAACTCTTAGAGATGAATGCACACATCACAAAGCACTTTCTCGTAAATCTTCTATCTTGTTTTTTTCTGAAGATATTTCCTTTATCACCATAGTCCTCTATGTAATTCCAAATGTTCCTTCACGGATTCTGCCAAAGTAGTGTTTCCAAACTACTGTATGAAAAGAAAGTTTTAACTCTTCCAGGTGAATGCACATCACAAAGTGGTTTCTCAGATAGCTTCCTTCTAGTTTTTCTCCTGTGATATTCACTTTTTCACCATTGTTGTTAATGAACTATCAAATGTCCTTTTGCAGAATGGGTGAAAACAGTGTTTGCAAAATGCTGATTTCACTGAAAGGATTATCTCTGTGAGCTGAATGAACACATCACAAAGCAGTTTCTCAGAGAGCTTCTTTCTAGATTTTATCTGAGTATATTTCCTTTTTCACCATGGGCCTCAATGCCCTTCCAGATATCCCTTTGAAGTTTCTATGAAAACAGTGTTTCCACAATGCTGAATGAAAAGAAAGTTTAACACTGTGAGATGAATGCACACATCACAAAGTGGTTTCTCAGATAGCTTTCTTCTAGTTTTTATTCTGGGATATTCGCTTTTTCACCTTTGAACTCAATGACCTCCAAAGTGTCCATTCGCAGAATGGACAAAAAGAGTGTTTCCAAACTGCTGAATCCAAAGAAAGGTTTACCTCTGTGAGATGAATGCACACATCACAAAGCAGTTTTTCTGAAAGCTTCTTTCTAGTTCTTACCTGAAAGTATTTTCTTTTTCACCATAGGCCTCATTGCATTCTCAAACATCCCTTTGTGGATTCTGCCAGTACAGTATGCCAAACTACTGTATGAAAAGAAAATATTAACTCTGTAAGGTGAATGCACACATCACAAAGGTTTTTCTCAGATAGCTTCTTTGTAGTTTTTATCCTTGGATATTCACTTTTTCACCTTTGGACTAAATGAGCTCCCAAATTTCCATTAGCAGAAGGGACAAAAACAGTGTTTTCAAACTGCTGAATCCAAAGAAAAGTTGAAATCTGTTAGATGAATGTACACATCACAGAGCAGTTTTTCAGAAAGCTTCTTTCTAGTTTTATCTGAAGCTATTTCCTTTTTCACCGTAGGCCTCAAAGCACTCCAAGTTATCCTTTTGCAGATTCTACGATAACAGTGTTTCCAACCTGCTGAAAAAAAGAAATGTTTAACTCTGTGAAATGAATGCACACATCACAAAGTGGTTTTTCAGATTGCTTTCTTCTATTTTTTTCTAGTATATTTTCTTTTTCGTCATTGGCCTAAATGAGCTCCTGAATATCCGTTTGTATATTCTAAATTAACAGTGTTTTCAAACTGCTGAATCAAAAGTTTACTCTATGAGATGAATGCACACATCACAGAGCAGTTTCTGAGAAAGCTTCTTTCTAATTTTCATTTGAACATATTTCCTTTTTGAACATAGGCCTCAATGAGCTCCCAAATATAACTTCACAGAAACTGCCAACACAGTGTTTCCAGACTGCTGAGTGAAAAGAACTTTTTATCTCAGCGAGGTGAATGCACACTTAAGAAAGCGATTTCTCAAATAGCATTCTTCTAGTTTTTATCTGGGGATATTCACTTTTTCATCATTGGCCTCAATGAGCTCCCCAATGTACATTTGCAGAATGGACAAAAACAGTATTTGCAATCTGCTGAATCCACAGACAGTTTTAACACAGTGAGATGAATGCACAAATCACAAAGCAGTTTCTCAGAAAGCTTCTTTCCACTTTTAATCTGAAGATATTTCCTTTTTCACCATAGGCCTCAATGCACTCCCAGATACCACTTCGCAGATTCTACGAAAACAGTGTTTCCAAACTGCTGAATGAAAAGAAAGGTTTAACTCTGTGAGAGGAATGCACACATCACAAAGTGGTTTCTCAAATAGCTTCCTTCTAGTTTTTATCCTGGGATAGTTGGTTTTTCCCCTTTTGCTTAATTTAGCTCCCAAATTTCCCTTCACAGATTCTACAATGACAATGTTTCCAAACCGCTGAATCCAAAGAAAGGTTTAACTCTGTGAGGTGAATGCACACATCTCAAAGCTGTTTCTCAGAAACTTCCTTTAATTTTTATCTGAAGACTTTTTACCACAGACCCCAAATATCCCTTCGTGAATTCTTCCAAAACAGTGTTTACAGATTGCAGAATGAAAAGACAGTTTTAACTCTTTGAGGTGAATGCACACATCACAAAGTAGTAGCTCAGATAGCTTTCTTCCCATTTTTATCCTGGGATATTGGCTTCCTTGTCATTGGTCTCAAGGAGCTCCCAAATATCCGTTTGCAGATTCTACAACAACGGGGTTTTCAAACTGCTGAATCTAAAGAAAGGTTTCATTCTGTGAGATGAATGCGCACATCACAAAGCAGTTTCTGTGAAAGCTTCTTTGTGGTTTCTATCAGAAGATATTTCCTTTTTCACTGTAGGCCTCAAATGCACTCCAGATATCCCTTCACACTTTCTACAAAAACAGTGTTTCCAAATTGCTGAATGACAAGAAATGTTTAACTCTGTGAGACTAATGAACACATCACCAAGAGGTTTCTCAGATTAATTTCTTCTAGTTTTTTTTTCCTGGAATATTTGCATTTCCGCCATTGGCCTCAGTGAGCTCCCAAATATCCCTTTGCAGAATCTACAACAACAGTTTTTTCCAACTGATGAATCCAAAGAGAGGTTTAACACTGTGAGATGAATGCACACATCACAGAGCCGTTTCTCAGAGAGTTTCTTTCTTTTATCTGAAGATAGTTCCTTTACACCATAGGCCTCAGTGAGCTCCAAAACATCCCTTTGGGGATTCTGCCAAAACAGTTTTTCCAGACTGCTAAGTGAAAAGAAAGTTTTATCCATACAATGTGAATGCACACATCACAAAGCAGTTTCTCAGATTGATTTCTTCTAGTTTTTGTCCTAGGATATTCACTTTTTCTCCATTGGCCTCAATGAGCTCTCAAGTATCCCTTCACAGATTCTACAACAACGATGCTTCCAAACTGCTGAATCCAAAGGAAGGTTTAACTCTGTGAGATGAATGCACAAATCACAAAGAAGTTTCTGAGAAAACTTCCTTTTAATTTTTATCTGAAAATATTTCCTTTTTCATCATAGGCCTATAGGTGCTCCCAAATATCCCTTCATGGATACCGCCAAAACAGTGTTTCCAGACTGCTAAATGAAAAGCAACGTTTATCTCTGCGAGGTGAATGTCACATCACAAAACTGTTTCTCAGATAGTTTCTTTCTAGTTTTTATCCTGGGATATTCCCTTTTTTGCCATTGGCCTCAATGAGCTCCCAAATGTCCATACGCAGAATGGACAACAACAGAGTTTTCAAACTGCTGTATCCAAAGTAAGGTTTAACTCTGTGAGATGAATGCACACATGTGAAAGTAGTTTCTCAGAAAGCTTCTTTGTAGTTTTTATCTGAGGTTATTTCGTTTTTCACCATAGGCCTCAATGCACTCCTAGATATCACTTTGCAGATTCTACAAAAATATTGTTTCCAAACTGCTGAATGAAAATAAAGGTTTAACTCTGCGAGTTGAATCCTCACTTCACAAAGCAGTTTCTCAGAAAGTTTCTTTCTTGTTTTTGTTTGAAAATATGTCCTTTATCTCCATCAGCCTCTATGCGTTCCCAAATAACCCTTCGGGGATTCTGCCAAAACAGTGTTTCCAGACTGCTAAATGAAAAACAATGTTTATCTCTGCATGGTGAATGCACACATCACCATGCGATTTCTCAGATAGCTTCCTTCCAGTTTTTATCCTGGGATATTCCCTTTTTCACCACTGGACTCAATGATCTCTCAGATATCTATTTGAAGAATGGTCAAAAACAGTGTCTGCAAACTGCAGAATCCACAGAAAATTTTAACTCTGTGACATGTAAGCACTCATCACAAAGCTGTTTCTCAGAAAGCTTCTCTCTAGTTTTTATCTGAAGATTTCTTTTTCACCCTGGCCTCAATGCGCTCCCAAATATCCCTTCATGGATTCTGCCAAAAACAGTTTTTCCAGACTGCTGGATGCAAAGAAAGTTTTAACTCTTCCAACGGAATTCACACTTCACAAAGCAGTATCTTAGATTGCTTCCTTGAACTTTTTATCAAGATATGGCCTTTTTCACCACAGGCCTCAAGGTGCTCCCAAATATCCCTTTGCTGATTCTGCCAAAACAGTGTTTCCAGATTGCTGAATCTAAGGAAATATTTATCTCTGTGAGATGAATGCACACATCACAAAGCTGTTTCTCAAATAGCTTTCCTTGAGATTTTATGATGGGATATTCCCTTTTTTTGCCATTTATCTGAAAGAATTCCCAAATGTCCATTTGCAGAATGGACAAAAACAGTGTTTGCAAACTACTGAATCCACAGAAAATTTGAAATCTTTGAGATGAGTGCACACATCACAATATAGTTTCTCAGAAAGCTTTCTGAAAATCTGAAAAAAAAATCTGAAGATATTTGTTTCACTGTAGGCCTCAAAGGGCTCCCAGATATTCCTTTGCAGATTCTACAAAAACAGTGTTTCCAAAGTCCTGAATGAAAAGAAAGGTTTAATTCTGCTAGATGAATGCACACATCACAAAGCAGTTTCTCAAAGAGCTTCCCTGTAGTTTTTATCCTGGGATATTCGTGTTTTTGCCATTGGCCTCAATGAACTTCAAAATATCCATTTTCAGAATGGACAAAAACAGTGTTTGCAAACTGCTTAATTGATAGGAAAGTTGAACTTTGTGAGATGAATGCACACATCACAAAGCAGTTTCTCAGAAAGATTCTTTGTAGTTTTTATCTGAAGATATTCCCTTTTTCACCGTAGGCCTCTATGCACTCCAATATAGACCTTTGCAGATTGAAGAAAAACAATGTTTCCCAACTTCTGAGTGAAAAGAATGTTTTAATTCTGATAGAAGAATGCACACATCACAGGGCGGTTTCTCAGACAGCTTCCTTCTAATTTTTATTCTGGGAAGGTCCATTTTTCCCCTTTGGCCTCACTAAGCTCCCAAATTTCCCTACACAGATTCTAAAACAACAGTGTTTTCAAACTGCTGAATGGAAAGTAAGGTTTAACTCTGTGAGATGAATGCACACATCATAAAGCATTTCTCCGAAAGATCCTTTCTAATTTTTATCTGAAGATATTTCCTTTTCACCATAGGCCTCAGTGTGCTCCCAAATATCCCTTTGTGGATTCTGCCAAAACAGTTTTTCCAGACTGCTAAATGAAAAGAAAGTTTTAAATGTGTGAGGTGAACACGAACATCACAAATCAGTTTCTCAGGTAGCTTCCTTCTAGTGTTTATCCTGGGATAGTTTTTTTCCCCCTTTGGCCTCATTAAGCTCCCAAATATCCCTTCACAGATTACACAACAATGCTGTTTCAAAACTGCTGAATCCATAGAAAATTTTAACTCTGTGAGGTGAATGCACACATCACAAAGCTTTTTCTCAGAAAGCATCTTTCTAGTTTTTATCCAAAGATTTTTTTTTTCACCATAGCCCTCAAAGCACTCCCAAATATCCCTTGGCAAGTTCTGGCAAAACAGTGTTTACAGATTGCTGAATGAAAATAAAGTTTTAACTCATAGCTTCCTTCAAGTTTTTATCACGGGATGTTGGCTTTTTCGATATTGGCCTGAATGAACTCCCAAATATCCCTTTGCAGATTCTACAACAACAGGGTTTTCAAACTGCTGAATCCAAAGAAAGATTTAACTTTATGAGATGAATACACACAACATAAAATAGTTTCTCAGGAAGTTTATTTCTAGTTTTTATCTGAAGTTATTTCCTTTTTCACCATAGGCCTCAATGTGATCCCTGATATCCCTTCACAGATTCTATGAAAACAGTGTTTCCAAATTACTGAATGAAAAGAAAGGTTTAACTCTGTGAGATGAATGCACACACCACAACGTAGTTTCTCAGATTGATTTCTTCTAGTTTTTTTTTTCCTGGGATATTTGATTTTTCACCATTGGCCCCAATGAGCTCCCAAATATCCCTTCACAGATTCTACAACAACAGTGTTTTCAAACTGCTGAATACAAAGAAAGGTTTACTTCTGTGAGATGAATGCACACATCCCACAGCAGTTTCTCAGATAGCTTCTTTCTATTTGTTATCTGAAGATATTTCCTTTTCACCACAGATCTCAGTACACACCCATATATTCCTACGCGGACTCTGTCAAAACAGTTTTTCCAGACTCCTAAATGAAAAGAAAGTTTTATCTCTATGAGGTGAATGCACACATCACAAAGAAGTTTCTCAGATAGCTTCCTTCTCTATTTTATCCTGGGATATTCACTTTTTTGCCTTTGGCTTCAATGAGCTCCAAAATATCCCTTCGCTGATTCTACAACAACAGTGTTTCTAAACTGCTGAATCCAAAGAAAGGTTTAACTCTGTGAGATGAATGCCCGAATCTCAAGGTAGTTTCTGAGAAAGCTGTTTTCTAGTTTTCATCTGAGGTTATTTCCTTTTTACCATAGGCCTCTAAGGGCTCCAATATATATCTTTGCAGATTCTACAAAAACAATGTTTCCAAACTGCTGAATGAAAAGGACTTTTCACCACTGAGAGGTGAATGCACACATCACAAAGCTGTTTCTCAGATAGCTTCTTTCTAGTTTTTATTCTGGGATAGTCCATTTTTCCCTTTGGCCTACTTATGCTCCCAAATTTTCCTTCATGGATACTAAGGCAACAGTGTTTACAAACTGCTGTATCCAAAGAAAGGTTGAACTCTGTGAGATGAATGCACACATCTCAAGGCAGTTTCTCAGAAAGATTCTTTCTAGGTTTTATCTGATGTTATTTCCTTTTTCACCATAAGCCTCAATGCACTCCCAGATATCACTTCACAGATTCTCTGAAAACAGTGTTTCAAAACTGCTGAATGAAAAGAAAGCTTTAACTCTGCGAGGTGAATGCACACATCACAAGGCAGTTTCTCAGAAATCTTCTTTGTAGTTTTTACCTGAAGATATTTCCTTTTTCATCATAGGCCTCAAGGCACTCCCAAATATCCCTTCATGGATTCTGCCAAAACTGTGTTTCTGGACTGCTGAAGGAAAAGAAAGGTTTGTCTCTGCGAGATGAATGCACACTTCACAAAGCAGTTTCTCAAATAGCTTCCCACTAGATTTTTCCTTGGATATTTGCTTTTTCACCATTGATCTGAAAGAACTCCAAAAAGTCCATTCACAGAACTGACAAAAACAGTGATTGCAACCAACTGAATCCACAGAAAGTTTGAACACTGTGAGATGAATGCACACATGACAATGCAGTTTCTCAGAAGGCTTCTTTCTAGTTTTTATCTGAAGATATTTCCTTTTTCACCATAGGCCTCAATGTGTTCCCAGATATCCCTCTGCAGAATCTATGAAAACATTGTTTCCAAATTTCTGAATGAAAATAAAAATTTAACTCTGTGAAATGAATACACACAACACAAAGCAGTTTCTCAAATAGCTTCCCTTTATTTTTTACCCTTAGATATATGCATGTTTGCCATTGTCCTCAATGAGCTTCAAAATGTCCATTTTAAGAATGGACAAAAACAGTGTTTGCAAACTGCTTAATCCAAGGAAAGGTTGAACTCTGTTAGATGAATGTACACACCACAAAGCAGTTTCTCAGAAAGCTTCTTTGTAGTTTTTATCTGAAAATATTTCCTTTTTCACCATAGTCCTCTATGCACTGCAAAATATACCTTCAAAGATTCTACAAAAAGAGTGATTCCAAACTCTTGAATAAAAAGAATGCTTTAAATCTTAGACATGAATGCACACATCACAAAGCAGTTTCTCAGATAGTTTCCTTCTAGTTTTTATCCTGGGATATTTGCTTTTTTGCTATTGGCCTCAAGGAAATCCCAAATGTCCATTCGCAGAAAGGACCAAAACAGTTTCCAAACTGCTGTATTGAAAAAAAAGGTTTAACTCTGTGAGATGAATAAACGCATCACAAAGTAGTTTATCAGAAAGAATCTTGCTCAGTTTTATCTAAAGATATTTCCTTTTTCACCATAGGCCTCAATGCACTGCCAAATATCATTTCACAGTTTCTACAAAAACAGTGTTTCCAAACTGCTGAATGAAAATAAAGGTTTAACTTTGTGCAGTGAATGCACACATCACAAATCGGTCTCTCAGACAGCTTCCTTCTAGTTTTTATCCTGGGATATTAGCATTTTCACCTTTGGCCTCAATGAACTCCAAATTGTCCATTTGCAGAATGCACAAAAAAAGTGTTTTCAAGCTGCTGAATTCAAAGAAAGGTTTAACTCTCTGAGATGAATGAACACATCACAAAGCAGTTTCTCAGAAAGCTTCTTTTTAATTGTTATTTATAGATAATTCCTTTTTTACCATATGCCTCAAAGCACTACCAAATATCCATTCATAGTTTCTACAACAACAGTGTTTCCACACTGCTGAGTAAAAAGAAAGGTTTAACTCAGCTAGGTGAATGTAAACTTCACAAAGCAGAGTCTCAGACAGCTTCCTTCTAGTTTTTATCCCGGGATATTCACTTTTTCACCATTCACCTCATTGAGCTCCCAGATGTCCATTCACGGAATGGACACAAAGTGTGTTAACACACTGCTGAATCTAAAGAAGGGTTTAACTCTCTGAGATAAATGCACACATTCCAAACCAGTCTCTCATTAAGCTTCCTTCTATTTTTTATTTGAAGATATTTCCTTTTTTACCATAGACCTCCATACTCTTCCAAATATTTCTTCGCAGATTCTAGGAAAACAGTGTATCCAAATTGCTAAATGAATAGAAAGTTTTAACTCTGTGCAATGAATGCACACATCACAAATAGGTTTCTCAGATAACTTCCTTCTAGTTTTTGTCCTGGGATATTCGCTTTTTCTCCATTGGCATCAATGAGCTCCCAAATGTCCATTCACAAAATGGACAAAAACATTGATTCCAAACTGCGGAATCCAGAGAAACTTTTAACTCTGTGAGATGAATGAACACATCACAAATCAGTTTCTCAGAAAGCTTCTTTCTAGTTTTTATCTGAAGATATTTCCTTTTTCACCATAGGCCTCAAAGTGCTGCAGAATATCCTTTCACAGCATCTGTTAAAACAGTGTTTCCAAATTGCTGAATGAAAAGAAAGGTTTAGCTCTGCGAGATGAATGCAGACATCATAAAGTGGTTTTTCAGAGAGATTCCTTCAGTTTTTACCCTGGGATATTCGCTTTTTCACCATTGGCCTCAATAAGCTCTGAAATATCCTATGCTGAATGGACAAAAACCGTATTACCAAACTGCAGAATCCAAAGAAAGCTTTAACTCTGTGAGATGAATGCACACATCACAAAGCAATTTCTCATTAAGCTTCTTTCTAGTTTTTATCTGAAGATATATCCTATTCTCCATAGTCCTCAATGCGCTACCAAATATCCCTTTGTAGATTCTAAGAAAACAACGTTTCCAAACTGCTGAATGAAAAGAAAGGTTTAAATCTGTGAGCTGAATGCACACATTACAAAGTGGTTTCTCACAGAGCTTCCTTCTAGTTTTTATCCTGGGATATTTGCCTTTTCACCTTTGGCCTCAATGAGTTCCCAAATGTCTACTTGCAGAATGGACAAAAACAGTGATACCAAACTGCTGAATCCTAAAAAATGTTTTACTCTGTGGGACGAATGAACACATAACAAACCAATTTTTCAGTAAACTTCTTGATAGTTTTTATCTAAGGATATTTCTTTTTACACCATAGGCCTCAATGTGCTGCCAAATATCCTTTCACAGTTTCTACAAAAGCAGTGTTTCCCAACTGCTGAATGAAAAGAAGGGTTTAACTCTGTGAGATGAATGCACACATCACAAAGTGGTTTCTCAGAGAGCTTCCTTCTAGTTTTTATCCTGGCATATTCCCTTTTTTGCCATTGGCCTCATTGAGCTCCCAAATGTCCATTCACAGAATTGTCAAAAGCATTGTTATCAAACTACTGAATCCAAAGAAAGGTTTAGCTCTGTGAGATGAGCACACACATCCCAAACAAGTTTCTCATTAAACTTCTTTCCAGTTTTTTTCTGAAGATATTTCCTTTTTCAGCATAGGCTTCCATACTCTTCCAAATATCTTGTCAGAGATTATAAGAAAAGAGTGTTTGCAAACTGCTGAATGAAAAGAAAGTTTTACCTCTGTGAGATGAATACACACATCAGAAATCAGTTTCTCCAATAAGTTCCTTCCAATTTTTATCCTGGGATATTCACTTTTTCACCATTGGCCTCTATGAGCTCCCAAATGTCCATTCGCAAAATGGACAAAGAGTGATTTTCCAAACTGCTGAATCCAAATGAAGGTTTAACTCTGTGAGATACATGCACACATCCCAAAAGCAGTTTCTCATTAAGCTTCTTTGTAGTTTTTATTTGAAGATATTTCCTAATCACCATAATCCTCAATGTGCTATCAAGTATTCCTTCAAAGATTCTAAGAAAATAGTGTTTCCAAGCTGCTGTATGAAAAGAAAGGTTTAACTCTGTGAGATGAATGCACACATCACAAATCACTTTCTCAGATAACTTCCTTCTAGCTTTTATCCTGTGATAATCACTTTTTCTCCATTGGCCTCAATGAGATCCTAAATATCCCTTTGCAGATATTTTTGGTGGCGCATTGAAGCCTACAGTGTAAAATGAAATATCTTCAGATAAAAACTAGAAAGAAGCTTAATGTGGAGCTGCCTTGAGATGTGAGCATTCATCTCACAGAGTTAAATTTTCTTTGGATACAGCAGTATGGTAACATTGTTTTTTTCCATTCTGCGAATGGACATTTCAGAGCTAATTGAGGACAATGGTAAAAAAGTGAATATCCCAGGATAAAAACTAGAAGGAAGCAATCTGAGAAACTGCTTTGTGATGTGTGCAATCACCTCACTGAGAGAAACTTTCCTTTTCATTCAGTAGTCTGGAAACACTGTTTTGGCAGAATCCATGAGGGGAAATTTTGGAGCACCTTGGGGCTTATGGTGAAAAAGGAAATATCTTCCCATAAAAGCTAGAAAGAATCTTTCTGAGAAACTGCTTTGTGATGTGCGCATTCATCTCACAGAGTTAAACTTTTCTTTGGATTTAACAATTTGGAAACACTGTTGTAGAATCTGTGAAGGGGTATTTGGGAGCTTAATGAGGCCAAAGATGAAAAACTGAATATCCCAGGAAAAAAATGGAAGCTATCTGAGAAACCGCTGTGTGATGTGTGCATTCATCTCTCACATTTATAACAACATTCAGCAGTTTGTAAACACTGTTTTTATAGAATCTGAGAAGTGATATCTGAGAGTGCATTGAGGCCTACGGTGAAAATGGATATATCTTCAGGTAAAAAGTACAAAGAAGCTTTTTGTAAAATGCTTTTTGAAGTGGGCATTCAACTCACAGAGTTCAAATTTTCTGTGTATTCGGTAGTTTGCAAACACTGTTTTTGTCCATTCTGTGAATGGATATTTGAGAGGTCAATGGTGAAAAGAAAACATCCCTGGACAAAAACTAGAAGGAAGTTATCTCAGAAACCACTTTGTGATATGTGTATTGAACTCTCAGAATTAAACCTTTTTTTTCTTTCAGCAGTTTGGAAACACTGTTTTCATAGAATCTATGAAGTTATATCTGGGAGTGCATTGAGGCCTATGGTGAAAAAGGAAATAACTTCAGATAAAAATTAGAAAGAAGCTTTCTGTGAAACTGCTCTGTGATGTGTGTCTTCACCTTACGGAGGTAATCATTTCTGTGGATTCAGCCACTTGCAAACACTGTTTTTGTCCATTCTGCAAATGGACATTTGGGAGCTCTTTGATGCCAATGCTGAAAAAATGAATATCCCAGGATACAAATTAGAAGGAAGCTATTGCAGAAACTGCTTTATGATGTGTGCATTCACTTCATAGTGTTAAAACTTTCTTTTCATTCAGCTGTCTGGAAACACTGTTTTGGCAAATCCATGAAGGGACATTTGGGAGTGCATTGAGGTCAATGGTGAAAAAACGAATATCCCAGGATAAAAACTAGAAGGAAGCTATCTGTGAAACTGCTTAGTTCTGGGTGCAATCATTGTGCAGATTTAAAACTTTCTTTCCATTCAGCAGTTTGGAAAAACTTTTTGTAGAATCTGCAAAGGGATATTTGGGCATGCAATGAGGCCTATAGTGAAAAAGGAAATATATCTTCAGATTAAAATTAAAAAGAACTTTTCTGAGAAACTACTTGGTGATCTGTGCATTCATATCACAGAGTTCAACCTTTCTTTGGATTCAGCAGTTTGGAAACTGTTTTTGTAGAATCTGCAAAGAGACATTTGGGAATTCATTGAGACCAAAGGCAAAAAAGTGAAAAGTCCAGGACAAAAACTAGAAGGAATTATATGTGAAACCACTTTGTGATGTGTGCTTTCATCTCTTAGAGATAAACCTGTCTTTTCATTCAGCAGTTTGGAAGCACTATTTTGGTAGAAACTGTGATGGGATATTTCAGAGTGCAATGAGGCCTCTGGTGAAAAAGGAAATATCTTTAGATGAAAACTATAAAGAAGATTTCCGAGAAACAGCTTTGTGATGTGAGCATACCTCTCAGAGAGTAAAACATTTCCTTGCATTTACCAGATTGGAACCACTGGTTTTGTAGAATCTGGGAAGGGATATTTGGGAGGCCATTGAAGCCAAAGGTGAGAAAACAAATATTCTAGCATAGAAACAGGAAGAAAGCTATCAGATAAACTTCTGTGTGATGTGTGCCTTGATCTCCCAAAGTTAAACCTTTCTTTTCATTGAGCAGTTTGGGAACACTGTTTCTGTAGGGGCTGCAAACTTATATTTTGTTGCTCGTTGGGGCCTAGGGTGAAAAAGAAATATCTTCAGATAAAAACTACAAAGAAGCTTTCTGAGAAACTGCTTGGTGAAATGTGCATTCATCTCACAGAGATACACGTTTCTTTGGATTCAGCAGTTTGGAAACACTGTTTTTGTCCATTCTGTGTATGGACATTTGGGAGCTCATTGAGGACAATGGCCAGAAAATGAATATCCCAGGATAAAAACCAGAAGGAAGCTATCTGAGAAACTGCCTTGTGATGTGTGCTTTCATCTCATAGACTTAATACTATCTTCTCATTCAGGAGTTTGGAAACACTGTTTTTGTAGAATCTGCAAAGGGATATTTGGAAGCTCATTTGTGCCAAAGGTGAAAAAGCAAATATCCCAGGATAAAAACTAGAATAAGCTATGTGAGAAAGTGCTTTGGGATGTGTGCATTCATCTCACAGAGATAAACTTCTTTTCATTCAGATAGCATTCTGCTAGTTCTAATTCTTAGAATACTTGCTTTTTTTGCCTTTGGCCTGAATGAGCTCCCAAATGTCCATATGCAGAATGGAGAAAAACAATGTTTCCCAACTGATGAATCAAAAGAAATATTTATCTTTTTGAGATGAATGCACACATAACAAAGAAGTTTCTCAGAAAGATTTTTTTCCAGTTTTTACCTGATGATATTTCCTTGACCATAGTCCTAAAAGAGCTGTCAAATTTCTCTTCTCATATTCTAGGAAAACAGTGTTTCCACAATGGTGAATGAAAAGAAAGGTTTAACTCTGCAAGATGAATGGATACATCCAAAGTGGTTTCTCAGATACCTTCCTTCTAGTTTGTGTCTTGGGATATTTCCTTTTTCACCCATGGCCTCAATGAGCTATCAAATATCCCCATGCAGATTCTACTAAAACTCTGTTTACAAACTGTTGAATCTAAAGAAATGTTGAAATCTGTGAGATGAATGCACACATCACAAAGCAGTTTCTCAGAAATCTTCTTTCTAGTTTTGATTTGAAGTTATTTCTTTTTCACCATAGGCCTCAAGGCACTCCAATGTATACTTTTGCAGATTCTACCAAAACAGTGTTTCCAAACTGCTGAATGAAAAGAAAGTTTTAACTCCTCTGTGAGATGAATGCACACATCACAAAGCGGTTTCTCAGATAGTCTGCTTCTAGTTTTTATCCTGGAAAATTCACTTTTTCTCCGATGGGCTCAATGAGCTCCAAAATATGCCTTCACACATTCTACAACAACAGTGTTTCCAAATTGTTGAATCCAAACAAAGTTTTAACACTGTGAGATGAATGCGCACATCACAAAAAAGTTTCTCAGAAAGCTTGTTTGTAGTTTTCAACTGAAGATATTTCCTTTTTACCATAAGCCTCATTGTGCTCTCAAATATTCCTTTGCAGTTTCTATGAAAACAGTGTTTCCAACCTGCTGAATGAAAATAAAGGTTTAACTCTGCAAGATGAATGCACACATCACAAAGTGGTTTTTCAGATAGCTTCCTTCTAGTTTTTATCCTGGGATATTCACTTTTTCCCCATTGGCCTCAATGAGCTGCCAAATGTCCATTTGCAGAGTGGAGAAAAACAGTGTTTCAAAACTACTGAATCCAAAGAAAGGTTTAACTCTCTTAGATGAATGCGCATGTCACAAAGCAGTTGCTCAGAAATCACCATAGTTCTCAATGCACTCCCAAATATCACTTCACAGATTCTACCAAAATAGTGTTTCCACGCTGCTGAACTGAAAGGAAGGTTTAACTCTGTGAGATGACTGCACGCATCACAAAGAGGTTTATCAGATAGCTTCCTTCTTGTTTTTATCCTGGGATATTTGCCTTTTCAGTTATGGCCTCAATGAGCTATCTAATATCCTTTCTCAGATTCTACAAAAATAGTGTTTCCAACCTGCTGAATCCAAAGAAAGGTTTAACTCTGTGAGATAATTGCACACATCACAAAGCATTTTCTCAAAAAGCTTCTTTCTGCTTTTTACCTGAAGATATATACTTTTTCAAGGATATTGGTCTAAAATTCTCTTTTTTGGTTCTGTCTCTGCCCGGCTTTGGTATCAGAATGATGCTGGCCTCATAAAATGAGTTAGGGAGGATTCCCTCTTTTTCTATTGATTGGAATAGTTTCAGAAGGAATGGTACCAGCCCCTCCTTGTACCTCTGCTAGAATTCGGCTGTGAATCCATCTGGTCCTGGACTCTTTTTGGTTGGTAAGCTATTGAGTATTGCCACAATTTCAGATCCTGTTATTGGTCTATTCAGAGATTCAACTTCTTCCTGGTTTAGTCTTGGGAGGGTGTATGTGTCGAGGAATTTATCCATTTCTTCTAGATTTTCTAGTTTATTAGCATAGAGGTGTTTGTAGTATTCTCTGATGGTAGTTTGTATTTCTGTGGGATCGGTGGTGATATCCCCTTTATCATTTTTCATTGCGTCTATTTGATTCTTCTGTCTTTTTTTCTTTATTAGTCTTGCTAGCGGTCTATTTTGTTGATTCTTTCAAAAAAAGAGCTCCTGGATTCATTAATTTTTTGAAGGGTTTTTTGTGCCTCTATTTCCTTCAGTTCTGCTTTGATTTTACTTATTTCTTGCCTTCTGCTAGCTTTTCAATGTGTTTGCTCTTGCTTTTCTAGTTCTTTTAATTGTGATGTTAGGGTGTCAATTTTGGATCTTTCCTGCTTTCTCTTGTGGGCATTTAGTGCTATAAATTTCTCTCTACACACTGCTTTGAATGCATCCCAGAGATTCTGGTATGTTGTGTCTTTGTTCTCATTGGTTTCAAAGAACATCTTTATTTCTGCCTTCATTTCGTTCTGTACCCAGTAGTCATTCAGGAGCAGGTTGTTCAGTTTCCATGTAGTTGAGTGGTTTTGAGTGAGATTCTTAATCCTGAGTTCTAGTTTGATTGCACTGTGGTCTGGAGTGAGTTTGTTATACTTTCTGTTCTTTTACATTTGCTGAGGAGAGCTTTACTTCCAAGTATGTGGTCAATTTTGGAATAGGTGTGGTGTGGTGCTGAAAAAAATGTATATTGTGTTGATTTGGGGTGGAGAGTTCTGTAGATGTCTATTAGGTCTCTTTGGTGCAGAGCTGAGTTCAATTCCTGTGTATCCTTGTTGACTTTCTGTCCATTGATCTGTCTAATGTTCACAGTGGGGTGTTAAAATCTCCCATTATTAATTTGTGGGAGTCTATGTCTCTTTGTAGGTCACTCAGGACTTGCTTTATGAATCTTGGTGCTCCTTTATTGGGTGCATATATATTTAGTATGGTTAGCTCTTCCTGTTGAATTGATTTCTTTACCATTATGTAATGGCCTTCTTTGTCTCTTTTGATCTTTGTTGGTTTAAAGTCTGTTTTATCAGAGACTAGGATTGCAACCCCTGCCTTTTTTTGTTTTCCATTGGCTTGGTAGATCTCCCTCCATCCTTTTATTTTGAGCCTATGTGTGTCTCTGCACGTGAGATGGGTTTCCTGAATACAGAACACTGATGGCCAAAAATCCTCAATAAAATACTGGCAAAACGAATCCAGCAGCACATCAAAAAGCTTATCCACCATGATCAAGTGGGCTTCATCCCTGGGATGCAAGGCTGGTTCAATATACGCAAATCAATAAATGTAATCTGACATATAAACAGAGCCAAAGACAAAAACCACATGATTATCTCAATAGTTGCAGAAAAGGCCATTGACAAAATTCAACAACCTTCATGCTAAAAACTCTCAATAAATTAGGTATTGATGGGACGTATTTCAAAATAATAAGAGCTATCTATGACAAACCCACAGCCAATATTATACTGAATGGGCAAAAACTGGAAGCATTCCCTTTGAAAACTGGCACAAAACAGGGATGACCTCTCTCACCACTCCTATTCAACACAGAGTTGGAATTTCTGGCCAGGGCAATCAGGCAGGAGAAGGAAATAAAGGGTATTCAATTAGGAAAAGAGGAAGTCAAATTGTCCCAGTTTGCAGATGACATGATTGTATATCTAGAAAACCTCATTGTCTCAGCCCAAAATCTCCTTAAGCTGATAAGCAACTTCAACAATGTCTCAGGATACAAAATCAATGTACAAAAATCACAAGTATCCTTATACACCAGCAACAGACAAACAGAGAGCCAAATCATGAGTGAACTCCCATTCACAATTGCTTCAAAGAGAAGAAAATACCTAGGAATCCAACTTACAAGGGAAGTGAAGGACCTCTTCAAGGAGAACTACAATCCACTGCTCAAGGAAATAAAAGAGGATACAAACAAATGGAAGAACATTCCATGCTCATGGGTAGGAAGAATCAATATCATGAAAATGGCCATACTGCCCAAGGTAATTTATAGATTCAATGCCATCACCATCAAGCTACCAATGACTTTCTTCACAGAATTGGGAAAAACTACTTGAAAGTTCATATGGAACCAAAAAGGAGCCTGCATCGCCAAATCAATCCTAAGCCAAAAGAACAAAGCTGGAGGCATCACTCTACCTGACTTCAAACTATACTACAAGGCTACAGTAACCAAAACAGCATGGTACTTGTACCAAAACAGAGATATAGATCAATGGAACAGAACAGAGCCCTCAGAAATAATGCCGCATATCTACAACTATCTGATCTTTGACAAACCTGAGAAAAACAAGCAATGGGGAAAGGATTCCCTATTTAATCAATGGTGCTGGGACAACTGGCTGGCCATATGTAGAAAGGTGAAACTGGATTTCTTCCTTACACCTTATACAAATATCAATTCAAGATGGATTAAAGCCTTAAACGTTAGAACTAAAACCATAAAAACCCTGGAAGAAAACCTAGGCATTGCCATTCAGGACATAGGCATGGACAAGGACTTCATGTCTAAAACGCCAAAAGCAATGGCAACAAAAGACAAAATTGACAAATGGGATCTAATTAAACTAAAGAGCTTCTGCACAGCAAAAGAAACTACCATCAGAGTGAACAGGCAACCTACAAAATGGGAGAAAATTTTCGCAACCTACTCATCTGACAAAGGGCTAATATCCAGAATCTACAATGAACTCAAACAAATTTACAAGAAAAAAACAAACAACACCATCAAAAAGTGGGTGAAGTACATGAACAGACACTTCTCAAAAGAAGACATTTATGCAGCCAAAAAAACACATGAGAGAATGTTCATCATCACTGGCCGTCAGAGAAATGGAAATTAAAACCACAATGAGGTACCATCTCACACCAGTTAGAATGGCAATCATTAAAAAGTCAGGAAACAACAGGTGCTGGAGAGGATGTGGAGAAATAGGAACACTTTTACACTGTTGGGATTGTAAACTAGTTCAACCATTGTGGAAGTCAGTGTGGCGATTCCTCAGGGATCTAGAACTAGAAATACCATTTAACCCAGCCATCCCATTACTTGGTATATACCCAAAGGACTATAAGTCATGCTGCTGTAAAGACACATGCACACGTATATTTATTGCGGCATTATTCACAAGAGCAAAGACTTGGAACCAACCCAAATGTCCAACAATGATAGACTGGATTAAGAAAATGTGGCCCATATACACCATGGAATACTATGCAGCGATAAAAAATGATGAGTTCATGTCCTTTGTAGGGACATGGATGAAATTGGAAATCATCATTCTCAGTAAACTATCACAAGGACAAAAAACCAAACACTGCAAATTCTCACTCATAGGTGGGAATTGAACAATGAGATCACATGGACACAGGAAGGGGAACATCACACTCTGGGGACTGTTGTGGGGTGGGGGGATGGGGGGAGGGCTAGCATGGGGACATATACCTAATGCTAAATGACGAGTTAATGGGTGCAGCACACCAGCATGGCACATGTATACATATGTAACTAACCTGCACAATGTGCACATGTACCCTAAAACTTAAAGTATAATAATAAAAAAAGAAAAAAAAAGATATATCCTTTTTCAAAGTTGGCCTCAAGGCACTCCCAAATATCCTTTCACAGATTCTACCAAAAAAGTGTTTCCAAACTGCTGAATGAAAGAAAGTTTTACCTCTCTGAGATGAATGCACATATCTCAAGGCAATTTCTCAGATGGTTTCCTCCTAGTTTTTAACAAGGGATACTCACTTTTTCCCCTATGGCCTAAATGAACTCCAAAGTATCCCTTCAGAAATTGTACAACAACAATGTTTCCAATCTACAGAATTCAAAGAAAGGTTTAACTCTGTGAGATGAATGTACACATCACAAAGCAGTCTCTCAGAAAGCTTCTTTCTAGTTTTAATCTGAAGATATTTCATTTTTCACCATAGCCCTCAATGCACTCCAAAATATACCTTAAGGATTCTACCAAAACAGTGTTTCCAAACTGCTGAATGAAAAAAGTTTTAACTCTGTAAGATGAATGCACACATCACAAGGCACTTTCTCATATAGCTTCCTTCTAGTTTTCATCCTGGGATATTCACTTTTTGCCCTATTGCCTCAGCGAGCTCCCAAATATCCCTTCGCAGCTCTACAACTTTTCCAAGTGGTGAATCCAAAGAAAGTTTTAACTCTGTGAGATGAATGCACATGTCACAAAGCATTTTCTTGGAAAGCTTATTTCTTATTTTTATCTGAGATATTTCCTTTTTCACCATAGGCCCCAAAGCACTCTGAAATATCCATATGCAGTTCCTACCAAAGCAGTGTTTACAAACAGCTGAATGAAAAATAATGTTTACTTCTATGAGATGAATGTACCCATCACAAGTCAGTTTCTCACATAGCTTCCTTTTAGTTTTTGTCCTGGGATAGTCACCTTTTCACCTATGGCCTAAATGAGCTATCAAATATCCCATCGCAGAAAAAAAACAAAAAAAGTGTTTCCACACTGCTGAATCCAAATAAAACTTCAACTCTGTGAGAGGAATACACACATCACGAAGCAGTTTCTCAGAAAGCTTCTTTCAAGTTTTTATGTGAAGATATTTCCTTTTTCACCACAGGCCTCAATGCACTCCCAAATATACCTAGGAAGATTCTACCAAAATGTTGCTTACAAATTACTGAATGAAAAGAAAGGTTTAACTCTGGGAGATGAATGCACACATGACAGTGCAGTTTCTCAGACAGCTTCCTGCTAGTTTTTATCCTGAGATATTAGCTTTTTCACCTATGGCCTCAAAGAGCTATCAAATATCTCTTCTCACTTTCTACAAAAGCAGTGTTTCCAAACTGCTGAATCCAAAGAAAGGTTTACCTCAGTGAGATAAAATCACACATCACAAAGCAGTTTCTCAGAAATCTTCCTTAACGTTTTTATCTAAAGATATTTTCTTTTTAACCATAAGCATCATTGCACTCCCAAATATCCATTCACAGATTCTACCAAAAAAGAGTTTCAAAATTGTTGAATGAAAAGAAAGGATAAATTCTGCAAAAGGAATGCACACATCACAATGTGGTTTCTCAGATAGCTTTCTTGTATTTTTATCCTGGTATATTCACCTTTTCACCTTAGGCCTCGATGATCTCCCAAGTTTCATTTTGCATAAAGGACAAAAACAGTGTTTCCACACTGCTGAATCCAAAGAAAGGTTTAACTATGTGACATGAATGCACACATCACAAAGCAGTATCTCAGAAAGCTTCTGTCTGGTTTTTATCTGAAGATATTTCCTTTTTCACCTTAGGCCTCAATGAACTCCCTAATATCCTTTTGTAGATTCTACAAAAACAGTGTTTCCAAACTGCTGAAAGAAAAGAAAGGTATAACTCTGGAAGATGAATGCACAATGCAGTTTCTCACACAGCTTCCTTCTAGATTTTATCCTGGGATATTCACTTTTTCACCTATGGCCTCAATGAGCTATCTAATATCTTCTCAGATTCTACAAAAACAGTGTTTCCAACCTGCTGAATCCAAAGAAAGGTTTACCTCTGTGAGATAAATGCTCACATCACAAAGCAGTTCCTCAGAAGGTTTCTTTCAATTTTTATCTGAAGGTATTTCCTTTTTAACCATAAGCCTCAATGCACTCCAAAACATCCCTTTGCAGTTTCTACCAAAACAGTGATTCGAAATTGCTGAATGAAAAAAAAGATCTAACTCAGCATGATGAATACATGCATCATAAAGTTGTTTCCCTCATGGCTTTCTTGTGCTTTTTATTCTGGGATATTCACTTTTTCGACATTGGCCTCAATGAGCTATCTAATATCCTTCCTCAGATTGTACAAAAACAGAGTTTCCAAACTGCTGAATCCTAAGAAAATTTTAAATCTGTTAGACGAATGCACATATCACAAAGCAGTGTGTCACATATCTTCCTTCTAGTTTTTATGTGAATATATTTCCTTTTTCAACAGATGTCTCAATGCACTCCCAAATATCCCTTTGCTGATTCACAAAAACAGTGTTTCCAAACTACTGAACACAAGGAAATGTTCACCTGTGTGAGATGAATGCATACATCACAAAGGGGTTTCTCAGTTAGACTCCTTCTAGTTTTTATCATGGGATATTCACTTTGTGGCGTTTGGCCTCAATGAGCTCTCTAATATCCCTTTTCATATTCTACAAAACCAGTGTTTCTAAACTGCTGAATAAAAAAACGTTTTACATCTGTGAAATGAATGCACACATCACAAAGCAGTTTAGCTTCTTTCTAGTTTTCTTTTGAAGATATTTTCTTTTACACCATACTCCTCAACGCACTCCCTAATATCCCTTTATGGATACTACCAAAACAGTGTTTCCAAACTGCTGAATGGAAAGAATGTTTTAACTCTGTGGGATGATTGAACACATCGCAGAGCTGTTTCTCAGATAGCTTTCTCGTATTTTTTATCCTGGGATATTCACTTTTTTGCCATTGGCTAAATAAGCTACCTAATATCCCTGTGCAGACTCTACAAAAACAGTGTTTGCAAATTGCTGAATACTAAGAAAGGTTTAACTCTCTGAGACGAATGCACACATCACAAACCAGTGTCACAGAAGAAAGCTTCTTTCTAGTTTTTATCTGGAGATATTTCCTTTTTCAACATAGGCCTCAAAGCACTCCCCAATATCCCTTTGTAGATTCTACAAAAACAGTGTTTCCAAACTACAGAATGAAAAGAAAGGATTAATTCTGAGTTGAAAGCACACAGCAGAAAAGCGGTTTCTCAGATACCTTTCTTCTAGTTTTTATCCTGGGATATTTGCTTTTTCACTTTGGCCTCAATGTGCTCCCAAATGTCCATTCACAGAATGGACAAAAACAGTGTTTCCAAACTGCCAAATCTGAAGAAAGTTTTAATTATGTGAGATAAATGCACACATCACAAAGCAATTTCTCAGAAAGCTTCCTTCTAGTTTTTATCTGAAAATATTTCCTTTTTCACTGTAAGCCTCAATGCATTCCCAAGTATCTCTTCACAGACACTAAAAAAGCACTATTCCCAAACTGCTGAATTAAAAGAAAGGTTTACCTCTGCGAGATGAATGCACACATCACAAAGTGGTTTCTCAGGTACTTTCCTTCTAGTTTTTGTCCTGGGATGCTCACTTTCTCACCATTGGCCTCAATGAACTTGAAATTATCCCTTTGCCGATTCTACAAAAACAGTGTTTCCAAACTGCTGAAGAAAAAATGTTTTATCTCAGTGAGATGAATGTAGATATCACAGGTGGTTTCTCAGAAACCTTCCTTCTAGTTTTTAACCTGAGATATTGGCTTTTTCCCATGGCCTCGATGAGCTATCAAATATCCCTTCACAGATGCTACAAAAACTTTTTTCTCCAAATTGCTGAATCCAAAGAAATATTTCAATTTTTGAAATGAATGCACACATCACAAAGCAGTTTCTCAGAAAGTTTCTTTCTAATTTAGATCTGAAAATATTTTTTTTTCACCATAGACCTTGATGCACTCCCAAATATACCTTCATAGATACTACCAAAACAGTGTTTCCAAACTGCTAAATGAAAAGAAAGGTTTATCTCTGCGAGATGAATGCATGCATCACAAAGAGGTTTCTAAGATAGTTTCCTTCTAATTTTTGTCCTGGGATGTTTTATTTTTCTCCATTGGCCTCAATGAACTCCAAAATATCCCTTTGCAGATTCTACCAAAACCGTGTTTCCAAACTGCTGAATGAAAAAAAGTTTTATCTCAGTGAGGTGAATGTAGATATCACAGGTGGTTTCTCAGATACCTTCCTTCTAGTTTTTAACCTGGGATATTGGCTTTTTCCCCATGGCCTCAATGAGCTATCAAATATCCCTTCACAGATGTTACAAAAACTTTTTTCTCCAAATTACTGAATCCAAATAAATGTTTCAATTTTTGAGATGAATGCACACATCACAAAGCAGTTTCTCAGAAAGTTTCTTTCCAGTTTAGATCTAAAAATATTTTTTTTCACCATAGGCCTTGATGCACTCCCAAATATCCCTTCGTGGATACTACCAAAACAGTGTTTCCAAACTGCTAAATGAAAAGAAAGGTTTAACTTTGTGAGATGAATGCACACATCACAAAGAGGTTTCTCAGATAGTTTCCTTCTAATTTTTGTCCTGGGATGTTTTCTTTTTCTCCATTGGCCTCAATGAACTCCAAAATATCCCTTTGCAGATTCTACCAAAACAGTGTTTCCAAACTGCTGAATGAAAAAAAGTTTATCTTAGCGAGATGAATGTAGATATCACTGGCAGTTTCTCAGATATCTTCCTTCTAGTTTTTATCCTGGGATATTGGCTTTTTCCCCTGTGGCCTCAATGAGCTATCAAATATCCCTTCACAGATGCTACATAAACTTTTGTTTTCCAAATTACTGAATCCAAAGAAACGTTTAAATTTTTGAGATAAATGCACACATCACAAAGCAGTTTCTCAGGAAGTTTCTTTCTAGTCTAGATCTGAAGATATTTCTTTTTTCACCATAGGCCTCGATGCACTCCCATCGAGGATAACCCTTCACAGATACTACCAAAAAAGTGTTTACAAACTGCTGAATGAAAAGAAAGGTTTAACTCTGTGAGATGAATGCACACATAACAAAGTGGTTTCTCAGATAGCTTTCTTTTAGTTTTCATCCTCGGATATTCCCTTTTTCACCATTGGCCTCAATGATCTCCCAAAAGTCCATTCACAGAATAAACAATAACAGTGTTTCCAAACTGCTGAATCCAAAGAAAAGTTTAACTCTTTGGGGCTAATGCACATGTCCAAAAGAAGTTTCTCAGAAAGCTTCTTGCTGGTTTTTATCTGAGGATACTTCCTTTTTCACCATAAGCCTCAATGCGTTCCCAAATATCCCTTATGCATATTCTACCAAAACAGTGTTTACAACTGCTGAATGAAAAGAAAGTTTTAACTCTGTCAATTGAATGCACAAATCACAAAGCAGTTTCTCAGATAGCTTTCTTCTAGATTTTATCCCGAGATATTCACTTTTTTGCCTTTGGCCTCAGTGAGCTCTCAAATGTCCATTCATAGAATGGACAAAAACAGTGTTTCCAAACTGCCAAAGCCAAAGAAAGGTTTAACTCTGTGAGATGAATGCGCACGTCACAAAGCAGTTTTTCAGAAAGCTTCTAACTAGTTTTTATCTGAAGATATTTCCACTTTCACCATAGGCCTCAATGAGCTCCCAAATATACCTTCGCAGATTCTACCAAAACAGTGTTTCCAAACTGTAGAATGAAAAGAAAGGTTTAACACTTTGAGTTGAAAGCAACAGCACAAAGCGGATTCTTACATAGATTTCTTCTAGTATTTTTCTGGGGATATTGTCTTTTTCAATTTGGCCTCAATGAGGTCTGACATGTCCTTTCATAGAATGGACTAAAACAGTGTTTCCAAACGTCTGAATCCAAAGAAACTTCAACTCTGTGAGAGAAATGTACTAGTCATACAGCAGTTTCTTGGAAAAATTCTGTCTAGTTTTTATCTGAAGATATTTCCCTTTTCACCAAAGGCCTCAATTTGCTCCCAAATATCCCTTCTTAGATACTACAAAAACAGTATTTTTAAATTGCTGAATGAAAAGACAGTTTTACCTTTGTGTGTGAATGCACACATCACAAAGCTGTTTTTCAAATAGCTTCCTTCTTGTTTTAATCCTGGGATGTTCACTTTTTCCCCATTGGCCTCAGTTAGCTCCAAAATATCTGTTCACAGATTCCACAAAAACAGTGTTTCCAAACTACTGAATCCAAAGAAAGTTTTAACTCTGTACCCATCACAAAGCAGTTTCTCAGAAAGCTTCTGTCTAGCTTTTATCTGAAGATATTTCCTTTTTCACTATAGGCCTCAAGGCACTCCCAAATATAACTTCACAGATTCTACCAAAAGAGTGTTTCCAAACTGCTGAATGAAAAGAAAGTTTTAACTCTGTGAGATGAATGTAGACTTCACAAGGCCGTTTCTCCGATACCTTCCTTTTAGTTTTCGTTGTGGGATATTCATTTTTTCCACTATGCCCTCAATGAGCTCTCAAATATCCCATTGCAGATGTGAAAAAAGCAGTGTTTCCAAATTACTGAATCCAAACAAACATTTGGATTTCTGAGATGAATGCACACATCATGAAGCAGTTTTTCAGAAATCTTGTTTCTAGTTTTTATCTGAAGATATTTCTTTTTTCACCATAGGCCTCAATGTGCTCTCAAATATCTCTTTGCAGAATCTACCAAAATGGTGTTTCCAAATTGTTGAATGAAAAGAAAGGTTTAACTCTGTGAGATGAAAGCAACCATCACAAAGGCCTTCATCAGAGACCTTCCTTCTAGTTTTTATCATGGGATATTCACTTTTTCACCTATGGCCTCAATGAGCTCTCTAATATCCATTCACAGATTCAACAAAAACAGTGTTTCCATGCTGCTGAATACAAAAAAAACGTTTACCTCTGTGAGATGAATGTGCACATCACAAAGCAGTTTCCCAGAATGCTTCTTTCCAGTTTTTATTGGAAGATATTTCTTTTTTCACCATAGTCCTCAATGCACTCCCAAATATCCCTTCACAGTTTCTACCAAAACAGTGCCTTCAAATTGCTGAATGTAAAGAAACTTTTAACTCGGTGAAATGAATGCACACAGCAGAAAGTGGTTTCTCAGATAGCTTTCTTCTAGTTTTCATCTTGGGATATTTGCTTTTTCTCCATTGGAATCAAGGACCTCCCAAATCTCCATTCGCAGAATGGACAATAACAGTGTTTCCAAACTGTTGAATCCAAAGAAAGGTTTAACTTTGTGAGGTGAATGCACCTGTCCCAAAGCAGTTTCTCAGAAAGCTTCTTGCTAGTTTTCATCTGAAGATACTTCCTTTTTATCCCTAGGCCTCAATGGGCTCCCAAATATCCATTCACAGATTCTACAAAAACAGTGTTTCCAGCCTGCTGAATGAAAAGGAAGTTTAACCACTGCGAGCTTAATGCACACATCACAAGGTGGTTTCTTAGATAGCTTTTTTCTAGTTTTTATCCTGGGATATTCACTTTTTCCCCCTATGGCCTCAGTGAGCTCCCAAATATCCCTTCACAGATTCTACAACAAGTGTGTTTCCAAACTGCTGAATCAACAAAAAAGTTTAACTCTGTGGGATGAATGAACACATTACAAAGAAGTTTCTCAGAAAGCTTCTGTCTAGTTTTTATATGAAGATATTTCTTTTTCACCGGAGTCCTCAAAGGGCTCCCAAATATTCCTTTGCAGATTGTACAAAAAGACTGTTTCCAAACTGCTCAATCAAAAGAAAGTTTCAACTCTGTGAGATGAATGGACACTTTAAAAAGCAGTTTCTCAGAAAACTTCTTTCTGGTTTTTAGCTGAAGATATTTCCTTTTTCACCATTAGCCTCAATGCACTCCCAGATATCCCTTTGCAGATTCTACAAAAACAGTGTTTCCACACTGCAGAATGAAAAGAAAGGTTTAACTGTGCCAGAGAAATGCACACATCACAAAGCAGTTTCTCAGATATATTTCTTCAAGTTTTCATACTGGGACATTCACTTTTTTGCCATTGACCCAAATGAGCTCAAAAATTGTCCATTCACAGAAAGGACAAAAACAGTATTTCAAAATTGCTGAATCCAAAGTAAGGTTTAAGTCTATGAGGTGAATGCACACATCAAAAAGCAGTTTGTAAGAAAGTTTCTTTCTGGTTTTTATCTGAAGATATTTCCTTTTTCCCCATACAACTCAAAGCTCTCCCAAATATCACTTAGTGTATTCTGTCAAAACAGTGTTTCCAGACTGCTGAATGAAAAGAGAGATTAATTCTGCAGGATGAATGCACACATCACAAAGTGGTTTCTCATATAGCTTTTGTCTAATTTTTATCCTGGGATATTGTCTTTTTCACCATTGGCCTCAATGAGCTCCCAAATGTCCATTTGCAGAATGGACAAAAATAGTGTTAGCTAACTGCAGAATCCACAGAAAGTTTTAACTCTGTGATTTCAATGCATACTTCAGACAGCAGTTTCTCAGAAAGCTTCTTTCTAGTTTTAATCTGAATATATTTCCTTTTTCACTATAAGCCTCAGTGCACTCCCAGATATCCCTTCACAGATTCTACAAATACAGTGTTTCCAAGCTGCTGAATAGAAAGAAATGTTTAATTCTGCAAGATGAATATGCACATCACAAAGTTGTTTCTGAAATAGCTTCCTTCTAGTTTTTGTCCTGAGATAATCACTTTTTTGCCTTTGGCCTCATTAAGCTCCCAAATGTCCCTTCATAAATTCTACAACAACAGTGTTTCCAAACCACTGAATCCAAAGAAAGGTTGTACTCTGTGAGATGAATGAACACATAGAAAAGCAGTGTCTGATAAAGTCTCTTTGTATTTTTAATCTGAAGATATTTCCTTTTTCACCATAGGCCTCAATGTGCTCCAAAATGCAACTTTGCAGATTCTACAAAAACAGGGTTTGCAAACTGCTGAATGAAAAGAATGGTTTAAATCTGAGAAATGAATGCACACATCACAAACCGGCTCATCAGATAGCTTCTTCCTACTTTTTTTTTTTTCCTGGGATGTTCACTTTTTTGCCTTTGGCTCTGTCAGCTTCCACATGTCCCTACACAAATACTAAAACAACAGTGTTTCCAAACTCCTGAATCCAAAGAAAGGTTTAACCCTGTGATATGAATTCACACATCACAAAGCAGTTTCTTAGAAAGCTTCTTTCTAGTTTTTATCTGAAGATATGTCATTTTTCACCATAGGACTCAATGCGTTCCCAGATATTTCTTCATGGATCCTGTGAATACAGTGTTTCCAGACTGCTGAATGAAAAGAAAGGTTTCTCTCTTTGAGGTGAATGCAAACATCAAAAAGCTGTTTCTGAGATAGCTTTCTTCTAGTTTTATCCTGGGGTATTTTCCTTTTCACCATTGACCAAAGGACCTCCAAAATGCCCATTCATAGAATGGACAAAAACAGTGTTTGCAAACTGCTGCATCCACAGAAAGGTTTAAATCTGTGAGAGGAATGCACACATGACATAGCAATTTCCCAGAAAGCTTCTTGCTAGTTTTTATATGAGGATAATTCCTTTTTCACCGGAGGCCTCACTGCACTCCAAAATATAATTTGCAAATTCTACAAAAAAAAAAAGGTGTTTCCAAACTGCTGAATGGAAAGAGTGGTGTAACATCACAAAGCGGTTTCTCAGATAACTTTCTTCTATTTTTTTCCTGGAATATTTGCTCTTTCATCTTTTTCCTCTGTGAGCTCTGAAATATCGCTTCACAGATTCCACAACAGTGTTCACAAACTGCAGAATGCAAAGAAAGGTTTAACTCTGTGAGATGAATGTACACATCACAAAGTAGTTTCTCAGAAAGCTTCTTTTTAGTTTTTATCTGAAGACATTTCCTTTTTCACCATAAGCCTCCATGTGCTGCCAGTAATCACGTCACAGATTCTACCAAAATAGTGTTTATAAACTGCTGAATGAATAGAAAGTTTTATTTCTGGTAGATGAATGCACACATTACAAAGCAGTTTCTCAGAGAGCTTCCTTCCAGTTTTTATTCTGGGATATTTGCTTTTTTACCATTGGACTCACAGAGCTCCCAAATGTCCATTAGCAGAATGGACAAAGACACCATTTGGAAACTGCTGAATCCACAGAAAGTTTTAACTCTATGAGATTAATGCAAACATCACAAAACAGTTTCTCAGAAAGTTTCATCTAATTTTTATCTGAAGATATTTCTTTTTTCTGTAGGCCTCAAAGCACTCCCAGATATCCACTTGGAGTTTCTACAAAAACAGTGTTTCCAAACTGCTGATATAAAAGAAAGTTTTAACCCTGTGAAATGAATGCCCACATAACATTGGTTTTTCTGATTGCTTCCTTCTAGTTTTTTTTCCCCTGGAATATTCACTTTCTCACCAGTCACCTTAATGAGCTCTGGAATATCCCTTCACAGATTCTAAAACAACTGTGTTTCCATCTGCTGAATCCAAAGAAAGGTTTAACTCGGTGAGATGAATGCACACATCCCAAATAGTTTCTGAGAAAGCCTCTTTCTAGTTTATATTTTAAAATATATCCTTTTTCACCATAGGCCTCCAGGTGCTCTCAAATATCCCTTTATGGATTCTTCCAAAACAGTGTCTCCAAGCAGCTAAATGAAAAGCCATGTTTATCTCTGTGAGGTGAATGCACACATCACAAAACTGTTTCTCAGATAGCTTACTTCTAGTATTTATCCTGGGATATTTGCTTTTTCTCTGTTAGCCTCAATGAGCTCCTAAATGTCCACTTGCCGAATGGACAAAAACAGTGTTTGCAAATGGCTGAATACACAGAAAGGTTTAATTCTGTCAGGGGAAAGCACATATCAAAGCAGTTTCTCAGAAAGATTCCTTCTAGTTTTTTTCTGATGATATTTCCTTTTTCACCATAGGCTTCAAAGCGCTCCCAGATATTCGTTCAAAGATTCTATGAAAACAGTGTTTCCAAACTGCTGAATGAAAGGAAAGGTTTAACTATGCAAGATGAATGTACACATCACAAAGTGATTTCTCAAATAGCTCCCTTCTAGTTTTTATCCTGGGATACTCACTTTTTCACCATTGGCCTCAATGAGCTCCCAAACATCCCTTTGCAGATTCTACAATAACAGTGTTCCCAAACTGCTGAATCCAAAGAAATATTTAACTCTATGAGAGGAATGCACACAGCACAAAGCAGTTTCTCAGAAAGCTTCTTTATAGTTTTTATCTGAAGATATTTCCTTTATCACCACAGGCCTCATTGTGCTCCAAAATATCCATTCACAGATTCTATGAAAACTGTTTCCAAACCGCTGAAAGAAAAGAAAGGTGAGATGAATGCATACATCACAAAGCAGTTTCTCAAATCACTTCCTTGTAATTTTTTCCTGATATAATCACTTTTTCACCATTGGCCTTAATGAGCTCCAAAATGTCCATTCACAGAATGGACAACAACAGTGTTTGCAAACTGCTGTATCCAAACAAAGTTTAACTCTGTGAGATGAATGCACACATCACAAAGTAGTTTCTCACAAAGCTTCTTTCAAGTTTTGGTCTGAAGATATTTACTTTTTCACCATAGGCCTCTTTGTGATCCTTAATCATCCCTTCATGGATTCTGCCAAAAGTGTGTTTCAAGACTGCTGAATGAAAAGAAAAGCTTATCTCTGCGAGGTTATTGCCCTCATCACAAAGCGGTTTCTCAGCTTCCTTCTAGTTTTTGTCCTGGGATATTTACCTTTTCACCATTGGCCTCAATGAATTCCCAAATGTCCATTCACAGAGTAGACAAAAACAGTGTTCGCGAATGGCTGAATCAAAAGAAAGGTTAAATTCTGTGAGATAAGTAAAGACATCACAAAGCAGTTTCTCAGAAAGCTTCCTTCTAATCTTTATATGATGATATTTCTTTTCACCATAAGCCACAATGTGCTGCCAAATATCCCTTCGTGGAGTCTACAAAAACTGTGTTTCCAAACTGCTGAACGAAAATAGAGGTTTTGAATCTGTGAGTTGAATAAACACATCAAAAAGCAGTTTCTCAGATAGTTTAATTGTAGTTTTTATCCTGGGCCATTTGCTTTTTCACCTTTGCCCTCAGCAACATCCCAAATGTCCATTTGCAGAGTGGACAAAGACAGAGTTACCAAACTGCTGAATCCAAAGAAAGGTTTAATTTTGTGAGGTGAATGCAAACATCCCAAATCAGTTTCTCATTAAGCTTCTTTCTAGTTTTTATCTGAATGTATGTCCTTTTTCACTGTTGGCTTCCATATGCTTCCAAATATCTCTTCACAGATTATAAGAGGACAGTATTTCCAAACTGCTGAATGAAAAGAAAGGTTTATTCCTGTGAGTTGAATGCAAACATCACAAATTGGTTTCTCAGATAACTTCCTTCTAACTTTTATACTGGGATATTTGTTTTTTTGCCATTGGCTGCAATAAGCTCCCAAATGTCCATTTTGCAAAAATGGTGTTTCTAAACTGCTGAATTTGAAGAAAGGTTTAACTCTATGAGGTGAATGAACACATCACAAAGCAGTTTCTCAGAAAGCTCCTTGCTAGTTTTTAACTGAAGATATTCTGCTTCTCACCATAGGCCTCAACGCACTGCCAAATATCCTTCTGCAGATTCTACAAAAACAGGGTTTCCAAAGTGCTGAATGAAAAGAAAGGGTGAATTCTGCTACATCAATGCACACATCACAAACGCGTTTCTCAGAGAGCTTACTTCTAGTTTTTATCCTTGGATATTCGCTTTTTTGCCTTTGGCCTCAGTAAGCTCCCAAACGTCCATTCCCAGAATTGACAAAAGCAGCTTTACCAAACTGCTGAATCAAAAGAAAAGTTTAACTCTGTGAGATGAATGGACACATCCCAAGCCAGTTTCTCATTAAGCTTCTTTCTAGTTTTTATCTGAATATATTTCATTTTTCACCGCTGACCTCAATACTGTTCCAAATATCTCTTTGCAGATTCTAATAAAAGAGTTTTTCCAAACTGCTGAATGAAAAGAATGTTTTAACTCTGTGAGACTAAAGCACACATCACAAATTTGGTTCTCAGATAACTTCCTTCTAGTTTTTAACCTCTGGTATTCACTTTTTGCCATTGGCCTAAATGGGTTCCCAAATGTTCATTTGCAGAATGGACAAAAACAATGTTTCCACACGACTCAATCCAAAGAGAGCTTTAACTCTGTGAGATGAATGAACACATCACAGAGCAGTTTCTAAGAAAGCTTCTTTTTAGTTTTTATCTGAAGACATTTCCTTTTTCACCATAGGCCTCAATGTGCTCCCAAATATCCTTTTGCATATTCTATAAAACAGTGTTTCCAAAATGCTGAATGAATAGAAAGATTTAAGCCTTTGAGATCAAAGCACACATCACAAAGCAGTTTCTCAGATAGCTTCCTTCTAGTTTTTATCTTGGGATGATTGCTTTTTTTTGCCACTGGCCTCAGTGGACTCCCAAATGTCCATTCTCTGAATGGACAAAATCAGTGTTACCCAATTTGTGAATCCAAAGAATGCTTTAACTCTCTGAGAAGAATGCACACATCCCAAACCAGTTTCTCATTAATTTTCATTCTAGTTTTTATCTGAAGGCATTTCCTTTTTCCACATAAGAGTCAGTGCACAATCAAATATCTCTTCACAGATTCTAAGAAAACAGTTTTTCCAGACTGCTGAATGAAAAGAAATGTTTAACTCTGTGAGATGAATGCACACATCACGAATCAGTTTTGCAGATAACTTCCTTCTAGTTTTTATCCTGGGATATTCACTTTCTCGCCATTGGCCCCAAAGAGTTCCCAAATGTCCATTCTGCAAAAACAGTGTTTCCAAACTGCTGAATTCAAACAAAGGTTTAACTCTGTCAGAGGAATGAACACATCATAAAGCAGTTTCTCAGAAAGGTTCTTTCTAGTTTTTATCTCAAGATATTTCCTTTTTCACCATAAGCCTCAATGTGCTGCCAAATATCCTTTCCCAGATTCTACAAAAACAGTGTTCCCAAACTGCTGAATGAAAAGAAAGTTTTAACTGTCCTAGATGAATGCACACATAAAAAGCCGTTTCTCAGAGAGCTTCCTTCTTGTTTTTATGTTGGGATATTTACTTTTTGTCCTTTGGCCTCAATCAGCTCTGAAAGGTACATTCACAGAATGGGCAAAAACAGTGTTACAAAACTGCTGAATCAAAAGAGAATTTAACTCTGTGAGATGAATGCACACATCCCAAACCAGTTTCTCATTAAGCTTCTTTCTAATTTTTATCTGAAGATACTTCCTTTTTCACCAGAGGCCCCAATGCACTACCAAATATCTCTTCGCAGATTCCAAGAAATCAGTGTTTCCAAACTGCTGAATGAAAAGAAATGTTTAGCTCTGTGAGATGAATTCACACATCACAAATCGGTTTCTCAGATAACTTCCTTTTAGTTTTTATCCTAGGATATTCATTTTTTCACCATCGGTGTCGATGAGCTCCGAAATGTCCATTCTGAGAAAAGACAAAAACAGTGTTTCCAAACTGCTGAATCCATAGAAAGTTTTAAATCTGTGAGATGAATGCTCACATCAAAAAGCAGTTTCTCAGAAATCTTCTTTCTAGTTTTTATCTGAAGATGTTTCCTTTTTCACCATAGGCCTCCATGCACTGCCAAATATCCCTTCACAGATTCTACAAAAACAGTGTTTCCAAACTGCTGAATGAAAAGAAAGGCTTAACTCTGTGAGTTGAATGCACACATCACTAAGCAGTTTCTCAGATACCTTCCTTCTAGTTTTTATCCTGGGATATTCTCTTTTTCGCCATTGTCCTCAGTGAGCTCCCAAATGTCCATTCACAGAATGGACAAAAACAGTGTTACCAAACTGCTGAATCCAAAGAAAGTTTTAACTCTCTGAGATGAATGCACACATCCCAAAGCAGTTTCTCATTAAGCTTCTTTCTAGTTTTTATCTGAAGATATTTCCTATTCACCCTAGGCCCCAATGCATTACCAAATATCTCTTCATAGACTCTAAGAAAAGAGTGTTTCCAAACTGCTGAATGAAAAGAAAGATTTAATGCTGTGAGATGAATGCCCACATGACAAGTCAGTTTATCAGTTAACTTCCTTTTAGTTTTTATAGTGTGATATTCCCTTTTTTGCCCTTGGCCTCAGAGTTCCCAATAGTCCACTTGCAGATTGGACAGTAACAGTGTTTGCAAACTGCAGAATCCAGAGAAATGTTTAACTCTGTGAGATGAATCAACACATCCACAGCGGTTTCTCAGAAATCTTCTTTCCAGTTTTTCTCTGAAGTTATTTCGTTTTTCACAATAGGCCTTAATGCACTGCCAAATATACCTCGCAAATTCTACAAAACAGTTTTATCAAACTGCTGAATGAACAGAATGTTTTACCTCTGTAAGATGAATGCACACATCACAATGCAGTTTTTCAGATAGATTCCTTCTAGTTTTTATCCTGGGATATTCACTTTTTTGCCATTGGCCTCAATGAGCTCCCAAAAGTCCATTCACAGAATGGACAAAAACAGTATTTCCAAACAGCTGAATCTAAAGAAAGGTTTTACTCTCTGAGATGAAAGCACACATCCCAAACCTGTTACTCATTAAGCTTCTTTCTTTTTTTTAATCCGAAGGTATTACATTTTTCACCAGAAGTCTCCATATTCTTCCAAATATCTCTTTGCAGATTCTAAGGAAACAGTATTTCCAAACTGCTGAATCAATAGAAAGTTGTAACCCTGTGAGATGAATGAACACATCAGAATGCAGTTTCTCAGAAAGCTGCTTTCCAGTTTTTATCTGAAGATATTTCCTTTTTCACCATAGGCCTGAATGTGCTGTCAAATATCCCTTCGCAGATTCTATAAGGACAGTGTTTCCAAACTGCTGAATGAAAAGAAAAGTTAACTCTGCAAGATAATTGGAGACATCACAATGCAGCTTATCATATAGCTTCCTTCTAGTTTTTATCCTGGGATAGTCACTTTCTAGACTTTGACCTCAGTGAGCCCCTAAGTGTCCATTCCAAGAATGGACAAAAACTGTGTTACTGAACTGCTGAATCCAAAGAAAGGTTTTACTCTGAGATGAATGCACACATCTGAAACCAGTTTCTCATTAAGCTTCTTTCTACCTTTTATCTGAAGATATTTCCTTTTTCACCATAGGTCTCCATATGCTTCTAAATATCTATTTGCAGACTCTAAGAAAACAGTATTTCCAAAGTGCTCAATGAAGAGAAAGTTTTAACTCTGTCAGATGAATGCACATTTCACAAATCAGTTTCTCAGATAACTTCCTTCTAGTTTTCATCCAGGGATATATGCTTTTTCACCATTTTCCTCAATGAGCTCCCAAATCTCCATTCACAGAATGGACAAAAACAGAGTTTCCAAACTGCTGAATTCAAAGAAGTGTTTAATGCTGAGAAATAAATAAACATATCATAAAGCAGTTTCTTAGAAAGCTTCTTTGTAGTTTTTATTTGAAGATATTTCCTTTTTCACCATAGGCCTCAATGGGCTGTGAAATATCCCTTGGCAGATTCTACAAAAACAGTGTTCCAAACTGCTGAATGAAAAGAAACGTTTAACTCTGTGAGATAAATTCCCACATCATAAAGAGGTTTCTCAGATAGCTTCCTTCTAGTTTTTATCCTGGGATATTCACTTTTTCACCATTGGCTTCAATGAGCTCCCAAATGTCCATTCACAGAATGGACAAAAACAGTGTTACCAAACTGCTAAAATCAAAGGAAAGTTTAACTCTTTGAGATTAATGCTCACATCCCAAACCAGTTTCTCATTAAGCTTCTTTCTAGTTTTTATTTGAAGATATTTCCTTTTTCACCATAGGACTCAATGCACTACCAAATATCTCTTTGCAGATTCTAAGAAAACAGTGTTTCCAATCTGCTGATGAAAAGAAAGTTTTAACTGTGTGAGATGAATGCACACATCACAAATCAGTTTCTCAGATAGATACCTTCTACTTTTTATCCTGGGATATTCACTTTTTCACCATTAGTATTAATGAGCTCCCAAATGTCCATTCGCAGAATGGGCAAAAAGAGTGTTACCACACTGCTGAATCCAAAGAAAGGTTTAACTCTCTAAGATAAATGCACACATCTGAAGCCAGTTTCTCTTTAAGCTTTTTTCTTGTTTTTATAGAGGAGATTTCCTTTTTCACTGTAGGTCTCCAAAGTCTTCCAAATATCACTTCTCAGATTCTAAGAAAACAGTGTTTCCAAACTGCTGAATGGAAGGAAAGTTATAACTCTGTGAGACGAATGCATACATCACAAATTGGTTTCTCAGAAAACTTCCTCTAGTTCTCATCCCTGGATATTCACATTTTCTCCTTTGGACTCAAATAGCTCCCAAACGTCCAATCACAGAATGGACAGAAACAATGTTTCCAAACTGCTGAATGAAAAGAACAGTTTAACTCTGCTAGGTGAATGCACACATCACAAAGTGGTTTCTCAGATAGCTTCCTTCTAGTTTTAATCCTGGGATATTCATTTTTTCACCTTTGGCCTCAATGGGCTCCCAAACCTCCACTTACATAATGGACAAAAAAAGTGTTACCAAACTGCAGAATCCGAACAAAGGTTTAAGTCTGTGAAATGAATGCACACAACCCAAACTATTTTCTCATTAAGATTGTTTCCAGTTTTTATTTGAAAATATTTCTGTTTTCACCATGGGCCTCAATGCATTACAAAATATCCTTTCACAGATTCTAAGAAATCATTGTTTCCAAACTGCTGAATGAAAAGAAAGATTTAACTGTGTGAGATAAATGCACACATCACAAATCAGTTTCTCAGAAAACTTGCTTCTAGTTTTTATCCTGGTGTATTCACTTTTTGCCATTGCCCTCAGTGAGTTCCCCAGTGCTGAATCCAAAGAAAGTTTTAACTCTGTGAAGTGAATGAATTCTTCACAAAGCAGTTTGTAAGAAAGCTTCTTTCTAGTTCTTATCTGAAGATATTTCCTTTTTCACCATAGGCCTCAAATCTCTGCCAAATATCTCTTTGCAGATTCTAATATATCAGCGTTTCCAAACTGCTGAATGAAAATAAATGCTAAACTCTGCTAGATAAATGCACACTTCACAAAATGCTTTCTCAAATATCCTCCTTCTAGCTTTTATCCTGGGTTATTCACTTTTTCACCTTTGGCCTCAAAGAGCTCCCAAATGTCCATTCGCAGAATGACAAAAACAGTGTTACCAAACTGCTGAATCCAAAGAATTGTTTAAACCTCTGAGATGAATGTACACATCACAAACAACTTTCTCATTAAGCTTCTTTCTGGATTTTATCTGAAGATATTTCCTTTTTCACCATAGGCCTCAAAGCAATACAAAATATCTTTTTACAGATTCTAAGAAAACAGCGTTTCCAAACTACTGAATGAAAATAGTTTTAACTCTGTGAGATGAACACACAAACCACAAAGTGATTTCTCAGTTAGCTTGCTTCTAGTTTTTTTTCTGGGATATTCACTTTTTTGCCCTTGGTCTCAATAAGCTCTCAAATGTCCATTCACAGAATGGACAAAAACAGTGTTACCAAACTGCTGAATCAAAAGGAAGTTTTAACTCTGTGAGATGAAAGAACACATCACAAAGCAGTTAATTAGAAAGCTTCTTTCTAGTTTTTATCTTATGATATTTCTTTTTTCACCATAGGCCTCTATGCACTGCCAAATATCCGTTTGCAGATACTACAAAAACAGTGTTTACAAACTACTAAATGAAAACAAAGGTTTAACTATGCTAGATGAATGCACACATCACAAAGCCATTTCTCAGAGAGCCTCCTTCTAGTTTTTATCCTGGAATATTCACTTTTTCACCATAGGACTCAACGAGCTCCCAAATGTTCATTGGCAGAAAGGACAAAAACAGTGTTACCAAACTGCTGAATCCAAAGAAAGGTTTAACTCCGTGAGATGAAAGCACAGATCAAAAAGCAGTTTCTCATTAAACTTCTTTGTGGTTTTAATGTGGAGATATTTCCTATTCACCATAGTCCTCAATGCACTACAAAATATCTCTTCACAGATTCTAAGACAACTGTTTTGAAACTGTTCAATTAAAAGAAAGGCTTAACTCTTTGAGATGAATGCACATGTAACAAATCAGTTTCTCAGACAAATTCCTTCCAGTTTTTAGCCTGGGTACTCAATTTTTCACCATTGGCCTCAAAGAGCTCCAAAATGTCCATTCGCAGAATTGACAAAAACAGTTTTACCAAAATTCTGAATCCAAAGAAAGGTGTAACTCTGTGAAATGAATGCACACATCTGAAACCAGTTTCTCATTAATGCTTTTTCTAGTTTTCATCTGAAGATATTTCCTTTTTCACTATAGGCCTCAATGCGCTTCTAAATATCTCTTCACAGATTCTAAGAAAACAGTGTTTCCAAACTGATGAATGAAAAGAAAGGTTTAACGCTCTGGAGATGAATGCACAGATCCCAAACGATTTTTTATTATGCTTCTTTCTAGTTTTTATCTGAATGTATTTCCTTTTTCCCTGTAAGACTAAATGCACTGTGAAATATCTCTTTGCAGATTCTAAGAAAACAGTATTTCCAAACTGCTGAATGAAAAGAAAATTTTAACCCTGTGAGATGAATGTACACATCAGAAATCAGTTTCTCATATAACTACTTTCTAGTTTTTATCCTAGGATATTCACTTTTGCATCACTGGCCTCGATGAACTCAAAAATTTCCATTCGCAGAAAGGATAAAAACAGTGTTTCCAAACTGCTGAATTAAAAGAAAGGTTTAACTATGTGAGATGAAAGAATGCATCACAAAGCACTTTCTCAGAAAGCTTCTTTCTAGTTTTTATCTGAAGATATTTCCTTTTTCGCCATAGGCCTCAATGAGCTGCCAAATATCCCTTTGCAGATTCCACAAAAAAAGTGTTTCCATACCGGCGAATGAAAAGAAAGGTTTAACTCTGCTAAATGAATGTCCCCATCACAATGCAGTTTCTCAGATAGCTTCCTTCTAGTTTTTATCCTGGGATATTCGCTTTTTCACCATTTGCCTCAATGAGATCCCAAATGTCCATTCCAAGAATGGACAAAAACAGTGTTCCCAAACTGCTGAATCCAAAGAAGGGTTTAACTCTCTGAGATGAATGCACACATACCAAACCAGTTTCTCATTAAGTTTCTTTCTAGTTTTTCTCTGAAGGTATTTCCTTTTACACCATTGGCCTCCATACTCTTCCAAATATCTCTCTGCAGATTCTAAGAAAAGAGTGTTTCTAAAGTGCTGAACAAAAAAAAAAAAAATTAACTCTGTGAGATGAATGCACACAACATGAATCAGTTTCTCAGAGAACTTACCTCTAGTTTTTGTCCTGAGATATTTGCTTTTTCAACATTGGCCACAATGAGTTCCAAAATGTCCATTCTAAGAATGGGCAAAAACAGTGTTTCCAAAGTGCTGAATCCAAAGAAAGATTTAACTCTGGTAGAGGAATGCCCACATCACAAAGCGGTTTCTCAGATAGTTTCCTTCTAGTTTTTATCCTGGGTTATTCACTTTTTTTTGCCATTGGCCTCAATGAGCTCCTAAATGTCCATTTGCAGAATGAACAAAAACAGTGTTAACAAACTGCTGAATCCAAAGAAAGGTTTAACTCTCTGAGATTAATGCACACATTCCAAATCAGTTTCTCATTAAGCTCCTTTCTAGGTTTTATCTGAAGATATTTCCTTTTTCACCATTGTCCTCCATACTCTTCCAAATATCTCATTGCAGATTTCAAGGAAACATTGTTTCCAAGCTGCTGAATGAAAAGAAAGTTTTAACTCTGTGAGATGAATGCACACATCACAAATCAGTTTCTCAGATAACTGCCTTCTAGTTTTTATGCTGGGATATATGCTTTTTCACCATTGGCCTCAATGAACTCCCAAATGTCCATTCACAGAATGGAGAAAAATAGAGTTTCCAAACTTCTGAATCCAAAGAATGGTTTAACTCTGTGAGATGAATGAACACATCACAAAGCAGTTTCTCAGAAGTTCTTTCTAGTTTTTATCTGAAGATATTTCTTTTTTCACCATAGGCTGCAATGCACTCCCAAATATCCCTTTGGGGATTTTGCCATAACAGTGTTTCCAGACTGCTGAATGAAAAGTAAGTTTTACTTCTGCGAGGTGAATGCACACGTCCCATAGCTGTTTCTCAGATAGCTTCCTTCTAATTTTTATCCTGGGTTTATCCGGGCTTTTTTACCATTGGTCACAAAGGACTCCCAAATATTCCTTCGCAGATTCTACAACAACAGTGTTTTCAAATTGCTGAATCCTCACAATGGTTTAACTCTGTGAGGTGAATGCACGCATCACAAAGCAGCTTCTCAGAAAGCCTCTTTCTAGTTTTTTTTCTGAAGATACTTCCTTTTTCACCATATGACCCAAAGCACTCCGAAATATCACTTCGCAGTTTCTACAAAAAAAGTGCTCCGAAACTGCTCAATGAAAAGAAAGGTTTAACTTTGCGAGATGGATGCACACATCACAAACCAGTTTCTCAAAGAGCTTTCTTCTAGTTTTTATCCTGGGATATTCAGTTCCTCACCATTGACCTCAATGAGCTCAAACTTATCCCTTCACATATTCTACAAAAACAGGGTTTCCAAAATGCTGAATCCAAAGAAAGTTGTAACTTTGGAGTTCGATGCACCTATCACAAAGCCATTTCTCAGAAAGCTTCTTTATAGTTTTTATCTGAAGATATTTCTTTTTTCAACATTGGCCTCAATAAGCTCCCAAATATCCCTTCAGGGATTCTGCCAGAACAGCGTTTCCAGATTGCTGAATGAAAAGTAAGTTTTACTTTTGTGACGTGAATGCCTACATCACAAAGTGGTTTCTCAGATAGCTTCCTTCTAGTTTTTATCCTGGAATATTTGCTTTTTCACCATTGGCCTAAATGAACTCTCAAATACCCCTTCACTGATTCAACAACAACAGTATTTCCAAACTGCTGAATCAAAAGAAATTTTAACTCTGTGAGATGAATGCAGATATCACAAAGTAGTTTCCCAGAATGCTTCTTTCTAGTTTTTCTCTGAAGATAGTTCCTTTTTCACCATCAACCTCAATGTACTCCCAAATACCTCCTTGTGGATTCTGCCAAAACAGTGTTTCAGACAGATGTGTGAAAAGAAAGTTTTATTTTATTTTATTATTATTGTACTTTAAGTTTTAGGGTATTTGCGTACAATATGCAGGTTTGTTACATATGTATACATGTGTCATGTTGGTGTGCTGCACCCATCAACTCGTCATTTAGCATTAGATATATCTCCTAATGCTATCCCTCCCCCATCCCCCGACCCCACAGCAGTCCCCAGTGTGTGATGTTCCCCTTCCTGTTTCTATGTGTTCTCATTGTTCAAAGCCCACCTATCAGTGAGTACATGCAGTGTTTGGTTTTTGTTCTTGTGATAGTTTGCTGAGAATGATGGTTTGCAGCTTCATCCATGTCCCTACAAAAGACATGAACTCATCATCACTGGCCATTAGAGAAATGCAAATCAAAACCACAATGAGATATCATCTCACACCAGTTAGAATGGCGATCATTAAAAAGTCAGGAAACAACAGGTGCTGGAGGGGATGTGGAGAAATAGGAACAGTTTTACACTGTTGGTGGGACTGTAAACTAGTTCAACCATTGTGGAAATCAGTGTGGTGATTCCTCAGGGATCTAGAACTAGAAATACCATTTGACCCAGCCATCCCATTACTGGGTATATACCCAAAGGATTATAAATCATGCTGCTTAAAGACACATGCACACATATGTTTATTGTGCCACTATTCACAATAGCAAAGACTTGTAACCAACCCAAATGTTCAACAATGATAAACTGGATTAAGAAAATGTGGCACATATACACCATGGAATACTATGCAGCCATAGGAAAGAAAATCTTAACCCTGCGAGCTGAATGCACACATCACAAAGTGGTTTCTCAGTAGCTTCTTTCTAGTTTTTATCCTAGAATAGTTACTTTTTTTGCCATTGGCCTCAATGAGCTCCTAAATGTCCATTTGCAGAATGGACAAATACAGTGTTTCCAAACTGCTGATTCCACAGAAAACGTTAACTCTGTGAAATGAATGCACACATTGCAGATCTGTTTCTCAATTAGTTTCCTTCTAGTTTTTATCCTGGGATATTCTGTTTTATGCCATTGACATCAATGAGTTCCAAAATGTCCATTTGCAGTAAGTCCAAAAACAGTGTTTGCAAACTGCTGAATCCACAGAAAGGTTTAACTCTGTGAGTTCAATGCACACATCACAAAGCAGTTTCTCAGAAAGTTTCTGTCTAGTTTTTTTCTGAAGATATTTCCTTTTTCAATATAGTCCTCATTGCACTCCCAATTATCCCTTCGGGGAATCGGCCAGAACAGTGTTTCCATATTGCTGAATGAAAAGTAAGTTTTACTCTGTGAGGGGAATGCACACATCACAAAGCTGTTTCTCAGATGGCTTCCTTCTAGTTTTTATCCTTGGATACTCACTTTTTGGCTATTGGTCGCCAAGAGCTCCCAAATATTCCTTCGCAGATTGTACAAGAACAGTGTTTTCAAACTGCTGAATCCACAGAATGGTTTAACTCTGTGAGATGAATGCGCACATCACAAAGCAGTTTCTCAGAAAGCTTCTTTCTAGTTTTTTTCTGAAGATATTTACTTTTTCACCACAGAGCAGTTTCTCAAATACTTTCATTCTAGTTTTTGTATTGGGATATTTGCTTTTTCATCATTGACCTCAAAGAGTTCACAAATATCTTTTCTCAGATTCTACAACAACAGTGTTTCCAAACTGCTAAATCCAAAGAATTGTTTAAATGTGTGAGGTAAATGCACATATCACAAAGTGGTTTCTCACATAGATTCCTTCTAGTTTTTAACCTGGGATATTCGCCTTTTTGCCATTGACCTTAAAGAGCTCCCAAATGTCCCTTCGCAGATTCTACAACAACAGTGTTTTCAAATTGCTGAATCGAAAAACAGATTTAAATCTGTGAGATGAATGCACACATCACAAAGCTGTTTCTCAGAAGGCTTCTTTCTACTTTTTATCTGAAGATATTTCCTTTTTCACCATTTGCCTCAATGAACACCCAAATATCCCTTTGCGGATTCTGCCAAACAGTGCTTCCTGACTGCTGTCAGAAAAGAGTGTTTTAACTCTGCGAGGTGAATGCACACATCACAAAGCCGTTTCTCAGATAGCTTCCTTCTAGTTTTTATCCTAGATATTCTCTTTTTCACCATTGGCCCTGATAAGCTCCAAAATGTCCATCCACAGAATGAAAGAAAACAGTGTTTGCAAACTGCTGAATCCACAGAAATGTTTACCTCTGTGAGATAAATGCCCACATCACAAAGCAGTTTCTGAGACAGCTTCTTTCTAATTTTTATCTGAGAATATTTCCTTTTTCACCTTAGACCTCTATGCTGTCCCAATTATCACTTCGTGGATTCTATGAAAAGAGTGTTTCCAGACTGCTATTGGGAAAGAATGTTTTAACTCTTCGAGATGAATGCACACATCACAAAGCAGTTTCTCAAATATCTTCCTGGAACTGCAGGTGACTGCTGCCATGCCCAGCTAATTTATTCCATTTTTAGTAGAGACGGGATTTCACTGTGTTACCCAAGATGATCTCAATCTTCTGACCTCGTGATCCTCCAGCTTTGGCCTCCCAAAGTGCTGGGATTCCAGGCTTGAGCCACCACGCCTGGACTCCTTCTTCACCGTAGGTCTCAATTCACTCCCAGATATCCCTTCACAGATTCTACGAAAACACGGTTTCCAAATTGCTGAAGGAAAATAAAGGTTTAACTCTGCAAGATAATTGCACACACCAGAAAGTGGTTTCTCAGATAGCTTCCTTCTAGTTTTCATCCTGGAATATTCACTTTTTCACCAATGGTCTCAATGAGCTCTGAAATATCCCTTCACATATTCTACAACAATGTTGTTTCCAAATTGCTGATTCAAAACAAAGTTTTAAATCTGTCAAATGAAGGCACACATCATAAAGCAGTATCTTGGAAAGCTTCTTTATGGAAAAAGATATTTCCTTTTTCACCATAGACCTCAATGCTGTCAAAATATCCCTTTGCAGATTCTGCCAAGACAACATTTCCAGACTGCTGTATGAATAGAACGTCTTAACTTTATGAGATGAATGCACACACCCCAAAGTGGTTATTCAGATACTTTCCTTCTCGTTCTTATCCTGGGATGTTCCCTCTTTTTCCATTGGCCTCAATTAGCTCCCAAATGTCCATTCACAGATTCTACAATAATGTTTGCAAACTGCTGAATCCACCGAAATGTTTAACTGTGTGATATGAATGCACAGATCACAATGCAGTTTCTCAGAAAGTTTCTTTTTGGTTTTTATCAGAAGATATTTCGTTTTTCACCATAGGCCTCAACGCACTCCTAAATTTCCCTTTGCAGATTCTGCCAAAACACTGTTTCCAGACTACTGAATGAAAAGAAGGTTTTAACTCTGCAGAAAGAATGCACACATCAAAATCAACTGCTCAAATAACTTCCTTCTAATTTTTATCCTGGGATATTCGTTTTTTCACCATTGGCCTCAATGAGCTCTCAAATGTCCATTTGGAGAATGGACAAAAACAGTTTTTGCAAACTTCTGAATCCACAGAACGTTTTAACTCTGTGAGACTAATGCCATCATCACAAAGCAGTTTCTCAGAAAGCTTATTTCCAGTTTTAATCTGAAGATATTTCCTTTTTCACCATAGGCCTCTTTAAGCTCCCAAATATCCCTACCCAGATTCTGCCAAAACAGTGTTTCCAGACACCTGAATGAAAATAAAGCTTTAACTATACGTGGTGAATGCGTATGTCAGAAAGTGGTTTCTCAGATAGCTTTTTTATAATTTTTTTTACCTGGGATATTTTCTTCTTCACCTTTGGCCTCAGTGAGCTCCCAAATGTCAATTCGAATATTCTACAACACTGTTTGCAAACAGCTGAATCCATGGAAAGGTGTAACTCTGTGAGACGAATGCACACTTCACAAAGAAGTTTCTCAGAAAGCTTCTTTCTATTTTTTATATGAAGATATTTCCTTTTTCACCATATGCCTCAATGTGCTCCCAGATATCCCTTTGCAGATGCTACAAAAACAGTGTTTCAATACTGCTGAATGAAAAGAAAGGTTTAATTCTGTGAGATGAATGCACAAATCACAAAGATGTTTCTCAAATAGCTTCCTTCTAGTTTTTAACCTGGTAAACTTGCTTTTTTGCCATTTGACAAAAAGGGCTCCTAAATGTCCATTTGCAGAATGGACAAAAACAGTGTTTACAAACTGCAGAATCCACATAAAGAATTAGCTCTGTGAGGTGAATGCACAAATCACAAAGCAGTTTCTCAGAAAGCTTCTTTGTAGTTTTTATCTGAAGATATTTCGTTTTTCACCGTAGGCCTCAATGTGACTTTACAACCTTGCAGATTCTACAAAAACAGTTTTCCAAACTGTTGAATCCAAAGAAAGGTTTAACTTTGCGAGGTGAATGCACACATCACAAGGTGGTTTCTCAGATAATTTCCATCTGCTTTTTATCCTGGGATATTCAGTTTTTCCTCTTTGGCTTCATTAAGCTCCCAAGTATAACCTCACAGGATCTACAAAAACAGTGTTTCCAAATTCCTGAATCCAAAGAAAGGTTTAAATCTGCAAGATGAATGCACACATCACAAAGCAGTTTTTCAAGTAGATTCCTTCTGATTTTCATCCTGGGATATTAGCTATTTCACCATTTATGTCAAAGAGCTCCTAAAAGTCCATTCACAAAATGAACAGAAACTGTTTTTCAAGCTACTGAATGATAGTAAGGTTTAACTCTGTGACTTAAATGCACACATCAGAAAGCAGTTTCTCAGAAAGCTTCTTTCCAGTTTTTATCTGAAGATATTTCCTTTTTCAGCATAGGCCTCTGTGCACTCCCAGATATCTGTTCGCAGATTCTGTGAAAACAGTCTTTCCTAACTGGTGAATGACAAGAGAGCTTTAAATCTGCGAGACGAATACACACATCAAAAAGCCGTTTCTCACATAGCTTCCTTCTAATTTTTATCCTGGGATAATTGCTTTTTTGTCATTGGCCTTGATGAACTCCCAAATATACGTTATCAGGTTCCAAAATAACAGTGTTTCCAAACTGCAGATTGCAAAGAAAGGTTGACCTATGTGGGATGAGTACCCACGTCTCAAAGCAGTTTCTCAGAAATCTTCTTTCTAGTTTTTTGTGAAGATATTTCTTTTTTCTCCTTAGGACTCTATGGGCTCCCAAATATCCCTTCATGTATTCTGCCAAAACAGTGTCACAAGAGTGCTGAATGAAAAGCAAGTTTTAACTCTGTGAGGTGAATGCTTATATCACAAATTGATTTCTCAGATAGCGTCCTTCTTGTTTTCATCCTAGCATATCACTTTTTCGCCATTGGCCTCAAGGAGCTCCCAAATATCCCTTCACAGATTCTACAAAAACAGTGTTTCCAAACTACTGAATCCAAAGAAAAGTGTAACTCTGTGAGATGAATGCACACATCACAAAGCAGTTTCTTAGAAATGTTCTTTCTAATTTTTACCTGAAGATATTTCCTTTTTCAGCAGGGGGCACAAAGGTCTCCCAAATATCCCTTCATGGATTCTGTCAAAACAGTATTTCCAGGCAGCTGTATGCAAAGAAATGTTTAAATCAGTGAGGTGAATGCCACACATCACAAAGCAGTTTCTCAGATCACTTCTTTCTAGTTTTTATCCTGTGATATTCGCTATTTCACCATTGGCCCCAGAGAGCTCCCAAATGTCCTTTCACAGAATGGACAAAAACAGTGTTTCCAAACTGCTGATTCCACAGAAAGGATTAACTCTGTGAGACGAATGCACACATCACAAAGCATTTTCTCAGAAAGCTTCATTCTAGCTTTTATCTGAAGATATTTCCTTTCTCACCATAGACCACAAAGCACTCAGAAATATAGCTTCTCAGATTCTACAAAAATAGTGTTTCCAAACTGATGAATGAAAAGAAAAGTTTAACTCTGACAGATGAATGCACATATCACAAAGCGGTTTCTCAGATAGCATCCTTCTGGTTTTTTTTTCCTGGGATATTCCCTTTCTCTCCTATGGCCTCAGAAAGCTCCCAAATATCCCTTTGCAGATTAAAAAACAACAGGGTTTCCAAATTGCTGAATCCAAAGAAAAGTTTAACTCTGTGAGATGAATGCACACATCACAAAGCAGTTTCTCAGAAAGTTTCTTTCTAGTTTTATCTGAAGCTATTTCCTTTTTCACCATATGCCTCTATGCGCTCCCAAATATCCCTTCACAGATTCAGCCAAAAGAGTGTTTCCAGACTACTGAATAAAAAGAAAGTTTTATCTCTGTGAGATGAATGCACACATCACAAAGCAGTTTCCTGATAGCTTCTTTCTAGTTTTTATCATGGGATATTTGCTTTTTCACCTTTGACCTGAAAGAGCTCCCAAATATCCATTCACAGAGTGGACAAAAACAGTGGATGCAAACTACTGAATACACAGGAAGGATTAACCCTGTGAGATGAATGAACACATCACAAAGCAGTTTCTCAGAAAGCTTCTTTCTACTTTTTGTCTGCAGAGATTTCCTTTTTTGGCCAGGCACGGTGGCTCAAGACTGTAATCCCAGCACTTTGGGAGGTTGAGGTGGGCAGATCACAAGGTCAGGAGATTGAGACCATCCTGGCTAACACGGTGAAACCCCGTCTCTACTAAAAATACAAAAAATTAGCCAGGCATGGTGGTGGGCACCTGTAGTCCCAGCTGCTCAGGAGACTGAGACAGGAGAATGGTGTGAACCTGGGAGGTGGAGCTTGCAATGAGCCAAGATTGCACCACTGCACTTTGGCCTGGGTGACAGAGCAAGACTCCATCTCCAAAAAAAAAAGAGTTTTCCTTTTTTATCATAGGCCTTTATGTGCTCCAAGATCACTTTGCAGATTCTAGGAAAAGAGTGTTTCCAAACTGCTGAATGAAAAAGAAGGGTTAACTCTGCAAGATGAATGCACACATCACAAATCAGTTTCTCATAAAGCTTCTTTCTAGTTTTAATCTGAAGATATTTCCTTTTTCACCATAGGCCTCTATGAGCTCCCCAGTATCCCTTCATAGATTCTGCCAAAACAGTGTTTCTACACTGCTGAATGAAAAAAAAAAAAAGATTTACCTTTGTGAGCTGAATACACACATCACGAAGGCATTTCTCAAATAGCTTCCTTCCAGTTTTTATCCTGGGATATTTTCTTTTTTGCCATTAGCCTCAATGAGGTAAAAATGTCCAATCTCAGAATGCACAAAACAGTGTTTGTAAACTGCTGAATCCATAGAAATGTTTAACTCTGTGAGGTAAATGCGCACATCACAAATCAGTTTCTCACAAAGCTTCTTTCTAGGTTTTATCTGGATATATTTCCTTTTTTACCATAGGCATCAATGCACTCATAGAATTCCCTTCACAGATGCTACGAAAACAGTGTTTCCAAACTGCTGAACCCAAAGAAAGGTTTAACTTTGTAAAAAGAATGCACACATCATAAAGCATTTTCTCAGAAAGCTTCTTTCTACTTTTTATGTGAAGATATTTCCTTTTTCACCATAGGCCATAAAGCACTCCGAAATATCCCATCGCAGATTCTGCAAAAACAGTGTTTCCAGACTGCTGAATGAAAAGAAAGGTTTATCTCTGCAAGGTGCATGCTCACATCACTAAGCGGTTTCTCAGATGATAGATTCCTTCCAGATTTCACCCTGGGATATTCTTTTTTTTGTCATTGGCCTCAATGAGCTCCCAAATGTCAATTTGCCCAATGGACAAAAGCAGTGTTTGCAATTTGCTGAATCCACAGAAAGGTTTAACGGTGTGAGATGAAAGCTTAAATCACCAAGCAGTTTCTCAGAAAGCTTCTCTCTAGTTTTTATCTGATGATATTTCCTTTTTCACCATAGGCCTCAATGCACTCCAAAACACTACTTCACCATTTCTACAAAAATGGTGTTTCCAGACTGCTGAATAAAAAGAAGTTTTAACTCTGCAAGGTGAATGCACACATCACAAAGGGGTTCTCAGAAAACTTCCTTCTAGTTTTTACCTTTGATATTTGCTTTCTCGCCATTGGCAGCAATGAGCTCTCATATATACTTTCACCTCTACAACAACAGTGTTTCCAAACTGCTGAATCCAAAGAAAGGCTTAACTATGTGAGTTGAATGCATACATCTCAAAGCAGTTTCTCAAAAGGCTTCTTTCTCGTTTTTATCCGAAGATATTTCCTGTTTTACCATAGGCCTCTATGTGCTCCCAAGTATCCCTTCGTGGATTCTACCAAAAGAGCGTTTCCAGACTGCTGAATGAAAAGAAGGCTTTAACTCTGCTAGGTGAATGCACACATCACAAATCCGTATCTCAGATAGTTTCCTTCTAGTTTTTATTCTGGGATATTCTATTTTTTGCCATTGCCCCAATGAACGTTGAAATGTCTACTTGCAGAATGGACAAAAACAGTGTTTGCAAACAGCTGAATCCACAGAAAGGTTTAAGTCTGTGAGATGAATGCACATATTGCAAAGCAGTTTCTCAGATAGCTTATTTCTAGTTTTTATCTGAAGATATTTCATTTTTCACCATAAGCCTCAATGCGCTCCCAGATAGCCCTTTGCAGATTCCACAAAAACAGTCTTTCCAAACTGCTGAATGAAAAGAAAGGTTTAACTCTGTGAGGTGAATGCACACATCACAAAGCAGTTTCTCAGATGATTTCCCAACTTTTTGTCCTGGGATATTCACTTTTTTGCTATGGACCTCAATGAGTTCCCTAATATACCTTCAGATATTCTACAACAGCAGTGTTTCCAACTGTTGAATTCAAATAAATGTTTAACTCTGTGAGATGAATTCACATATCACAATGCAGTTTCCCAGAAAGCTTCTTTCTAGTTTTTATCTGAAGAGATTTCCTTTTTCACCGTAGGCCTCTATGTGATCATAAATATCACTTCACAGATCATGCCATAACAGGGTTTCCAGACTACTGAATGAAAAGAAGGTTTTAACTCTGCTAGGTGAATGCGCACACACATCACAAAGCTTTATCTCAGATAGCTTCCTTCCAATATTTATAATGGGATATTCACATCTTTGTCATTGGCTTCAATGAGCTCCTAAACGTCCACTTGCAGAATGGACAAAAACAGTGTTTCCAGACTGCTGAATTAAAAGAAAGATTTATTTCAGTGAAGTGAATGCACACATCACAAAGTGGTTTCTCAGATAGCTTCCTTCCAGTTTTTATAATGGGATATTTGCTTTTTCACATTTGGCCTCAATAAGCTCCCAGATATCCCTTCACAGATTCTACAACAACAGTGTTTCCAAAGTGAAGACTGAAAAAAAAATTTAACTCTGTGAGATGAATGCACATATCAGAAAGCAGTTTCTCAGATTGCTTCCCTCTAGTTTTTTTCCTTGGGTGTTCGCTTTTTCGACATTCACTTTAATGAGATCCCAAATATGCCTTTGGAGATCCTAAAACTACAGGGTTTCCAAATTGCTGAGTCCAAAGAAAGGTTTAACTCTGGGAGATGAATGCACATATAACAAAGCAGTTTCTCGGAAACTTTCTAATTTTTATGTGAAGATATTTTCTTTCTCACCATAGGACTCAACGCGCTCCCTAATATGTCTTTGCAGAATGGACAAAAGCAGTGTTAGCAAATGTCTGAATCCATAGAAAGGATTAACTCTGTGAGATGAATGAACACATCACAAAGCAGATTCTCAAAGAGCTTCTTCATAGTTTTTATCTGAAGGTATTTCCTTTTTCACCATAGGACTCAATGTGATCACAGATATCACTGCACAGATTCTACAAAGTTTTTCCAAACTTCTAAATGAAAAGAAAGGTTTAACTCTGCGAGATGAATGCACACATAACAAAGCAGTTTCTCAGAAAGTGTCTTTCTATTTTTTATCAGAATATATTTTCTTTTTCACCATAGGCCTCAATGTGCTCCCAAATATCCCATGGAGGATTCTGCCAAGACAGTGTTTCCAGATTGCTGAATGAAAAGAAAAGTTTATCTCTGTGAGGTGAATTCACACATCACAAAGTGGTTTCCAACATAGCTTCCTTCTAGTTTTTATGCTGGGATATTTCCTTTTTCGGCCTTGGCCTCAATGAACTCCAAATTTTCCATTCGCCTAATGGAACAAAACAGTGTTTGCAAACTGCTGAATCTACAGAAATGTTTAACTCCGTGAGATGAAAGCACACATCACACAGCAGACTCTCAGAAAGCTTCTTTCTAGTTTTTATTTGAAGAGATTTCCTTTTTTCACCATAGGCATCAATATGCTCCTTAGTATCACTTTGCAGATTATTTGAAAAAAGTGTTTTCAAACTGTTGAATGAAATGAAAGGTTTAACTCTGTGAGATGAATGCACACACCCCAAAGCAGTTTCACATAGAGCTTCCTTCTAGTTTTTATCATGGGATATTCATTTTTTTCCATCGGCCTCAATGAGCTCTCAAATATACATTTCCAGAATGGATGAAAACTGTGTTTGCAAAATGCTGAACCCACAGAAAGTTTTAACCCTGTGAGATTATTGCCTACATCACAAGGCAGTTTCGCAGAAAACTTGTTTCTATATTTCATCTGAAGATATTTTTTTTTTCACCATAGGGCTAAATGCGCTCCCAAATATCCCTTCTCAGATTCTGTCAAAATGGTGTTTCCTGACTGCTGAATAAAAGAAAGCTTTGTCTGTGAGGTGAATTCAAACATCATTAATCAGTTTCTCAGATAGCTTCCTTCCAGTTTTTATGCTGGGATATTTGCATTTTTGACACTGGCCACAAGGAGCTCCCAAATATCCCTTCAAATATTCTACAACAGTGTTTCCAAATTGGTGAATCCACAGAAAGTTTGAACTCTGTGAGATGAATGCACACATCTCAAAGCAGTTTCTCAGAAAGCTTCTTTCTAGTTTTTACCTGAAGATATATCGTTTTTAACCATAGGCCTTAATGTGCTCCCAAATATCCCTTCCCAGATTCTGCCAAAACAGTATTTCCAGACTGCTGTATGAAAAGAAAGTTTTATCTCTGTGAGGAGAATGCCCACATCACAGAGCAGTTTCTCAGATAGCTTCCTTCTGGTTTTCATCCTGAGATATTTGCCTTTTCTCCATTGGTCTCAATGGGCTCCCAAATGTCCAGTCACAGAATGTACAAAAACAGTGTTAGCAAACTGCTGAATCAACAGAAAGTTTGAAATCTGTGAGGAAAGTTTTAACTGTGTGAGATGAATTCACATATCACAAAGCAGTTTCTCACAAAGCTTCTTTTTAATTTTTATCTGAAGATATTTCCTTTTTCACCATAGGCCTGTTTGTGCTCCCAAATATCCTTTGGTGGATTCTGCCAAAACAGTGTTTCCAGACTGCTGTAGCAAAATAATGTTTTATCTCTGTTTGTTAGGTGAATACACATATCACAAAGTGTTTTCTAAGATAGTTTTTTCTAGTTTTTTTTTCCTGGGATATTTCTTTTTTCATTATAGGTCTCAATGTGCTCCTAGTTATCACTTTATAGATTCTATGAAAACAGCTTTTCCAAACTGCTGAGTGAAAAGAAAAGTTTAATTCTGTGACATGAATGCACACATCACTAAGAGGTTTCTCAAAGAGCTTCCATCTAGTTTTTATCCAAGGATATTCACTTTTTTGTCATTGGCCTCAATGAGTTCCCAAATGTCCATTTGCAGAATGGACACAAAAAGTGTTTGCAAACTGCTGAATCCACAGAAATATTTAACTCTCTGAGATGAACGCACACATCGCAAAGAACTTTCTCAGAATACTTCTTTCTAGAATTTTTCTGAAGATATTTCCTTTTAACCATAGTCCTCAATACACTCCAAAATATAACTTCACAGATTCTACAAAAACAGTGTTTCCAAACTGCTTAATGAAAAGAAAGATTTATCTCTGCAAGACGAATGCACATATCAAAAATTGGTTTCTCAAATAGATTTTTCTAGTTTTTATACTGGGATATTCACTTTTTTTTGCCATTGTCCTCAATAAGCTCCCAAATATCCATTCACGGCTTCTACCTAAACAGTGTTTCCAGACTGCTGTATGAAAAGAAAGTTTTCTCCCTGTGAGGTGAATGCATGCATCACAAAGTTGTTTCTCAGATAGTTTCCTTCTAGTTTTTATGCTGGGATATTCGTTTTTTCACCACTGGCCTCAAAGAGCTCCCAAATATACCTTCACAGATTGTAAAACAACAGTGTTTCCAAAATGCTGAACCCAAAGAAAAGTTTAACTCTGTGAGAATAATGCATATATCTCAAAGCAGTTTCTCAGAAAGCTTCTTTCTAGTTTTTATCCTGAGATATTCTCTTATTTGTCGTTGGCCTCAATGAGCTCTGAAATATCTCTCCATAGATTCTACAACAACAGTGTTTCCAAACTGCTGAACCCAAAGAAAGGATTAACTCTGTGAGATCAATGCACACATCACAAAGCAGTTTCTCAGAAAGCTTCTTTCTAGTTTTTATCTGAAGATATTTACTTCTTCACCATAGGCTTCTATGTGCTCCCAAATGTCACTTTGCAGATTATGGCAAAACAGTGCTTCCAGACTGCTGAATGAAAAGACGGTTTCAACTCAGTGAGATAAATGCACACATCACCACGTGGTTTCTCAGACAGCTTCCTTCTAGTTTTTATCCTGGGTTATTTGTTTTTTCACCATCGGCCTCTATGAGCTCCAAAAAGTCCATTTGCAGAATGGACAAAACCAGTGTTTGCAAACTGCTGAATCCACAGAAAGGTTTAACTCTGTGAGATTAATGTGCACATCACAAAGCAGTTTCTCAGAAAGCTTCTTTCCATTTTTTATCTGAACATATGTCCTTTTTCACCATAGGCCTCAAAATACTCTCCGATGTCACTTCACAGATTCTATGAAAACAGTGTTTCCACACTGCCCAATGAAAAGAAATGTTTAATTCTGTGAGAAGAAGACACACATCTGAAAGCACTTTCTCTGAAAGCTTCTTTTTAGTTTTTTTTTCTGAAGATATTTGCTTTTTCACCATAGGCCTCAATACACTACTAAATATTCCTTTGTGGATTCTGCCAAAACAGTGTTTCCAGACTGCTGAATGTAAAGAAAGGTATATCTCTGCATAGTGAATGGACACATCACAAAGTACTTTCTTGAAGAGCTTACTTCTGGTTTTTATTCTGAGATATTCTTTTTTTGGCCATTGACCTCAATGAGCTCCCAAATGTCCATTTGCAGAATGGAGAAAATCAGTGTTTGCAAACTGCTGAATGCACAGAAAAATTTATCTTTGTGGGATGAATACACACATCACAAAGCTGTTTTAAAGAAAGCTTCTTTCTGGTTTTTATCTGAAGATATTTCCTTTTTTCACCAGAGGCCTCAATGCACTCCCAAATATAACTTTGCTGATTCTACAAAAGCAATGTTCCAAACTGCTGAATGAAAACAAAGGTTTAACTCTCTGAGATGAATGTACACATCACAAGTTTCTCAGAAAGCTTCGTTCTAGTTTTTATCTGAAGTTATTTCCTTTTTCACAATAGGCCTCAATGCGCTATGAAATATCTCTTTGCAGATTCTGCGAAAAGAGTGTTTCCAGACTGCTGAATGAAAAGAAAGGTTTATATCTGTGAGGTGAATGCACACTTCACAAAGTGGTTTCTCGGATAGCTTCCTTTCAGTTCTTATCCTGGGATATTTGCTGTTTCACCATTGGACTCAATGAGCCCCCAAATGTCCATTCATACAATTGACATAAACAGTCTTTGCAAATGACTGATTCCACAGAATCGTTTAACTCTGTGAGATGAATGCACACATCATGAAGGAATTTCTCTGAAAGCTTCTTTCTAGTTTTGACCTGAAGATATTTCCTTTTTCACCCTAGACCTCAATGTGTTCACAGATATGCCCTCAGAGATACTACAAAAACAGTGTTTCCAAACTGTTGAAAGAAAAGAAAGGTTTAACTCTGCAAGATGAATGCACACATCACAAAGCAGTTTCTCAGATAGCTTCCTTTTAGTTTTTTTCCAGGGATAGTTGCCTTTTTGCCATTGGCCTCAGTGAGCTCCCAAATATCCCTTCGTAGGTTCTACAACAGTGTTTCTAAACTGCTGAGTCCAAAGAAACGTTTTACTCTGTGAAATGAATGCCAACATCAGAAAGCAGTTTCTCAGAAAGCTTCTTTCGAGTTTTTATCTGAAGATATTTCCTGTTTCACCATGGGCCTCAATGCACTCCCTAATATAGCTGCACAGATTCTATAAAAACAGTCTTTCCAAACGGCTGGAAGAAGAGAATGGTTTAATTCTGTGAAATGAATGTACACATCACAAAGTGGTTTCTCAGAAAGTTTCTTTCTATTTTTTTAGAAGATACTTTCTTTTTCACCAGAGTCCTCAATGCTCTCCCAAATACACCTTCACAGATTCTACAAAAAAAGATTTTCCAAACTACTGAATAAAAAAATGATTTAACTCTGTGATATGAATGCACACATGACAAAGAAGGTTCTCAGATAGCTTCATTCTAGTTTTATCCAGGGATATTTGCTTTTTGGCCTTTGGCCTCAATGACCTCTCAAATATCCTTTGATAGAATGGATAAAAACTTTGGATTCCAAAGTGTGGAATCCAAAGAAAGGTTGAAATTTGTGAGATGAATGCACCCATCACAAAGCAGTTTCTCAGAAAGCTTCTTTGTACTTTTTATCTGAAGATAATTTTTTTCACCATAAGCCTCAAAGTGCTCTCAAATATCACTTCACAGATTCTACAAAAACAGTGTTTTCAAACTGCTGAATGAAGAGAAAAGTAAACTTTGCAGATGAGTGCACACATCACAAAGCGGTTTCTCACAAGGCTTTCTTATAGTTTTTATCCTGGAATATTTGATTTTTCACCATTGGCCTCAATAGCTCCCAAATGATCATTTGCAGAATGGACAAAAGAAATGTTTCCCTACTACTGAATCAAAAGAAAGATTTCACTCTGAGAGCTGAATGCACACATTACATTGCAGTTTCTTAGAAAGCTTCTTTCTAGTTTTCATCTGAAGACATTTTCTTATTCACTGTAGGCCTCAATGCAAGCCCAAACATCCCTTTGCAGATTCTAGAAAAGCAGTGTTTCCAAACTGCTGAATGAAAAGTAAGGTTTAACTCTGTGAGATGAATGCACACATCACAAAGCAGTTTCCCAGAGAGATTCCTTCTAGTTTTTTTCCTGGGAAAATTTATTTTTTGCTGTTGGCCTCTTTTTTTTATGTTTTATTCTTTTTTTTATTATACTTTTAGTTTTAGGGTACATGTGCACATTGTGCAGGTTAGTTACATATGTATACATGTGCCATGCTGGTGCACTGCATCCACTAACTCGTCCTCAACGACCTCCCACATTTCCACTGGCAGAATGGACAAAAAGTGTTTTCATACTGCTGAAAGAAAACAAAGGTTTAAATCTGCCAGATGAATGCACACATCACAATACGATTTCTCATATAGCTTAATTCTATGGTTTATAATGGGATATGCGTTTTCTTGCCTTGGCCTCAAAGAGCTTCCAAATTTCCATTTGCAGAATGGACAAAATCCGTGTTTCCAAACTGCTAAATCAAAAGAAAGTTTTAATTCTTTGAGACGAATGCACTCATCACAAAGCAGTTTCTCAGAAACAGCAAAAATCCCAGGATAAAAGCTTGAAAAAACCTATCTGTGAAACTGCTTTGTGATGTGATCATTCATCTTGTAGAATTAAGCTTTCTTTTCTTTCAGTAGTTCAGAAACACTGTTTTTGTAGAATCTGCAAAGGGCTATTTGGGAGCACATTGTGGCATAAGCTGGAAAAGAAGATATATTCAGATAAAATCTAGAAAGAATCTTTCTGAGAACCTGCTTTGTGATGTCTGCATTCAACTCAAAGAGGTAAAACTATCTTTTGATTCAGCAATTTGGAGACACTGTTTTTGTTCATTCTGTGAAAGTACATTTGGCAGCTCATTGTTGCCAATGGTGAAAAATTGAATATACCAGGATAAAAACTAGAATGAAGCTATCTGAGAAACCTCTTTGTGATGTGTGCATTCATCTCACATAGTTAAATCTTCCTTTTGATTCAGTAGTTTGGAAACACTGTATTTGTCCATTCTGCACATGGACATTTTGGAGCCCATTGATGTTTAATGCAAAAAGTGAATATCCCAGGATAAAAAAGAAGGAAGCTATCAGAGTAAAAGCTTAGAGACATGTGCCTTCATCTCACAAAGTGAAACCTTTCTTTTAACTCAGCAGTTTTGAAACTCTGTTTTTGTCCATTCTGTGAGTAGACATTTGGGAGACCATTAATGCTTAGCATGAAAAAGCAGATATTCCGGGATAAAAATGATAAGGAAGCCATCTGAGAAACAGTTTTGTCATGTGTGCATTCATCTCACCAAGTTAAAGCTTTCTTTTCATTCAGACGTTTGGAAACACTGTTTTTGTAGTATCTGAGAAGAAATATTTGGGAACGCATTGAGGGCTATGGTGAAAAACAAAATATCTTCAGTTAAAACTTGAAATAAGTAATGTGTGAAACTGCTTTGTTATGTGTGTTTTCATCTCAAAGAGTTACACTTTTCTTTTGTTTCAGCAGTTTGAAACACTCTTTTTGTAGGATCTGCCAAGGTATTTTTGGGATTGCATTGAAGACTCTGGTAAAAAAGAAAATATCTTCCAATAAATAGTGGAAAGAAGCTTCCTCAGAAACTGCTTTGTGATGTGTGCATTCATCTCACTGAGTTAAAGCTTTGTTTTCATTCAGCAGTTTGGAAACACTGTTTATTTCCATTCTGCGAATAGACATTTCAGAGCTCATTGATTTAAATGGCAAAAAAGTGAATATCAAATGATAAAAACTACAAAGAATCTACCTGAAAAACCACTTTGTGATGTGTGCATTCATCTCACAGATTTCAAAGTTTCTTTTGATTCAGCAGTTTGGAAACACTGTTTTTGTCCATTCTACCAATGAATATTTGGGAGCTCATTGAAGTCACTGCCCAAAAAAGTGAATATCCTAGGATAAAAACTAGATGGAAGCTACCCGAGAAACCACTTTGTGATGTGTGCATTCATCTTGCAGAATTAAACCTTTGTTTTCATTCAGCAGTTCGTAAACAGTGTATTTGTGGAATCTGCAAAGGGATATTTGTGAACCACTAAGGTTTATGGTGAAAAATGAAATATCTTCAAGTAAAAATTAGAAAGAAGTCTTCTGATAAACTGCTTTGTGATGAGTGCATTCATCTCACAGAGATAAAACTTTCTTTGATTTGGTAGTTTGGAAACACTGTTTTTGTGCTTTCTGTGAATGGACAATTGGGAACTCATTGAGGACAATGGGGAAAAAGGGAATATCCCAAGATAAAAACTAGAAGGAAGGTATTTGAGAAACTGCTTTGTGATTTGTACATTCATCTCGCAGAGTTAAACCTTTCTTCTCATTCTGCAGTTTGGAAACAACTTTTTTTGTAGAATCTGGAAAGGGAGATTTGGGAGCGCTTTTAGGCCTTTGTTGAAAAAGGAAGTACCTGCAGATAGAAAATAGTAAGAAGATTTCTGAGAAACTGCTTTGTGACGTGTGCATTCAACTAACCAATTTAAAACTATTTTTGGATTCAGCAGTTTGGAAACACTGTTTTTGTCCATTCTGTAAATGGACATTTGGGAGCTCATGGAGGCCAATGGGAGAAAAGTGAATATTCCATGATAAGCCATCTGAGAAACTGCTTTGTGATGTGGGCATTGATCTCGCATATTTAAGCCATTCTTTTCATTCAGCAGTTTGGAAACACTGTTTTTATAGAATCTGCCAAGGGATATTTGGGAGTGCATTGAGGCCTATAGTGATAAAGGAAACATCTAATGATAAAAACTCACAGGAAGTTTTCTAAGAAACTGCTTTGAGATGTGCGCATTCATCTCAAAGAGTTATACACTTCTTTGGATTCATCAGGTTGGAAATACTGTTTTTGTTCATCCTCTGAGTGAACTTTTGGGAGCTCTTTGAGGCCAATTTCAAAAAAGTGTATAAAAAGTAGAAGGAAACTCTCTGAGGAAATGCCTTATGATGAGTGCATTTATCTTCCAAGTTTACACTTTTCTTTATATTCAGCAGTTTGGAAACACTGTTTTTGTAGAATCTGCGAAGGGATATTTGGGAGTTCATTGAGGCCTATGGTGAAAAAGTAAATATCTTCATATAAAAACTAGCAAGAAGCATTCTCCCAAACTGCTTTGTGATGTGTATTCATCTCACTGTGTTAAAACTTTCTTTGGATTCAGCAGTTTTTAAACACTGATATTGTCCATTCTGTGAATGGACATTTGGGAGCTGATTGAGGCCAATGGGGAAAAAGTGAATATCCCAGGATAAAAAGTAGAAGGAAGCTGTCTGAGAAACTGCTTTGTGATGTGTGTATTCATCTGGAAGAGTTAAACTTTCGTTCTCTTTCAGCTGTTTGGGAACAATTTTTTTGTAGTATCTGCGAAGGGCTATTGGGGAGCACTTTGGGGCCTATGGTGAAAAAGTGAATGCTTTCAGATAAAAACTAGAAAGAAGCTTTATGAGAAACTGCTCTGTGTTGTTTGCATTTGTCTCACAGAATTAAAACTATCTTTGGATTCAGCAGTTTCAAACAGTGTTTTTGTCTGTTCTGTGAATGGACAGTTGGGAGCTCATTGAGGCCAATGGTGATAAAGTGAATATCCCAGTATAAAAACTAGAAGGAAGCTATCAGAGAAAATGCTTTCTGATGTGTGTATTCTACTCAAAGAGTTAAACCTTAGTTTTCTTTCAGCAGTTTGGAAACAATGTTTTTGCAGAATCTGAGAAGGTATGTTTAGAAGTGCATTGAAGCCTATGGCGAAAAAGGAAATATCTTGAGATAAAAACTAGAAAGGAGTTTTCTGAGAAACTGCATTCGGATGTTTGCACTCATCTCACAGAGTTAAACTTTCTATGGATTCAACAGTTTGGAAACACAGTTTTTGTCTCTTCTGCGAATGAACATTTTGAAGCTCATTGAGGTTAATTGCGAAAAAGTGAATATCCCATGATAAAAACTACAAGGAAGCTATTTGAGAAATCGGTTTGTGTTGTGTGCCTTCATCTCACAGAGTTAAACTTGTCGTTTCATTCAGCCCTTTGGAAACTCTGTTTTTTAGAATGTATGAAGGAATATTTCAGAGGGCTTTGAGGCCAATTGTGCATAGGGAAATATCTTCAGATAAAAACGTCAGAAAAACCAGAAAGAAGCATTTGAGAAACAGCTTTGTAACGTTTCCACTCAACACACAGGGTTAAAACTCTCTTTGAATTTAGTAGTTTGGAGACACTTTGTTTGTAGTATCTGTGAAGCACTATTTGGGAGCTCTTTGAGGCCAAAGGAAAAAAAGTGAATATCCCAGGGTAAATACTAGAAGGAAGCTATCTGAGAAACCACTTTGTGATGTGTGCATTCATCTCACAGACTTACTTGTCTTTTCATTCAGCAGTTTGGAAACACTGTTTTGAGAATCTGCAAAGGAATATTTGGGAGCACTTTCAGGTCTATGGGAATAAAGGAAATATTTTCAGATAAAAATTAGAAAGAAGCTTTCTGAGAAACTGCTTTGTGATATGTGTATTCATCTCACAGTGTTAAAGCTTTCTTTTTATTCAGCAGTTTGGAAACTCTGTTTTTGTCCATTCTGTGAATGGACATTCGGAAGTTGATTGAGGCCAATGGCAAAAAAGTGAATATCCTAGGATAAAAACAAGAAACAAGAGGAAGCTATATGAGAAAGTGCTTTGTGTTGTGTGCATTCATCTTGCACAGTTAAACCTTACTTTTCATTCAGCTGTTTGGAAACACTGTTTTCATAGAATCTGCGAAGGGATATTTGGGAGCACATAGAGGCCTATGGTGAAAAAAGAAATATCTTCAAATAAAAACTAGAAAGAATCTTTCTGACAAACTGCTTTGTGATGTGTGCATCCGTCTTACACAGTTAAACCTTTCTTTGGAATCAGTAGATTGGAAACACTGTTTTTGTAGAATCTGCAAAGGGGTTTGTTGTAGCTCTTTGAGGCCAATTGTGAAAAAGTGAATATCCCAAGATAAAAAGTAGAAGGAAGCTATCTGACAAACCACTTTGGATGTGTGAATTCATCTCTCAGAGTTAAACATTTCTCTTAATTCAGCAGTTTGGAAACTCATTTTGTAGAATCTGTGAAGGAACATATGGGAGTGCATTGAGGACTAGGCTGAAAAAAGAAATATCTTCAGATAAAATCTAGAAAGAAGGGTTCTGAGAAACTGCTTTGTGATGTGTGCATTCATCTCACAGAGTTAAACCTTTCTTTGTATTCAGCATATTGGAAATGCTGTGTTTGTAAAATCTGCAAAGGGATATTTGGGAGCTCATTCATGATACAGGCGTAAAAAAATATCCCAGGCTAAAAACTACAAGGAAGCAATCTGAGAAACTGCTTTGTGATGTGTACATTGATCAATCGGAGTTAAACCTTCTCCTCATTCAGCAGTTTGGAAACACTGTTTTTGTAGGATCTCAGAAGGCATATTTGGGAGAGCATTGAGGCCTATGGTTAAAAAGGAAATACCTCCAGATAAAAATGAGAAAGAAGCTTTCTGAGAAATTGTTTTGTTGTATGTGCACTCATCTCACAGAGTTAAATCTTTCTTTGGATTCAGCATTTTTGGAAACACTGTTTTTCTCCATTTTGCAAATGGACATTTGGGATCTAATTTAGGCCAAAGGCAAAAAAAGCGTGTATCCCAAGATAAAAATTAGAAGGAAGATATCTGACCAACTGCTTTGTGATGTGTGCATTCATCTCACAGAGTTAAACTTTTCATTCAGCTTTTTGAAAAAAACTGTCTTGGTAGGAACTGCGAAGGGATATTTGGGAGTGCATTGAGGCCTAAGGTGAAAAAGCAAATATCTTCAAATAAATTCTAGAAAGAAGTTTTCTTGGAAACTGCTTTTTGATGTGTGCATTCATCTCACACAGGTAAACTGTTCTATGGATTCAGCAGTTTGGAGACACTGTTTTGGTAGAATCTGTGAAGGGATATTTGGGAGTGCATTGAGGGTTGAGGTGTAAAAGGAAATGTCTTAAGATAAAAACTAGAAAGAAGGTTTCTGAGAAACAACCTTCTGATGTTTGCATTCATCTCACAGAGTTAAAACTTTCTCTGGATTCAGCAGTTTGGAAACGCTGTTTTTATCCATTCACGGAAGGGAAGATTTGGAGCTCATTGAGGAAAGTGGCAAAAAGGTGAATGTCCCAGGATAAAAACAAAATGAATGCACATATAACAAGGCAGTTTCTCAGATAGCTTTATTCTTCTTTTTATTTTGGGATATTGCTTATTCGCCATTGGCCTGAAGGAACTCCAAAAATGTCCGTTGGTAGAGTGGACAAAAACAGTGTTTCCAAGGTGCTGAATCCAAAGAAAGGTTTAAGTCTGTGCAATGAATGGACACATCACAAAGCTGTTTCTCAGAAAATTTCTTCCTAGTTTTTAATCTGAAGATATTTCCTTTTTCACCATAAGCCTCAAAGTGCTCCCAAATATCCCTTTACAGATCCCACCAAAACAGTGTTTCCAAACTGCTGAATAAAAACAAAAGTTTAACTCTGCATTTTGAATGCAAACATCACAAAGCTGTTTCTCGGAAAACTTCTTTCTAATTTTTATCTGAAGATGTTTCCTTTTTCACCATAAGCCTCAATGCACTCCCAAATATCCCTTCACAGATTCTGCCAAAACAGTGTTTGCAGACAGCTGCATGAAAATAAAGATTTAACTCTGCGAGGTGAATGCACACATCACAGAACGATTTCAGAGAGCTGTCTTCCAAATTTATCCTGGGATATTTTCTTTTTCACCATTGGCCTCAATGAGCTCCCAAAATATCCATTTGCAGAACGGACAAAAGCAGTGTTTCCAAATAGCTGAATCCAAAGTAATGTTTACTTCTCTTAGGTGAATGTGCACATCACAAAGCCATTTCTGAGAAAGCTTCTTTCTAGTTTTTATCAGTAGATATTTCCTTTTTCACCATAGACCTCAATGCACTCCCAGATATCCCTTTGGATTCTACCAAAACAGAGTTTACAAACTGCTGAATGAAAAGAATGGTTTACCTCTGTGGGATGAATGCACACATCAAAAAGTGGTTTCTCAAAGAGCTTCCTTCTAGTTTATATCCTGGTATGTTCACTTTTTTGCCATTGGCCTCAATGAGTTTCCAAATGTCTATTTTCAGAATGGACAAAACCAGTGTTTGCACACTGCTGAATTCACTGAAATATTTAACTCTGTGAGATGAATGCACACATAAAAGAAAACAATTCTCAGAAAGCTTCTTTCTAGTTTTTATCTGAAGATATTTCCCTTTTCACCTTAGGCCTCAAAGTGCTCTCAAATATAACATCACAGATTCTACAAAAACAGTGTAAACATAATGATAAATAAAAAGAATTTTTTAAAGCTTAGAGGTGAATGCACACATCTCAAAGCAGTTTCTCAGATAACTTCCTTCTAGTTTTTTTTCCTAGGATATTCACTTTTTCGAATTTGGCCTCAATGAGCTCCCAAACATCCCTTCACAGATTCTACAACAACTGTTTTCCTAAACTGCTGCATCCACAGAAAGGTTAAACTCTGTCAGCTGAATGTACACATCACAAAGTAGTTTCTCAGAAATCTTTCTAGTTTCTATCTGAAGATATTTCCTTTTTCACCCAAGGCTTCAATGTGCTCCAAAATATCCTTTTGTGGATTCTGCCAAAACAGTGTTTCCAGACTGCTGAATGACAGGAAAGATTTACAGCTGCGAGGTGAATGCACACATCACAAAGTGACTTCTTTATATCTTCCTTCTAGTTTTTATCCTGGGATATTCCCTTTTACTACATTGGCCTCAATGAGCTCCCAAATGTCCATTCACAGAATGGACAAAAACAGTGTTTGCAAACTCTTGAATCCACAGAAAGTTTTACCTCTGTGAGATGAATGCACACATCACAATGCAGTTTCTCAGAATGCTTCTTTTTAGTTTTTATCTGAAGATGTTTCCTTTTTCACTATTGGCCTCAATGTGCTCCAAATTATGACATCACAGATTCTACAAAAACAGTGTTTCCAAACTGCTGAATGAATGGAAATGTTTAACTCTGTGAGAAGAATGCACACATCACAAAGCTGTCTCTTAAATGGCTTCCTTCTCGTTTTTATCCTGGGATAATCACTTTTTCTCCCTTGGCCTCCATGAGCTCCCAAATATCCCTTCACAAATTCTACAAAAACAGTGGTTCCAAACTGCTGAATTAAAAGAAATGTTTAACTCTGTGAGGTGAATGCACACACACAAATCTGTTTCTCAAATAGCTTCCTTTTGGTTTTTATCCTGGAATATTTGCTTTTTCACCATTGGCTGAAGCCAAATGAGCCCCCAAATATCCATTTGCAGAAAGGACAAAAAGAGTTTATGCAAACTGCTGCATCCACAGAAATGTTCATCTCAGTGAGATGAATGCACACATCACAAAGCAGTTTCTCATTAAGTTTCTTTCTAGTTTATATCTGAAGGTATTTCCTTTTTCATCTTATGCCTCAATGTGATCCCAATTATAACTTCACAGATACTACAAAAACAGTGTTTACAAACTGCTGAATGAAAGGAAGGGTTTATCTCTGAGAGATGAATCCACACATCACAAAGCAGTTTCTCAGATAGGTTCCTTCTAGTTCTTTTCTGGGGATATTTTCTTTTTCACCTTTGGCCTCAGTGAGCTCCCAAATATCCCTTCGCAAATTCCACAACAACAGTGTTTCCAAACTTCTGAATCCAAAGACATGTTTCACTCTGTCAGCTGAATGCATACATCACAATGTAGTTTATTGGAATGCTTCTTTCTAGTTTCTATGTGAATATATTTACTTTTTCACCCTAGACCTCAATGCACTCCCAAATATCCCATTGTGGATTCCCCCAAAACATTGTTTCCAGACTACTGAATGAAAACAAAGTTTATCTCTGCGAGGTACATGCACACGTCACAAAGCAGTTTCTGAGATATCTTCATTCCAGTTTTTATCCTCGGATATTCAGTTTTTCGCCACTGGCCTCAATGAGCTCCCAAATGTACACTCACAGAATGGACAAAAGCAGTGTTTGCAAACTGCTGAATCCAGAAAAATGTTTAACTTTGTGAGATGAATGGACACATCACAAAGCAGTTTCTCAGAAAGCTTCTTTCTAGTTTCTGTCTGAAGATGTTTCCTTTTTCACCATAAGCTTCAGTGCGCTCCCAAATATCCCTTCACAGTTTCTATGAATACAGTTTTTGCAAATTGTTGAATGAAAAGAAAGGCTTAACTCTGTGAGATGAATGCTTACATCACAAAGCAGTTTCTCAGACGTCTTCCTTCTAGTTTTTATCTGGGGTATTCATTTTTTCACCATTGGCCTCAATGAGCTCCCAAATGTCCATTTGCAGAATGGACAAAAACGTGTTTCCAAACTGCTGAATCAAAAGAATGTTTTAACTCTGTTAGGGGAAAGCACACTTCTCAAAGCAGGTTCTTAGAAAACTTCTTTCTAGTTTTTAACTTCATATGTTAACTTTTTCACCTTAGGCCTCTATGCACTCCCAAATATCTCTTTGCAGATTCTACAAAAACAGTGTGTCCAAACTGCTGAATGGAAAGAAAGGTTTAACTCTGTGAGGTCAATGCACACATCACAAAGCACTTTCTCCAATAGCTTCTTTCTACTTTTTATCCTGGGATATTCGCTTTATCACCATTGGCCTAAGTGGGCTCCAACATGTGCATTCGCAAAATGGACAAAAACTGTGTTTCCAAACTGCTGAATAAAAGAATGGTTTAACTCTGTGAGATGAATACACACATCACAAAGAAGATTCTCAGAAAAATTCTTTCTTTTTTATCTAAAATTTATTTTTCACCATTGGCGAGAATGCACCCCCAAATATTGCTTCGCAGATTCTACAAAATCAGTGCTTAGAACCTGCTGAAGGAAAAGTGAGGTTTAATTCTGTGAGATGAATGTGCACATCACAAAGCAGTTTTTCAGATACCTTCCTTCTAGTTTTTATTCCTGGATATTCGGTTTTTTGCCAATGGCCTCAATAATCTCCTGAATGAATATTTGTAGAATGGACAAAAGCAGTGTTTCCAAACTGCTGAGTCAAAAGAAAGGTTTAACTCTGTGAGATGAATGCACATATCACAATGTAGTTTCTCAAAAAGCTTCTATCTAGTTTTTATCTGAAGATATTTCCTTTTTCAACATAGTCCTCAAAGCACTCCCAAATATACCTTTGCAGATTCTACAAAAATAGTGTTTTCAAACTACTGAAAGAAATCAAATTTTTAACTCTGTGAGATAAATGCACACATCACAAAGTGGTTTCTCCAGTAGCTTCCTAGTAGTTTTTTTCTTGGGATATTTGCTTTTATGTCATAGGCCTCAATGAGCTGCCAAATATCCTTTCACAGAATAGACAATAAGAGTGTTTCCAGACAGCTGATTCCAAGAAAGGCTTAAATCTTTCTTGGAAAATGAAATGAAATGAATGAATGAAATGAATGCACACCTCCAAAGCAGTTTCTCAGAAAGCTTCTTACTTGTTTTTATCTGAAGATATTTTCCCTTTCAATGTAAGCCTCAATGCGCTCCCATATATCCCTTTGCAGATTCTACAAAAACAGAGTTTCCAAACTCCTGAATGAAAACAAAGGTTTTACTCTATGAGATGAATGCATACATCACAAAGCAGTTTATCAGAGAGCTTCCTTCTAGTTTTTATCCTGGGATATTTGTTTTTTTGCCATTGGTCTCAAAGATCTCCCAAATATCCACTCACAGAATGGACACAAACAGTGTTTCCAAACTGCTGAATCATAAGACAGTTTTAACTCTGTGAGATGGTGGCACACATAACAAGGTTGTTACTAAGACAGCTTTCTTCCAGTTTTTATCCTGGGATATTAGCTTTTTGCCATTGGCCTCAATAAGCTCCCAAATGTTCATTCACAGAATTGAGAAAAAAGGTGTTTCCAAAGTGTTGAATCAAAAGAAAACTTTAACCCTGTGAGAAGATTGTTCACACTGAAAGCAGTTTTTCAGAAAGCTTCTTTCTAGTTTTTATCTGAATATATTTTCTTTTTCACTCTAGGTCTCCATGTGCTCTCAAATATCCCTTTGCAGATTCTCCACAAACAGTTTTTCCAAACTGCTGAATGAAAAGGAAAGTTTAATTTTGAGAGATGAATGCTCACATCAAAAAGCAGTTATTCAGATAGCTTTCTTCTAATTTTTATCCTGGGAGATTCCATTTTTTGCCATTTGCCTCAATGAGCTCCTAAATGTCCATTTGCAGAATGGAAAAAAAAACAGTGTTTCCAAACTGCTGAATCAAAAGAAAGGTTTAACTCTGTGAGATGAATGCACACATCACAAAGCACTTTCTGAGAAAGCTTATTTTCACTTTTTATTGGAAGATAATTTCTTTTTCACCATAGTCCTCAATGCACTCCCAAACATCCCTTTGCAAATTCTACAAAAAGAATGTTTCCAAATTGCTGAATCAAAAGAAAGGTTTAACTCGATGAGATGAAGGCACATATTTCAAAGTGGTTTCTCAGATTGCTTCCTTATACTTTTTATCCTGGAATATTTGCTTTTTCACCCTTGGCATTGATGATCTCCAAAATGTCCATTGGCAGAACGGACAAAAAAGGACTTTCAAAACTGCTGAATTAAAAGAAAGGATTGGCTCTGTGAGATGAAGGCACATCTCACAAAGCTTTTACTCAGATAGCTTCCTTCTTTTTAATCCTTGGATATTCACTTTTTGCATTAAACCTCAATGCACTCCCGAATGTCCATGTGCAGAATGGACAAACACAGTGTTTCCAAACTGCTGAATCAAAAGGAAGGTTTAACTATGTGAGACAAATACCACATCACAAAGAGGTTCCTCAGATAGATTCCTTCTAGATTTTATCCTGGTATATTCGATTTTTTGCCTTTGGCCTAAATGATTTGCCAAAAGTCCTTTTGCAGAATGAATAAAAACAGTGTTTCCAAGTTGCTGAATCAAAAGAAACCTTTAACCCTTTGAGATGAATACAAACATCATAAAGCAGTTTCTCAGAAAGATTCTTTCTAGTTTTTATCTGAAGATATTTTCTTTTTCACCTTATGCCTCAATGTGTTCCCAAATATCCCTTTGCAGATTCTACAAAAAGAGTGTTTCCAAACTGCTGAATGAAAAGAAAGTTTGTCTCTTCAAGGTGAATGCTCACATCAGAAAGCAGTTTCACAGAGAGCTTTTTACTAGCTTTTATCCTGGGATATTCACAGTTTCCGAGAAACTGCTTTGTGATGTGTGCATTCATCTCACAGAATTAAAACCTTCTTTTGATTCAGCAGTTTTGAAACACTGTTTTTGTCCTTTCCGCGAATGAACATTTGGGAGTTTATTGAGGTCAATAGTGAAAAATCGAATATCCCAGGATAAAAACTAGAAGAAAGCCATCTAAGAAACTGCTTTCTGATGTGTGCATTCATCTGCAAAGTTTACCTTTCTCTTCTTTCACCAGTTTGGAAACACTGCTTTTGTAGAATCTGTGACGTGATATTCGAGAGCTCATTGAGGCTTAGGATGAAAAAGAAATTATCTTCAGATAAGAACTAGAAAGAAGCTTTCTGAGAAACTGCTTCATGATGTGCGCATTCATCTCACAGAGTTTAACATTTCTTTGGATTCAGCCGTTTAGAAACAAGGGTTTTATCCACTCTTTGTAAGGACATTTGGGAGCCCACTGAGGACAATGATGTAAAACTGAATAAACTGGGTAAAACTAGAAGGAATCTATCTGAGAAACCTATTTGTAATGTGTCCATTCAAGTCACGGACTTAAACCTTTCTTTTCATTCAACAGTTTGGAAAAACTTTTTTTATAGGATCTGTGAAGTCATATTTTGGAGTGCATTGAGGACTATAGTGAAAAGAAATTATCTTCTGATAAAAAATAGAAAGAAACTTTCTGAGAAACTGCTTTGTGATGTGTGCATTCATCTCACCTAGGTAAAACTTTCTTCTCATTCAGCAGATTGGAAACACTCTTTTTTGTAGAATCTGTGAGGGGATATTTCGGTGCTTTGAAGTCAATGGTTAAAAAGGAAATTTCTTCAGATAGAAACAAGAAAGAAGCTTTCTGAGGAACTGCTTTGTGATGTGTGCATTCATCTCAGAGTTCATCCTTTCTTTTGATACAGCAGTTTGGAAACACTGTTTCTGTGGTGAAAAAGAAAATATCTTCAGAAAAAAACTACAAAGAAGATTTCTGAGAAACTGCTTTATGATATGTGCATATATCTCACAGAGGTAAACTTTTCTTTTGATTCATTGTTTATAAAATCTTTGTTTTTTCATTCTGCAAATTTACATTTGGGAGCTCATTGAGACCAATGGTGAAAATGGGAACGTTCCAGGATAAAAACAAGAAGGAAGCTACCTGAAGAACTGCTTTGTCATACGTGCATTCATCTCACAGAGCTAAACTTTTCTTTGACTCAACATTTTTGAAACACTGTTTTTGAAGCATCTGCCAAGGGATATTTGGTAGTTCATTGAGGCCAAGTGGTAAAAGAGCAAATATTTTCAGATAAAAAATAAAAAGAAACATTCTGAGAAACTGCTTTGTGATGTGTGCATTCATCTTACAAACTTAAAACTTTCTTTGGATTCAGCAGAAGTTTCGAAACACTGTCTTTGTCCATTTTGTGAATGGACATTTGGGAGCTAACTGAAGCCAAGGGGAAAAAAGGCAATACACCAGTATAAAAACTAGAAGGAAGCTATCTGAGAAACTACTTTGTAAAGTGTGCATTCATCTAGCAGAGTTAAACATTTCTTTTCATTCAACAGCTTGGAAACACTGTTTTTGGAGAATATGCGAAGCGATATTTGGGAGCGCATTGGGGCCTATGGTGAAAATGGAAACATCTTCAGATAAAAACGGGAAAGAAGCTTTCTTAGAAACTGCTTTGTGATGTGTGCATTCATCTCACAGAGTTAAAACTTTTTTTTTGATTCAGCCGTTTGAAAACACTGTTTTTGTCCATTCTGCAAATGGACATTTGGGAGCTCATTGAGGAGAATGGTGAAAAAGCAAGTATCCCAGAATAAAAAGTAAAAGGAAGCTACCTAAAAAGCCGTTTTGAGATGTGTGCATTAATCTCACAGTTAACCCTTTCTTTTCATTAACCAGTTTGGAAACACTGTTTTCGTATAATCTGTGAAGGCATATTTAAGAGTGTATTGAGGCCTATGGTGAAAAACTAAACATCTTCAGACAAAAGCTAGAAAGAGGCTTTCTGACAAACTCCTTTGTGATGTGTGCATTCATCTCACAAAGTTAAATTTTTCTTTGGATTCAGCAGTTTGGAAACTCTGTTTCTGTCCATACTGTGAACCAACAATTCTGAACTCACTGAGGCCAATGATGAAAAGTGAATATTCCAGGATAAAACCTAGGAGGCAGCTATCAGAGAAACTGCTTTGTGATGTGTGCATTCATCTCACAGAGTTAAACCTTTCTTTTCATTCAGCAGTTTGGAAACACTGATTTTGTACAATCTGCAGAGGAATATTTTGGAGTGCATTTAGGCCTGTGGTGAAAAAGGAAACATCTTCAGACAAAAACTAGCAAGAAGCTTTCTGAGAAACTGCTTTGTGATGTGTGCATTCATCTCACTGTGATAAAATTTTCTTTTAATTCAGCCATTTGGAAATACTCTTTTTGTCCATTTTGCGAATGGAAATTTGGGAGCTCACTGAGGGCAATTGTGAAAAAGCAATTATCCCCAGATAAAAACTAGAAGGAAGTTATTTGACAAACTGTTTTGTGATGTGTGTGTTCAATGAAGAGAGAGAAAATTTTCTTTTCATTCAGCAGTTCAGAAACACTGTTTTTGTAGAAACTGTGAAGGAATATTTGTGAGTGCATTGAGGCATGTGGTAAAAAAGGAATCATCTTCAGATAAAAACTAGAAAGAGGTTTTCTGAGAAACTGTTTTGTGATGTTGCATTCATCTCACAAAGTTAAAATTTTCTTTGGATTCAGCAGTTTTGAAACACTGTTATTGTCCATTCTGCAAATGTACTCTTGGGAACTAATTGAGGCCAATGGCTAGAAAGTAAATATCCCAGGATAAAAACTAGAAGGAAGGAATCAGAGAAAATGCTTTGTGATGCATGCATTCATCTCACAGAGGTAAACTTTTCTTTTCATTGAACAGTTTGGAAACACTGTTTTTGAAGAATCTGTGAAGGAATATTTGGGAACGCATTGATGCCTATGGTGAAAAAGGAAACATCTTCAGAAAAAAATAAGAAAAGTTTTCTGAGAAGCTTCTTTTTGATGTGTGCATTCATCTCAGAGATTTAAACTTTTCTATGGATTTTGCAGTGTGGAAACACTGTTTTTGTCCATTCTGTGAATGGACATTTTGGAGCTCATTGATGCCAATAGCAAAAAAGCGAATATCCCAGGTTAAAATCTAGCAGGAACCTATCTGGGGAACCATCTTGTGATGTGTGCATTTGTTACTCAGTTAAAACTTTCTTTTCATTCAGCAGTTTGGAAACACTGCTTTTGTGGAATGTACGAAGGGATATTAATGAGCCCTTTGAGGCCTATTGTGAAAAAGGAATCATCTTCAGATAAAAACTAGAACGAAGCTCTATGAGGAACTGCTTTGTGATGTGTGCATTCATCTCACAGAGGTGAAACTTTCTTTGGATTCAGCAGTTTGGAAACAATATTTTTGTACATTCTGAGAATGGACTTTTGGGAACTCTTTGAGGCCAATGGCAAGAAAGTGAATCTCCCAGGATTAAAACTAAAAGGAAGCTTTCTGAGAAACGGCTTTGAGATGTGTTCATTCATCTCGCAGAGTTAAACTTTTCTTTTCATTCAGGAGCTTGGAAACACTGTTTTTGTAGAATCTGTGAAGAGGTATTTTGTAGTGCTTTGAGGCTTATGGTGAAAAAGGAAACAAGATAAAAAAATAGAAAGAAGCTTTCTGAGAAACTACTTTGTGATGTGTACATTCATCTCACAGTTAAAAGTTTCCTTGAATTTTTCAATTTGGAAACATTGTTTTTATCTGTATTGTGAATGGACATTTGCAGGCTCATTGAGGCCAATGGCAAATGAGTGAATATCCCAGGATAAAAACTAGAAGACAGCTACCTGAGGAACCACTTTGTGATGTGTGCATTCTTCTAGCAGAGGTAAACCTTTCTTTTCATTCAGCAGTTTGGAAACACTGTTTTTGTAGTATCTACAAAGTGATATTTGGGAGTGCATTGAGGCCTATGGTGAAAAAAGAAATATCTTCAGATGAAAACAAGAAAGAAGGTTTCTGAGAAACTGCTGTGGATGTGGGCATTAATCTCACAGATTTAAATCTTTCTTTGGATTCTGCAGTTTGGAAACACTGTTTTTGTCCTTTCAGCAAATGGATGTTTGGAAGCTCATTGAGGCCAATGGTGAAAAAGGGAATATCCTAGGATTATCACTACAGTGAAGATATCTGAGAAACCAGTTTGTCACGTTTACACTCATCTTGCAGAGTTAAACCTTTTCATTCATCAGTTTGCAATGCTGCTTTGGTAGAATCTGCAAAGGGATATTTGGTAGTGCATTAAGGTCTATGGTCAAAATGTAAATATCTTCAAATAAAAAATAGAAAGAAGCTTTCTGAGAAACTGCCTTGTGATGTGTGCATTCATCTCACAGAGGTAAAGCTTTCTTTGAATTCAGGAGTTTGGAAACACTGTTTTTGTGGAATTTTTGAAAAGATATTTGTGAGCACTTTGAGGCCTATGGTGAAAACGAAAACATCTTCAGATAAAAACTAGGAAGAAGCTTAATGAGTAACTGCATTGTGATGTGTTTATTCATCCAATAGAGTTAAGCCTTTCTTTGGATTCAGTGGTTTCGTAACACAGTTTTTGTCCATTCTGTGAATGGAGTTTGGGAGCTCATTGAAGCCAGTGCATTCATCTAACAGAGTTAAACCTTTCTTTTCATTCAGCAGACTGGAATCACTGTTTTTGTAGAATCTGCTAATTGATATTTGGGAGCACATTCAGGCATATGGTGAAAAAGGAAATATCTTCAAATAAAAAGTTTAAAGAAATTTTCCGAAAAACTGCTTTGTGATGTGTGCATTCATCTCACGCAGTTAAGCCTTTCCTGGGATTCAGCAATTTGGAAACACTGTTTTTGTAGAATCTGTAAAGGAATATTTTGGAGGTCATAGGGACCAATTGCAAAAGAGATAATATCCAAGAATAAAAACTAGAAAGAAGCTATTTGAGAAACTGCTTTGTGATGTGTGCATTCATCTCACAGTGTTAAGCCTATCTTTTCTTTCAGAAATTGGAAACACTGTTTTGGTAGAAACTGTGAATGTATTATAGGGAGCACATTGAGGCCAATGGTGAAAAAGAATAATCTTCAGATAAAACTGGAAAGAAGCTTTATGAGAAACTGCTTTATGATGTGTACATTCATCTCACAGAGTTAAACCTTTGTTTAAATTCAGCAGTTTGGCAACACTGTTTATGAAGAATCTGCTAAGGGATATTTGATAGTTTAATGAGGCCAAAGGCAAAAAAGTGAATAGTACAGCATAAATACTAGTAGGAAGCTACCTGAGAAACCACTTTGTGATATGTGCAATCATTTCACAGAATTAAAACTTTCTTTTCAATTCAACAGCTTGGAAACACAGTTTTGGTAGAATCTGTGAGGGGATATTTGACAGCCCATGGAGGCGTATGATGAAAAAGGAAATATCTTCAGATAAATACTAGAAAGAAACTCTCTGACAAACTGCTTTGTGATGTGTGCATTCATCTCACAGAGTTTAAACTTTCTTGGGATTCAGCACATTGGAAAAACTGTTTATGTACAATCTGTGAAAGCATATTTGATAGCTCATTAAGGCCAATACTAAAAAGCAAATATCTCAGGATAAAAACTAGAAGGAAGCTATTGGAGAAACTGCTTTGTGGTGTGTGCATTCATCTCACAGAGTTAAACCTTTTTTTTCATTCAGCAGCTTGGAAACGCTATTTTGGTATAAACTGCAAAGGTATGTTTGGGAGTGCATTGAGGCCTACAGTGAAAAAGGAAATATCTCCAGATAAAAACTAGAAGAATCTTTCTGAGAAACTGATTTGTGATGTGTGCATTCATCTCACAGCTTTAAACCTTTCATTGGATTTAGCAGTTTGGAAACACTGTTTTGTCCATTCTGCAAATGGACATTTGGGAGCTCATTGTGGCCAATGGTGAAAAAGTGAATATCCAAGAATAAAAACTAGAAGGAAGCTATCTGAGAAACCACTTTCTGATGTCTGCATTCATCTTGCGAGTTAAAACTTTCCTTTCATTCAACAGTTTGGAAAAAAATTAGAAGCTTTCTGATAAACTGCTTTGTGATGTGTGTATTCATGTCACAGAATTAAACCTTTCTTTTCATTCAGCAATTTGGAAACACTGTTTTTGTAGAATCTGTGAAGGGATATTTTGGAGCGCATTGAGGCCTATGGTGAAAAAGTAAGTATCTTCAGATAATAATTAGAAAGTAATTTTCTGAGAAACTGCTTTGTGATGAGTGCATTAACCTCACAGAGTTGAAACTTTCTTTGGATTCAGCAGTTGGGAAACACTCTTTTTGTACATTCTGTGAAAGGACATTTGGGAAGTCATTTAGGCCAATGGCTAAAAAGCAAATATCCCAGGATAAAAACTAGAAGAAAGATAGGTGAGAAACTGCTTTGTGACGTATGCATTCACCTCACAGATTCAAACCTTTCTTTTCATTCAGCAATTTGAAAACACTGTTTTGGTAGAATCTGGGAAGGGATGTTTGGGAATGCATTGAGGCCTATGAAAAAAAAGGAAATATCTCCAGATAAAAACTAGAAAGAAGCTTTCTGAGAAACTTCTTTTTAATGTGTGCATTCATCTCACAGAGTTAAACTTTTCCTTGGATTCAGCAGTTTTGAATCAATGTTTTTCTCCATTCTATGAATGTACATTTTGGAGCTCATTGAGACCAAAGGCGGAAAAGCAAATATCCAAGGATAAAAACTAGAAGAAAGCTATCTGAGAAACAAAACAGTTTCTCAGAAAGCTTCTTTCTAGTTTTTATCTGAAAATATTACCTATTTTTTATAGGCCTCAATGTGCTCCCCAATATCCCTTCACAGATTCTTCCAAAACAAATTTTCCAAATGGCTGAAAGAAAAGAAAAGTTTATCTGTGTGTGCGCTCCCATGTATACCTTCATGGATTCTACCAAAACAGTGTTTCCAAACTGCTGAATGAAAAGAAATGTTTAACTCTGCGAGATGAATGCACACATAATAAAGCAGTTTCTCAGATAACTTCCTGCTTCTTTTATCCTGTGATATTCACTTTTTCACCATGGCCTCAATGAGTTCCCAAATGTCCATTCGTTGAATGGACAAAAACAGTGTTAACACACTGCTGAATACAAAGAATGGTTTAACTCTGCAAGGTGACTGAACACATTACAAAGCAGTTTCTCGGAAAGCTTCTTTCTAGTTTTTATCTGAATATATTTCCTTTTTCACCATAGACCTCAATATACTCCCAAATATCTCTTCACAGATTCTACAAAAACAGTGTTTCCAAACTGCTGAATGAAAGGAATGGTTTAACTTGCGAGATGAATGGATACATCACAAAGCGGTTTCTCAAATAGCTTCCTTCCAGTTTTTACCCTGGGATATTCACTTTTTCGCCATTGGTTTAAATGAGCTTCCAAATGTCCATTCTCAGAAGGGACAAAAACAGTGTTTCCAAACCGCCGATTTCAAAGAAAGGTTTTACTCTGTGAGATGAAGGCACTCATCACAAAGCAGTTTCTCAGAAAGTTTCTTTCAAGTTTGTACCTGAACATATTTCCTTTTTCACCATAGGTCAAAATGTGCTCCCAAATATCCCTTTGCAGGTTCTACAAAAACAGTGTTTCCAAACTGCTGAATCCAAAAAACATTTTACCTCTGCAAAATGAATGTATACATCACTAAGCAGTTTCTCAGATATCTTCCTTCTAGTGCTTATCCTGGGATATTCACTTTTTCACCACTGGCCTCAATGAGCTCCCAAATGTCCTTGTTCAGAATTGACAAAAACAGTGTTTCCAAACTGCTGAATCCAAAGAATGGTTTAAGTCTGTGAGATGTATGCAGACACCAGAAAGCAATTTCTCAGAATGATTCTTTCTACTTTTTTTTAATTATGCTTTCTTTAAGTTTTAGGGTACATGTGCACAACGTGCAGGTTAGTTAAATATGTATACATGTGCATATGTAAAAGAAAGGTTTAATTCTGTGAGATGAATGCACACATCGCCAAGTGGTTTCTCAGATATCTTCCTTCTAGTTTTTATCCTGAGATAGTTGCTTTGTTGCCATTGGCTTCAATAAGCTCCCAAATGTCCATTTGCAGAATGGACAAAAACAATGTTTCCAAGTTGCTGAATCCAAATAAAAGTTTAAATAGGTGAGATGAATGCACACATCACAAAGCAGTTTATTGGAAAAGTTCTTTCTAGTTTTCATCTGAAGATATTTCCTTTGTCACCATAGGCCTGAATGCTCTGCTGAATATTGCCTCACAGATTCTAACAGAACAGTGTTTCCAAACTGCTGAATGAAAAATAGATTCAACTCTGTGAGGTGAATGTAGACATCACAAGGCCATTTCTCAGGTACTTTCCTTCTAGTTTTTATCATGAGATAATCATTTTTTCCTTTAAGGACTGAATGAGCTATCAAATATGCTTTCACAGATTATACAAAAGCAGTGTTTCCAAACTACTGAATCCAAAGAAAGGTTTAACTCTGTTAGATGAATGCACACAACAGAAAGTATTTTCTCAGATAATTTCTTTCTAGTTTTCATCCGAAGATATTTTGTTTTTCACCATAGGCCTCAATGCACTCTGAAATATCCCTATGCAGCCCCTATTAAAAGAGTGCTTCCAAACTGTTGAATGAAAAGAAATGTTTAACTCTGTGAGATGAATGCACGTATCACCAAGCACCTTCTCAGATCTTCTGTCTCGTTTTTATCGTGAGATATTCACTTTTTAGCCTATGGCCTCAAAGATCTATCAAATATCTCTTTGCAGTTTCTATAAAAACAGTGTTTCCAAGCTGCTCAATCCAAAGAAAAGTTTAACTCTGCAAGATGAATGCATACATCACAAAGCAGTTTCTCAGAAAGCTGCTTTCTAGTTTTTATCTGAAGATATTTCCTTTTTCAACATAGGTCTCAATCCACTCCCAAATGTCCCTTGGCAAATTGTACCAAAACAGTGTTTCCACATTGCTCAATGGAAGGAAAGGTTTAACTCTGAGAGATGAATGCACACATCACAAAGCGGTTTTTCATTTAGCTTTCTTCTAACGTTTATCCTGAGATAGTCACTTTTTCACCTTTGGACTCAATGAGCTCCCATATGTCCATTCGCAGAATGGACAAAAATGTTGTTTCCAAACTGCTGAATGAAAAGAAAGTTTTACATCTGTGAGATGAATGCACACTTCACAAAGCGGTTTTTCAGATATCTTCCTTCAAGTTTTTATCCTGGGATGTTTGCTGTTTCAATTTGGCCTCAATGAGCTCCAAAATACCACTTTGCAGATCCTACAAAAAGAGTGGTTCCTAATGACTGAATGCAAAGAAATGTTTAAATCTGTGACATAAATGTACACATCACAAAGGAGTTTCTCAGAAAGATTTTTCGAGTTTTCATCTGAAGGTATTTCTTTTTTCACTGTAAGTCTCATTGCACTAACAAATATCCCTTCGCAGATTCTACCAAACCATTGTTTCCAAACTGCTGAATGAAAAGAAATTTTTATCTCTCTGAGATGAAAGCACCCATCACAAATCGTTTTCTCTGTTTTCTCAGATAGCTTCCTTATAGTTTTTATCCTGGGATATTTGCTCTCTCTCCTATGGCCACAAGGAGCTATCGAATATCCCTTCACAGATTCTGCAAAAACCGTGTTTCCAAACTGCTGTATCCCAAGAAATGTGTAACTCTGTGAGACGAATGCATACATCTCACAGTTTCTCAGTAAGCTTCTTTCTAGTTTTTTCTGAAGGTATTTCCTTTTTCAACCTAGGTCTCAATGCGCTCCCAAATATCCCTTCACAGATCTCACAAAGTCAGTGTTTCCAAACTACTGAACACAAAGAAAGGTTTAAATCTGTGAGATGAATGCACAAATCACAAAGTAGTTTCTGGAAAGCTTTTTTCTAATTTTCATCTGAAGATATTTCCTTTTTCACCATAGGCTTCAATGCGCTCCCAAATATCCCTTCGTGGATTCTACCAAAACAGTGTTTCCAAACTGCTGAATGAAAAGAAAGTTTTAACTCTTTAAGATGAATGCACACACTACAATGGGTTTCTCAGATAGTTTTCTTCTAGTTTTTATCATGGGATATTGACTTTTTCGCCATTTGCCACAATGAGTTTCCAAATGTCCATTTGCAGAATGGACAAAAACAGTTTTTCCAAACTGCTGAATCCAAGGAAAAGTTTAAATGTGTGAGGTGAATGAGCACATCACAAAGCAGTTTGTCAGAAAGCTTCTTTCTAGTTTTTATCTGAAGATGTTTTCTTTTTCAACCTAGGCCTCAATGTACTCCCAAATACCCCTCCACAGATCCCTCAAAATAAATGTTTACAAACTACTGAACACAAAGAAAGTTTTAAGTCTGTGAGATGAATGAACACATCACAAAGTAGTTTCTTAGAAAGTTTTTTTCTAGTTTTCATCTGAAGATATTTCCTTTTTCCCCATAGGCCTTAATGCACTCCCAAATATCCCTTCATGGATTCTAACAAAAGAGTTTTTGCAAAGTGCAGAATCCAGAGAAAGGTTTAACTCTGTCAGATCAATGCACTCATCAAAAGGCGGTTTCTAAAAGAGCTTCCATCCAGTTTTTATCCTCTGATATGTGCTTTTTTGCATTTGGCCACAAAGAGCTCCAAAATGTACATATTTAATTCTGTGAGATGAATGCACACATCACAAAGCAGTTTCTCAGAAAGCTTCTTTCTAATTTTTATCTGAAGATATTTCCTTTTTCACAGTAGGCCTCAATGAGCTCCCAAATATCCCTTTGCAGATTCTACCAAGACAGTGTTTCCATACTGCTGAAAGAAAAGGAAGATTTAACTCTGAGAGATGAATGCACAGCTCACAAGGCGGTTTTCCAGATACCTTCTTATTGATTTTTATCCTAGGATATTCACTTTTTACTATATGGCCTAAAAGAGTTCCCAAATATCCCTTTGCAGATTCTAGAACAACAGTATTTCCAAACTGCTGAATCCAGTGAAAGGTTTAACTCTCTGAGATGAACACACACATCACAAAGCTGTTTGTCAGAAAGCTACTTTCCATGTTTACCTGAAGATATTTCCTTTTTAACCATAGGCCTCAAAGTGCTCCCAAATATCCCTTCACAGATTCTACTGCAACACTATTTCCATACTGTTGAATGAAAGGAAAGATTGAAATATTCGAGATGAATGCACACATCAGAAAACAGTTTCTCAGATATATTCTTTCTAGTTTTTATCCAGGTATATTCCTGTTTTCCCCTTCATCCTCAATGAGCTTTCAAATATCCCTTTGCAAATTCTGCAAAAACAGTGTTTACAAACTGCTGAATCCAAAGAGTGGTTTAACTCTGGAGATGAAGAACACACCACAAAGTATTTCTCTGAAAGCTTCTTTCTAGTTTTTATCTGAACATGTTTCCTTTTTTAACATAGGCCTCAGTGCACTCCCAAATATCCCTTTGGAGATTCTACAAAAAGAGTGTTTCCAAACTGCTGAATGCGAAGAAAGTGTTATACCTGAAACATGAAGGCACACATGACAAAGTGGTTTCTCAGATATCTTCCTATGAGTTTTTATCCAGGGATATTTGCTTTTTCTCCTATGAACTCAATGAACTCCCAAATATCTCTTCACAGATTCTCCAAAAACATTGCTTCTAAACTACTGAATCCAAAGAAACATTTAATTGTGTGAGCTGAATGCACACATCACAAAGCACTTTCTCAGAAAGTTTCCTTCCAGTTTTTAGCTGAATATATTTCCTTTTTCACCGTAGGCCTCAATGCGCTCCCAAATATCAAGTCGCAGATTCTTCAAAAACACTGTTTCCAAACTCTTGAATTAAAAGAAAGGTTTAACTGTGCCAGATGAATGCATACTCCACAAAGCAGTTTCTCAGAGAGATTCCTTCTAATTTTTATCCTGGGATATTCACTTTTTTGCTTTTAGACTCAATGATCTCCCAAATAACTTCATGGATTCTACAAAAACAGAGATTCCAAACTGCTGAATCCAAAGAAAGGTTTAACTCTGTGAGATGAATGGACACAACACAAAGCAGTTTCTCCGAAAACTTCTTTCTAATTTTTATCTGAAGATATTTTCTTTTTCAACATAGGCCTCAATTTACTCCCAAATATCCTTTGTGGATTCTACCAAAACAGTGTTTAAAACTACTGAATGAAATGAAAGTTTTAACTCTGTGAGGTGAATACACACATCACAAATCGGTTTCTCAGATAGCTTCATTCTTATTTAATCCTGGGATATACGCTTTTTCACCATTGGCATAATTGAGCTCACAAATGTCCATTCCCAGAATGAACAAAAACAGTGTTTCCCGTGATGAATCCAAAGAAAGGTTTAACTCTTTGAGATGAATGTACACATCACAAAGCAGTTTCACTGAGAGCTTAAATCTAGATTTTATCCTCACATATTTGCTTTTTTGGATTTGGCCTCAATGAACTCCCAAATACCCCTTTTCAGCTTCTACAAAAACAGTATTTCCAAACTGCTGAATACAAAGAAAGTTTTAACTCTATCAGAAAACGGAACACATCACATAGCAGTTTCCCAGAAAGCTGCTTTCTAGTATTTATCTGAAGATATTTCCTTTTTGACCATAAGCCTCACAACTCTCCCAAATATCCCTTCACAAATTCTGCCAAAACAGAGTTTCCAAACTGCTGAAAGAGAAGAAAAGTTTAACTGTGCAAGATGAATACACATATCACAATATGGTTTCTCAGATAGCTGCCTTCTAGTTTTTATCCTGGGATATTCACTTTTTCTCAATTGACCACAACGAGGTCCCAAGTGTCCATTCATGGAATGGACAAAAACTGTGTTTCCAAACTGCTGAATAAAAGAAAATTTTAACTCTTTGAGATGAAGGCACTCATAACAAAGTAGTTTCTCAGAAAGTTCCTTCAAGTTTTTTCCTTGAGATATTTCCTTTATCACCATAGGCCTCAACGTGCTCCAAACTATCCCCATGCAGTTTCTACCAAAACAGTGTTTCCAAACTGCAGAATGAAAAGAAAGGTTTAGGGGTGGCAGCCAAGATGACCAAATAGGAAAAGTTCCAGTCTACAGCTCCCAGCATGAGTGACGCAGAAGATGGGTGATTTCTGCATTTCCATCTGAGGTACTGGGTTTATCACACTAGGGAGTGCCAGACAGTGGGCGCAGGACAGTGGGTGCAGCGCACCGTGCATGAGCCAAAACAGGGAAAGGCATTGCCTCCCTCAGGAAGCACAAGGGGTCAGGGAGTTCCCTTTCCTACTCAAAGAAAGGGGTGACAGACGGCACCTGGAAAATCGGGTCACTCCCACCCTAATACTGCGCTTTTCTGACGGGCTTCAAAAATGGCGCACCAGGAGATTATATCCCGCACATGGCTCAGAGGGTCCTATGCCCACGGAGTGTCACTGATCACTAGCACAGCAGTCTGAGATGAAACTGCAAGGTAGCAGCGAGGCTTGGGGAGGGGCGCCCACCATTGCCCAGGCTTGCTTAGGTAAACAAAGCAGCTGGGAAGCATGAACTGGGTGGAGACTACCACTGCTCAAGGAGGCATGCCTGCCTCTGTAGGCTCTACCCCTGGGGGCAGGGCACAGACAAACAAAAAGACATCAGTAACCTCTGCAGACTTAAATGTCTCTGTCTGACAGCTTTGAAGAGAGCAGTGGTTCTCCCAGCATGCAGCTGGAGATCTGAGAATGGGCAGACTGCCTCCTCAAGTGGGTCCCTGACCCCTGACCCCCGAGCAGTCTAACTGGGAGGTACCACCCAGTAGGGGCAGACTGACACCTCACAGGGCCAGGTACTCCTCTGAGACAAAACTTCCAGAGGAATGATCAGGCAGCAACAATCGCCGTTCACAAAAATCCGCTGTTCTGCAGCCACTGCTGCTGATACCCAGGAAAACAGGGTCTGGAGTGAACCTCTAGCAAACTCCAACAGACCTGCAGCTGAGGGTCCTGTCTGTTAGAAGGAAAACTAAAAAACAGAAAGGACATCCACACCAAAAACCCATCTGTACATCACCATCACCAAAGACCAAAAGTAGACAAAACCACAAAGATGGGGAAAAAACAGAGCAGAAAAACTGGAAATTCTAAAAAGCAGAGTGCCTCTCCTCCTCCAAAGGAATGGAACTCTCCTCCTCCTCATCAGAAATGGAACAAAGCTGGATGGAGAATGACATTGACGAGTTGAGAGAAGAAGGCTTCAGATGATCAAACTACTCCAAGCTACAGGAGGAATTTCAAACCAAAGGCAAAGAAGTTAAAAATTTGAAAAAAATGTAGTGGAATGTAAAACTAGAATAACCAATACTGACAGGTGCTTAAAGGAGCTGATGCAGCTGAAAGCCAAAGCACAAGAAATATGTGAAGAATGCAGAAGCCTCAAGAGCCGATGTGATCAACTGGAAGAAAGGGTAACAGTGATGGAAGATAAAATGAATAAAATGAAGCAAGAAGGGAAGTTTAGAGAAAAAAGAATAAAAATAAATGAGCAAAGCCTCCAAGAAATATGGGACTATGTGAAAAAACCAAATCTACGTCTGATTGGTGTACCTGAAAGTGATGGGGAGAATGGAAACAAGTTGGAAAACACCCTGCACGATATTATCCCAGAGAACTTCCTCAATCTAGAAAGACAGGCCAACATTCACATTCAGGAAATACAGAGAATGCCAAAAAGTTACTCCTCGAGAAGAGCAACTCCAAGAAACATAATTGTCAGATTCCCCAAAGTGGAAATGAAGGAAAAAATGTTAAGGGCAGCCAGAGAGAAAGGTTGGGTTATCCACAAAGGGAATACCATCAAACAAACAGCGGATCTCTCAGCAGAAACACTACACACCAGAAGAGAGTGGGGGCCAATATTCAACATTCTTAAAGAAAAGAATTTTCAACCCAGAATTTCATATCGAGCCAAACTAAGCTTCATTAGTGAAGGAGAAATAAAATACTTTACAGACAAGCAAATGCTGAGAGATTTTGTCACCACCAGGCCTGCCCTAAAAGAGCTCCTGAAGGAAGCACTAAACATGGAAAGGAAAAACCAGTACCAGCCACTGAAAAATCATGCCAAATTGTAAAGACCATCGAGGATAGGAAGAAATTGCATCACCTAATGAGCAAAATAACCAGCTAACATATTAAGGACAGGATCAGATTCACACATAACAATATTAACTTTAAATATAAATGGGCTAAATGCTCCAATTAAAAGACACAGACTGGCAAATTGGATAAAGAGTCAAGACGCATCAGTGTGCTGTATTCAGGAAACCCATCTCACGTGCAGAGACACACATAGGTTCACAATAAAAGGATGGAGGAAGATCTACCAAGCAAATGGAAAACAAAAAAAAGGCAGGGGTTGCAATCCTAGTCTCTGATTAAACAGACTTTAAACCAACAAAGATCAAAAGAGACAAAGAAGACCATTACATAATGGTAAAGGGATCAATTCAACAAGAAGAGCTAACTATCCTAAATATGTATGCACCCAATATAGGAGCACCCAGATTCATAAAGCAAGTCCTGAGTGACCTACAAAGAGACTTAGACTCCCACACAATAATAATGGGAGAATTTAACACCCCACTGTCAACATTAGACAGATCAACGAGACAGAAAGTTAACAAGGATACCCAGGAATTCAACTCAGCTCTGCACCAAGCGGACCTAATAGACATCTACAGAACTCTTCATCCCAAATCAACAGAATATACATTTTTTTCAGCACCACACCACACCTGTTTCAAAATTGACCACATACTTGGAAGTAAAGCACTCCTCAGCAAAGGTAATAGAATAGAATTTATAACAAACTGTCTCTCAGAGCACAGTGCAATCAAACTGGAACTCAGAATTAAGAAACTCACTCAAAACCACTCAACTACATGGAACTGAACAATTTGCTCCTGAATGACTACTGGGTACATAACGAAATGAAGGCAGAAATAAAGATGTTCTTTGAAATCAATGAGAACAAAGACACAACATAACAGAATCTCTGGGACACATTCAAAAGAGTGTGTAGAGGGAAATTTACAGCACTAAATGCCCACAAGAGAAAGCAGGAAAGATCCAAAATTGACACCCTAACATCACAATTAAAAGAACTAGAAAAGCAAGAGCAAACACATTCAAAAGCTACCAGAAGAGAAGCAATAACTAAAATCAGAGCAGAACTGAAGGAAATAGAGACACAAAAAACCCTTCAAAAAATTAAGGAATCCAGGAGCTGGTTTCTTGAAAAGATCAACAAAATTGATAGACTGCTAACAAGACTAATAAGGAAGAAAAGAGAGAAGAAGCAAATAGATGCAATAAAAAATGAGAAAGAGGATATCACTGATATCCCACAGAAATACAAACTACCATCAGAGAATACTACAAACACCTATATGCAAATAAACTAGAAAACCTAGAAGAAATGGAAAAATTCCTAGACACATACACCCTCCCAAGACTAAACCAGGAAGAAGTTGAATCTATGAATAGATCAATAACAGGCTCCGAAATTGTGGCAATAATCAACAGCTCACCATCCAAAAAGAGTCCAGGACCAGATGGATTCACAGCCGAATTCTACCAGAGGTACAAGGAGGAACTGGTACCATTCCTTCTGAAATTATTCCAATCAATAGAAAAAGAGGGAATCCTCCCTAACTCATTTTATGGGGCCAGCATCATTCTGACACCAAAGCCTGGCAGAGACACAACCAAAAAAGAGAATTTTAGAACAATATCCTTGGTGAACATTGATGCAAAAATCCTCAATAAAATACTGGCAAACCGAATCCAGCAGCACATAAAAAAGCTTATCCACCATGATCAAGTGGGCTTCATCCCTGGGATGCAAGTCTGGTTCAATATACTCAAATCAATAATTGTAATCCAGCACATATACAGAACCAAAGACAAAAACCACATGAATATCTCAATAGATGCAGAAAAGGCCTTTGACAAAATTCAACAACGCTTCATCCTAAAAACTCTCAATAAATTAGGTATTGATGGGATGTATCTCAAAATAATAAGAGCTATCTATGACAAACCCACAGTCAATATCATACTGAATGGGCAAGAACTGGAAGCATTCCCTTTGAAAACTGGCACAAGAAAGGGATGCCATCTCTCACCACTCCTATTCAACATAGTGTTGGAAGTTCTGGCCAGGGCAATTAGGCAGGAGAAGGAAATATAGGGTATTCAATTATGAAAAAAGGAATTCAAATTGTCCCTGTTTGCAGATGACGTGATTGTATATCTAGAAAATCCCATTGTCTCAGGCCAAAATCTCCTTAAGCTGATAAGCAACTACAGCAAAGTCTCAGGATACAAACTCAATGTATAAAAATCACAAGCATTCTTATACACTGATAAGAGACAGAGAGCAAAATCATGAGTATACTCCCGTTCACAATGGCTTCAAAGAGAATAAAATACCTAGGAATCCAACTTACAAGGGACGTGAAGGACCTCTTCAAGGAGAACTACAAACCACTGCTCAATGACATAAAAGAGGACAAAAAAAAATGGAAGAACATTCCATGCTCATGGGCAGGAAGAATCAATATCGTGAAAATGGCCATACTTCCCAAGGTAATTTATAGATTCAGTGCCATCCCCATAAAGCTACCAATGACTTTCCTCACTGAATTGGAAAAAACTACTTTAAAGTTCATATGGAACCATAAAAGAGCCCGCATCACCAAGTCAATCCTAAGCAAAAAGAACAAAGTTGGAGGCATCACGCTACCTGACTTCAAACTATCCTACAAGGCTACAGTGTCCTAAACAGCATGGTACTGGTACAAAAACAGAGATATAGATCAATGGAACAGAACAGAGCCCTCAGAAATAACACCGCATATCAGCAACTATCTAATCTTTGACAAACCTGAGAAAAACAAGCAATGGGGAAATGATTCCCTATTTAATAAATGGTGCTGGGAAATCTGGCTAGCTATATGTAGAAAGCTGAAAGTGGATCCTTTCCTTACAGCTTATACAAAAATTAATTCAAGATGGATTAAAGACTTAAACATTAGACCTAAAACCATAAAAACCCTAGAAGAAAATCTATGCTTTACCATTGAGGACATAGGCATGGGCAAGGACTTCATGTCTAAAACACAAAAAGCAATGGCAACAAAAGCCAAAATTAACAAATGGGATCTAATTAAACTAAAGAGCTTCTGCACAGCAAAAGAAACTACCTTCAGAGTGAAAAGGCAACCTACAGAATGGGAGAAAATTATTGTAATCTACTCATCTGAAAAAGGGCTAATATCCAGAATCTACAATGAACTTAAACAAATTTACAAGAAAAAAACAAACAACCCCATCAAAAAGTGGGCAAAGGACATGAACAGACACTTCTCAAAAGAAGACAGTTATTCAGCCAAAAAAACACATGAAAAAATGCTCACCATCACTGGCCATCAGAGAAATGCAAATCAAAACCACAATGAGATACCATCTCACACCATTTAGAATGACGATCATTAAAAAGTCAGCAAACAACAGGTGCTGGAGAGGATGTGGAGAAATAGGAACACTTTTACACTGTTGGTGGGACTGTAAACTAGTTTAACCATTGTGGAAGTCAATGTGGCGATTCCTCAGGGATCTAGAACTAGAAATGCCATTTGACCCAGCCATCCCATTACTGGGTATATACCCAAAGGACTATAAATCATGCTGCTATAAAGACACATGCACACATATGTTTATTGTGGCATTATTCACAATAGCAAAGACTTGGAGCCAGCCCAAATATCCAACAATGATAGACTTGATTAAGAAAATGTGGCACATATACACCATGGAATACTAGGCAGCCATAAAAAATGATGAGCTCATGTCCTTTGTAGGGACATGGGTGAAATTGGAAATCATCATTCTCAGTAAACTATCACAAGAACCAAAAACCAAACACCGCATATTCTCACTCATAGGTTGGAATTGAACAATGTGAACACAAGGACACAGGAAGGGGAACATCACACTCTGGGGACGGTTGTGGGGTGGGGGGAAGGGGGGAGGGATAGAATTAGGAGATATACCTAATGCTAAATGATGAGTTAATTGGTGCAGCACACCAGAGTGGCACATGTATACATATGCAACTAACCAGCACATTGTGCACATGTACCCTTAAACTTAAAGTATAATAATAATAAAATAAAATAAAATAAAATAAAGAAAAGAAAGATTTAACTGTGCGAGTTGAATGCACACATTACAAAACGGTTTCTTACATAGTTTTGTTCTAGTTATTATCAAGGGATATTCACTTTTTCACCTGTGGCATCAATTATCTATAAAATATCCCATGGTAGATTCTCCAAAAACAGTGTTTCCAAGCTGCTGATTCAAAAGAAAGTTTTAACTTTGTGAGATGAGTGTACACATCACAACGTAGTTTCTCAGAAAGCTTCTTTCTAGTTTTTATCTGAAGATATTTCCTTTCTCACCATATGCCGCTATGCGATCCCACAAATCCCTTCACAGATTCTACCAAAACGGTGTTTCCAAACTGCTGAATGAAAAGAATTGTTTAAGTTAGCGAGGTGAATGCACACATAACAAAGCAGTTTTGCAGATAACTTCCTTCTAGTTTTTGTCCTGGGATATTCCCTTTTTTGCCATTGCCCTGAATGAGCTCCCAAATATCCATTCGCAGAATGGACAAAAACAGTGTTTGCAAACTATTGAATCTAAAGAAATGTTTAAGCTGTGAGATGACTGCACACATCAAAAAGCAGTTTCTCAGAAAGCTTCTAGTTTTTATCTGAAGATATTTCCTTTTTCACCATAGGCCTCATGTAGTTCCAAATATCCCTTCGCAGATTTTTCACACACGTTTTTTCCAAACTGCTGAAAGAAAAGAAAGTTTTAGTTCTGCGAAATGAATGCACACATCACAAAGCAGTTTCTCAGATAGCTTCCTTTTAGTTTTTATCCTAGGATATTCGCTTTTAGCCTCAATGAGCTCCCAAATACCCCTTTGCAGTTTCTACAAAACAATGTTTCCAAACTGCTGAATCCAAAGAAAGGTTTAACTCGGTGAGATGAATACAAACATCATAAAGCCATTTCTCAGGAGGCTTCTTTAGAGTTTTTATGAAAAAATGTTTCCTTTTTCACCCTAGGCTTCAATGCGCTCCCAAATATCCCTTCACAGATTCTACCAAAACTATGCTTCCAAACTGCTGAATGAAAAGAAAGGTTTCAATCTGTGAGATGAAAGCATACATCACAAAGTGGTTTCTCAGATAACTTCCTTCTAGTTTTTATCCTGGGATGTTCACTTTATCATCCTTGGACTCAATGAGCTCCAAAATATCCCTTTGCAGATTCTACAAAAACAATGTTTCCAAACTGCTGAATCTAAGGAATGATATATCTCTGTGAGTTGAATGCACACATCACGAAGCAGTTTCTCAGAAAACTTCCTTCTACTTCTTATGTGAAGGTATTTCCTTTTTCACCATAGGCCTCAATGTGATTCCCAATATCTCATCGCAGATTCTACAAACACAGCGTTTCTAAACTATTGAAAGAAAAGAAAGATTTCAATTTGTGAAATGAATGTACACATCACATAGCAGTTTCTGAGCTACCTTCTTTCTAGTTTGTATCCTGGGATATTCGATTTTTCGCATTTGGCCTCAATGAGCTCCCAAATATCCTTTTGCGTGTTCTATAAAAACAGAGTTTCAAAACTGCTTAACCCAAAGAAAGGTCTAACTCAGTGAGACGAATCACAAAGCAGTTTCTCAGAAAGATTCTTCTTAGTTTTTATCTGAAGATACTTCATTTTTCACCGTAGGCCTCAATGGGCTCCCTATTATCACATCGCAGATTTTACCACAAGTGTGTTTCCAAACTGCTGAATGAAAATAAAGTTTTAACTCTGTGAGATGAATGCATACATCACACAGCGGTTTGTCAGATAGCTTCCTTCTAGTTTTTGTCCTGGATATTTGCATTTTTGCCATTGGCCTCTATGAGCTCCTAAAGGTCCATTTGTAGAATGGACAAAAAGACTGTTTCAAGACAGTTGAAACCAAAGAAGGGTTTAACTCTGTGACATGAATGCACACATTAAAAGCAGTTTCTCAGAAAGCTTCTTTCCAGTTATTATCTGAAGATATTTCCTTTTTCACCATAGGCCTCAATGCACTCCCAAATATCCCTTTGTGCTTTCTATCAAAACAGTATATCCAAGCTGCTGAATTAAAAGAACGGTTTAATTCTGTGAGATGAGTGCACACATCACAAAGCAGTTTCGCAGAGAGCTTCCTTCTAGTTTTTATCCTGGAATGTTCACTTTTGCTCCATTGTCCTCAATAAGCTCCCAAATGTCCATTCACAGAATGTACAAAACAGTGTTTCCTAACTACTAAATCCAAAGAAAGGTCGACCTCTGAGAGATGAATGCAGACATCACAAAGCAGTTTCTCAGAAAGCTTCTCTCTAGTTTTTACCTGAAGTTATTTCCTTTTTCACTGTAGGCCACAATGTACTCCGTAATATTCTTGCACTGATTCTACAAAATCAGTGTTTCCAAACTGCTGAGAAAGGGATGTTTTAGCTCTGTGAGATGACTGCACACATCACAAAATGATTTCTTATATAGCTTCCTTCCAGTTTTTATCATGGATATTCGCTTTTTCAACTTGGGCCTCAATGAGTTCCCAAATATCCCTTCGCAGATTATACAAAAACCTTGTTTCCAATCTGCTGAATCCAAAGGAAGGTTGAACTCTGTGAGATGAATGCACACATCACAATGCAGTTTCTCAGAAAGCTTCTTTGGAGTTTTTATCTGAAGATAATTCCTTTTTAACCCCAGGCCTCAATGCACTCCCAAATATGTCTTTGCAGATTTTACCAAAACAGTGTTTCCAAACTGCTAAATGAAAAGAAAGTTTTAACTCTGCAAGATTAATGCAAACATTGCAAAGTGGTTTGTCAGATAGCTTCCTTGAAGTTTTTATCCTGGGATATTTGCTTTTTCACCATTGGCCTCAATGAGCTCCCAAATATCCCTTTGCTGATTATACAAAAACAGTGTTTACAAACTGCTGTATCGAAGGAAAGTTTTAAATCTGTGAGATGAATGAACACATCACAAAGCAGTTTCTCAGAAAGCTGCTTTTAGTTTTAATCTGAAGTTATTTCTTTTTTCACCATGGGCCTCAATGCACACCCAAATATCCCTTTGCATATATTACAAAAACATTGTTTCCAAATTGCTGAGTGAAAAGAAAGGTTTATCTCTGTGAGATGAATGCACACATCACAAAGCGGTTTCTCAGATAGCTTCCTTCTAGTTTTTATCCTGGTATATTGTCTTTATCACCTTTGGCCTCAATGAGCACTCAAATATCTGGTTTTGTCCATTCTGCGAATGGACATTTGGGAGCTCTATGAGGCCAGTGCTGAAAAAGTGAACATCCCAGCATAAAAACTAGAAAGTACCTTTCTGAGAAACTGCTTTGTGATGTGTGCATTCATCTCTCAGAGTTAAAAGTTTCCGTGGTTCCAGCAATTTGGAAACACTGTTTTCAAAGAATCTTCAAAAGGATATTTTGGAGCTCATTGAGGACAAAGGTGATAAAGTGAATATCCCATTATAAAAACTAGAAGGAAGCTATCTGAGAAACCACTTTGTGATATGTGCATTCATTTCACAGAGTTAAACATTTTTCTTCTTTCAGAAGTTTGGAAACAGTGTTTTTGTAGGCTCTGGGATGGGATATTTGGGAAGACATTGAGGCATGTGGTGAAAAAGGAAATATATTCAGATAAATCCTAGAAAAAAGCTTTCTGAGAAACCCTTCATGATGTAAGCATTCATCTCACAGAGTTAAAACTTTCTTAGGATTCAGCAGTTTGGAAAACCTGTTTCTGTCCATTCTGCAAATGGATATTTTGGAGCTCATTTAGTCCAATGTCAAAAAAGCAAATAACCCTGGATAAAAAATTGAAGAAAGCTATCTGAGAAACTGCTTTGTGATATGTGCATTCTTCTCAAAGAGTTAATCTTTTCTTTTCATCCAGCAGTTTGGAAACACTGCTTCAGTGTAATCTGTGAAGGGATATTTGGGAGCGCATTGAGGCCTAAGGTGAAAAAGGAAGTATCTTCAGATAAAAACTAGATAGAACTTGTCTGAGAAACTGCTTTGTGATGTGTGCATTCATCTCACAGAGTTAAGCCTTTCTTTGGGTTCAGCAATTTGGAAACAGTGTTTTTGTAGAATCTGTGAAGGGGTTTTTGGGAGCTCATTGAGTCTAAAGGTGAATATCCCAGGATAAAAACTAGAAGAAAGCTATCTGAGAAACCGCTTTGTGATATGTGCGTTCATCTCACAGAGTTAAAATTTTATTTTCATTCAGCAATTTGGAAACAATATTTTGGTAGAATCTGCAAAGGGGTATTTGGGAGCACTTTGATGCCTAAGTAGAAAGGGAAATATATTCAGATAAAAACTAGAAATAAGCTTTCTGAGAAACTTCTTGGTGATGTGTGCAATCAAGTCACAGAGTTAAACCTTCCTTTGGATTCAGCAGTTTGGAACCACTGTTTTTGTCCATTCTGTGAATGGACATTTGGGAGCTCATTGTGGCCAATGGTGGAAATGTGAATACCCCAGGTAAAAACTAGAAGAAAGCTGTCTGAGAAACTGCTTTGTGATGTGTGATTTCACCTCATAGAGATAAACCTTTCTTTTCATTCAGGAGTTTAGAACCACTGTTTTTGTCCATTCTGCAAATGGATATTTGGGAAGCCCATTGTGGCAAATGGTGAAAATGCGAATATCCCACGTAAAGCCTAGAAGAAAGCTGTCTGAGAAACTGCTTTGTGATGTGTGCATTTATTTCACAGAGTTAAATGTTTCTTTGCATTCATCAGTTTTGAAATACTGTTTTTGTAGAAAGAGTGAAGGGTTATTTGGGAGTTCATTGAGGCTAAAAGTGATAAAGCAAATATCCCAGGATAAACACTAGAAGGAAGCTATCTGTGAAATTGCTTTGTGATGTGTGCATTCATCTCGCAGAGGTAAACCATCCTTTTCAGGCAGCAGTTTGGAAACACTCTTTGTGTAGAATCTGAGATGGGGTATTTGGGAGTGCATTCAGTCCCATGGTGAAAAAGGAAACATCTTCAGATAAAACCTAGAAAGAAGCTTTGTGAGAAACTGCTTTGTGATGTGTGCCTTAATCTCACTGAGTTAAACCTTTGTTGTCAGCAGTTTGGAAACACTATTTTGTAGAATGTGCAAAGAGTTATTTGGGAGGTGATTGAGGCCAAAGCAAATATCCCACTAAGAAAACTAGAAGGAAGCTATCTGAGAAATTGCTTTGTGATGTCTGCATTCATCTCGCAGAGTTAAACTCTTCTTTTTATTCAGCACTTTGGAAATACTGTTTTTGAGCATTCTGGGAACGGAAATTTGGGAGATTATTCAGGCCAATGGGGAAACAGGGAACATCCCAGGATAAAAACTATAAGGAAGCTTTCTGAGAAAATGGTTTGTGAAGTGGACTTCATCTCGCTGAGTTAAACCTTTGTTTTCATTCAGCATTTGGAAACACTTCTTGTAGAATCTTTGAAGGGATATTTGGGAATGCATTGAGGCCTACAGTGAAAAAGCAAATATCTTCAGATAAAAACTAGAAACAAGCTTTCTGAGAAACTGATTTGTGATGTGTGTATTCATCTCACAGAGTTAAACCTTTCTTTTTCATTCAGCAGTTTGGAAACACTGTTTTTGTAGAACCTGCAAAGTGATATCTGGGATCACATTGAGGTTTATGTTGAAAAAGGAAGTATCTTCAGATAAAAACTAGAGAAATACTTTCTGAGAAACTGCTTTGTGAATACTACATTCAGCTCACAGAGTTCAACCTTTCTTTGGAATCAGCAGCTTGGAAACACTGTTGTTGTAGAATCTACAAAGGGATATTTGGGAGCTCACTGAGGCCAATGGCAAAAAATTGAATATCCCAGGAAAAAAAACGAGAAGGAAGCTTTGTGAGAAAGCGCTTTGTGATGAGTGCATTGACCTCACAGAGTTAAAACTTTGTTTTCATTCAGCAGTCTGGAAACACCTTTTCAGAAGAATTTGTGAAGCAGTATTTAGGAGCACATTGAGGCCTATGGTGAAAAAGGAAATATCTTCATATAAAAACTAGAAAGAAGCTTTCTGTGAAACTGTTTTGTGATGTGTGCATTCATCTCACAGAGTTAAATCTTTCTTTTCATTCAGAAGTTTGGAAACACTGTTTTTGTAGAATCTGCGAAGGAGTACTTTGGAGCGCATTGAGATCTATGTTGAAAAAGGAAATATCTTAAAAACTAGAAAGAAACTTTCTAAAAAACTTCTTTGTGATGTGTGCATTCATTTTGAGATAAAACCTTTCTTTGGTTTTAGCAGTTGGAAACACAGTTTTGGCAGAATCCATAAAGGGATATTTGGGATCTCATTGAGGCCAATGGTGAAAAAACAAATATCACAGGATAAAAACTAGAAGGAAGCTATCTGAGAAACTGCTTTGTCATGTGTGCATTCATCGCACAGAGTTAAATGTTTCTGTGTATTCAGTAGTTTGCAAACGCTGTGTTTGTCCATTCTGCAAATTGACATTTGGATTCTGTGAGGCCTATGGCAAAAAACTGAAAATCCAAGGATAAAAACTGGAAGAAAGCTACGTGAGAAACTGCTTTGTGTTGTGAGCATTCACCTCACAGAGATAAAGCTTTCTTTTCGTTCAGCAGTCTGGAAAAACTGTTCTGGCAGAATCCACGAAGGGATACTTGGGAGCACCTTGAGGTCTATTTTGAAAAAGGAAATAACTTCAGATAAAAACTAGAAAGAATCTTTCAGAGAAACTGCATTTTGATGTATGCATTCATCTCACAGAGTTAAACCATCCTGTGGATTCAGCAGTTTTAAAACACTGTTTTTGTCCATTCTGTGAATGGACATTTGGGAGCTCTTTGACTTCGATGGCAAAAAAGCAAATATCCAAGAATAAAAATGAGAATGATGCTATTTGAGAAACTGTTTTTTGATGTATGCATTCATCTCACAGAGATAAACCTCTCTTTTCAATCAGCAGTTTGGAAACACTGTTTTCATAGAATTTGTGAAGGGGTATCTGCGAATGCATTCAGGTCTATGATGAAAAAGGAAATATCTTCAGATAAAAACTAGGAAGGTTTCTGAGAAACTCCTTTGTATTGTGTGCTTTCATCTCACAGAGTTAAAACTTACTTTGGATTCAGCAGTTTGGAAACACGGTTGTTGTAGAATCTGTGAAGGGATATTTGGGATCTCATTGAGGCCAATGGTGAAAAAGTGAATATCCCTGGATAATAAGTAGAAGGAAGCTATTTGAGAAACTGCTTTGTGATGTGTGCATTCATCTCACAGACTTAAACGTTTCTTTTCAATAAGCAGTTTGGAAACTGTTTTCATAGAATTTGTGAGGGGTATCTGGGAGTTCATTCAGGTCTATGATGAAAAAGGAAATATCTACAGATAAAAACTAGAAAGAAGGTTTCTGAGAAACTGCTTTGTGATGTGTGCATTCATCTCACAGAGTTAAAACTTTCTGTGGAGTCTACAGTTTCAAACACTGTTTTTGTCCATTCTGTGAATGGACATTTGGGAGGGCATTGAGGCCAATGGTGAAACAGCGAATATCCCAGGATAAAAACAAGAAGGAAGCTATCTGAGAAACTGCTTTGTGATGTGTGCATTCAGCTTGCAGAGATAGAACATCGTTTTCGTTCAACAGCCTGGAAACACTGTTTTGGCAGAATTCTCAAAGGGATATTTGGGAGTGCATTGAGGCCTATGGAGAAAAAGGAAATATCTTCAGATATAACTAGACAGAAACAGTGCTGGGTATGGTGACTCATGCTTGTTATCCCAGCACTTTCATAGGCAGCGGTGGGCAGATCACAAGGTGAGGATTTCAAGACCATCCTGGCTAACACAGTGAAACCCAGTCTATACAAAAAAATAGAAAAAATTAGCCAGGCGTGGTGGTGGGTGCCTGTAGTCCCAACTACTCAGGAGGCTGAGGAGAAGAATGGCAAGAACCCCAGAGATGGTGCTTGCAGTGAGCCGAGATCATGCCAATGTTCTCCAGCCTAGGGGACAGAGCGAGACTCTGTCTCAAAAAAAAAAAAAAAAAAAACTAGACAGAAGCATTCTGAGAAACTGCTTTGTTGTGTGAATTCATCTCACACAGTTAAACATTTCTTTCATTTAGAAGTTTGGAAAGACTGTTTTTGTAGAATCTGTGAAATGGTATTTGGGAATGTATTGAGGCCTATGGTGAAAAAGGAAATATCTTCAGATGAAAACTAGAAAGAAGATTTCTGAGAAACTGCTTTGTGATGTGTACATTCATCTCACAGAGTTAAGTCTTTCTGCGTATTCAATAGTTTGCAAACAGTGTTTTTGTCCAATCTGTGAATGGACGTTTGGAGCTCTTTGAGGCCAATGGCAAAAAAGTGAAAATCCTAGGATAAAAACTGCAAGAAAGCTATGTGAGGAACAGCTTTGGTGTGTGTGCATTCACCTCACAGAGTTAAAACTTTCTATTCATTCAGAAGTCTGGAAACACTCTTTTGGCAGAATCCAAGAAGACATATTTGGGAGTGCACTGAGGCCTATGGTGAAAAAGAAAATATCTCAAGATAAAAACTAGAAAGAACCTTTCTGAGAAACTGCGAAGGGATATTTGGGATCTCATTGAGGCCAATGGTGAAAAAGCAAATATCACAGGATAAAAACTAGAAGGACGCTATCTGAAAAAGTGCTTTGTGATGTGTGCATTCATCTCACAGAGTTAAATCTTTCTTTTCATTCTGCAGTTTGGAAACATTGTTTTGGTAGAATCTGCGAAGGTATATACCTTCGGAGCGCATTGAGGCCTATGGGGAAAAAGGAAATATCTACAGATAAAAACTAGAAAGAAGCTTTCTGAGAAACTGTTTTGTGATGTGTGCATTCATGTCACACAGTTAAGCTTTTCTTTATATCCAGCAGATTGGTAACACTGTTATATCCATTCTGCGAATGGACATTTGGGAGCTCATTGAGGCTAATGGTTAAAAAACAAATAACCCAGGATAAAAAATATAAAGAACCTATCTGAGAAAATGCTTTGTGATGTGTGCATTCACCTCACAGAGTTAAAACTTTCTTTTCATTCAGCATTCTGGAAACACTGTTTTGGCAGAATCTGTGAAGGCATATTTGGGAGACCATTGAGGCCTATGGTCAAAAAGGAAATATCTCAAGATAAAAACTAGAAAGAAGTTGTGTGAGAAACTGCTTTGTGATGTGTGCATATGTATCACAGAGTTAAAACATTCCGTGAATTCAGCATTTTGAGAACACTGTTTTTATCCATTCTGCAAATGGACATTTGGGACCTCATTGAGGCCATTGGTGGAAAAGTGACTATCCGAGGATAAAAACTGGAAGGAAGCTATCTGAGAAAATGCTTCATGACGTGTGCATTCAACTCACAGAGATAAAGCTTTCTTTTCATTAAGAAGTCTGGAAACACTGCTTTAGGAGAATCTGCAAAGGGATATTTGGGAGCACTGTGAGGCCTATGGTGAAAAGGAAATATCTTCAGATGAAAAGAAGAAAGAAGTTTTCTGAGAAACTGCTTTGTGATGTGTGCATTCATCTCACAGAAGTAAACCTTTCTGTGGGTTCAGCAGATTGCAACCACTGTAAATGTCCATTCTGTGAATGGACATTTGGAAGTTCATTGAGGCCAATGTCGAAAAAGCGAATATCCCAGGATAAAAACTAGAAGGAAGCTATCTGAGGAACTGCTTTGTGATGTGTGCATTCATCTCGTAGAGCTAACCTTTCTTTTCATTCAGCAGTCTCAAAACACAGCTTTGGCAGAATCCACGAGGGCATATTTGGGAGCACATTGAGGCCAATGGTGAAAAAGTAAATATCTTCAGATAAAAAATAAAAAGGTTTCTGCAAAACTGCTTTGTGATGTTTGCATTCATTTTACAGAGTTAAATATTTCTGTGGATTCAGCACTTTGCAAACACTCTTTATGTCCATTCTAGGAATGGACATTTGAGAACTCATTGATTCCAATGGCAATAAAGCAAATATCCCAGGAGAAAAACTGGAAAGAAGCTATCTGATAAACTTCCTTGTGATGAGTGCATTCATCCCACAGAGTTAAACGTTTCTTTTCATTCATTCATTTGAAGCACTGTTTTTGTAGAATCTGTGAAGGGATATTTGGCAGTGGAGTGAGGCCTATGTAGGAAAAGGAAATATCTTCAGATATAATCTAGAGAAAAGCTTTCTGAGAAACTGTTTTGTGATGTGCTCATGTCACAGAGTTAAACTTTTCTTTGGATTCAGCAGTTTGGAAACACTGTTTTTGTCCATTCTGCAAATGGATATTTGGGAGCTCTTTGAAGCCAATGGTGAAAAAGAGAATATGCCAGGATAAAAACCAGAAGGAAGTTATCTGAGAAAACGATTGGTGATGTGTGCATTCATCTCACAGAGTTAAAACTTTCTTTTCATTCAGCAGTTTGGAAAACCTTTTTTGTTAGAATCTGCAAAGAGATATTTTGTAAGTCATTGAGACCTATGGTAAAAAGGATATATCTTCAAAGAAAAACAAGAAAGAAGCTTAATGACAAACAGGTTTGCGCTGTGTGCATTCATCTCAGAGAGTTACTCCTTTCTTTGGATTCAGCCTTTTGGTAACACTGTTTTTGTCCGTTTTGCAAATGCACATTTGGGAGCTCATTGAAGCCAATGGAGAAAAAGTGAATATCCGAGGAAAAAAACTAGAAGGAAGCTATAGGAGAAACTGATTCATGATGTGTGCATTCATCTCACAGAGATAAACCTTTCTTTTCCATCAGCAGTTTAGAAACACTGTTTTCTTAGAATCTGTGAAGAGGTATTAGGAAGAGTATGGAGGCCAATGGTTAAAAAGGAAATATATTCGTATAAAAACTAGAAAGAAACTTAATGAGAAACTGGTTTGAGATGTGTGCATTCATCTCAGAGAGTTAAACGTTTCTTTGGATTCAGCAGTTTTGAAACACTGTTTTTGTCCATACTGTGAATGGATATTTCAGAGCTCATTCAGGCCAATGGCAGAAAAGAAAATATCCCATGATTAAAAATAGAAGAAGCTATCTGAGAAACCGTCTTGTGATGTGTGCATTCATCTATCAGAGTTAAAACTTTCTTTTCATTCAGCAGCTTGGAAACATTGTTTTTGTAGAAACTGCTAAAGGGTATTTGGCAGCACATTGAGGTCCATGGTGAAAAAGAAAATATCTGCAGATAAAAACTAGAAAGAAAATTTCTGAGAAATTGCTTTGTGTTGTGTTCATTCATCTCACAGAGTTAAACTTTTCTATGGATTCAGCAGTTTGGAAATGCTGTTTTTGTCCATTCTGCAAATGGACATTTGGGAGCTCATTGAGGCCAATTGTGAAAAAATGAATATCCTAGGAGAAAAACTTGAAGGAAGTTATCTGAGAAACCAGTTCATGATGTGTGCATTCATCTTATAGAGTTAAATCTTTCTTTTCATTCAGCAGTTTAGAAACACTGTTTTCTTAGATTCTGTGAAAAGATATTTGGAAGGGTATGGGGGCCAATGGTAAAAAAAGAAATGACTTCAGATAAAAATATGAAAGAGGCTTAATGAGAAAGTTGTTTGCAATGTATGCATTCATCTCAGATTGTTAAACGTTTCTTTGGATTCAGCAGTTTAGAAACACTGTTTTTATCCATTCTGTGAATGGACGTCTGGGAGCTCATTGAGGCCAATGTCAAATGAGCGAATTCCCAGGATTAAAACTAGAAGGAAAGTATCTGAAAAACAGCTTTTTGATGTGTGCATTCATCTCACAGAGATAAGCCTTTCTTTTCATTAAGCAGTTTGGAAACACTGTTTTTGTAGAAACTGTAAAAGATATTTGGCAGCACATTGAGGTCTACAGTGAAAAGGGGAATATATTCAGATAAAAACTGGAAAGAAGCCTTCTGAGAAACTGCTTTGTGATGTGTTCATTCATTGCACACAGTTAAAGATTTCTTTGGATTCAGCAGTTTGGAAATACTGTATTTGTCCATTGTGTGAATGGATTTTGAGAGCTCATTGTGGCCAATTGTGAAAAATTGAATATCACAGGATAAAAACTAGAAGAAAGTTATATGATAAACCAATTATATATGTGTGCATTCATCTTACAGAGTAAAACTTTGTTTTCATTCTGCAGTTTGGAAACACTGATTTCTTAGAATATGCGATGAGATATTTGGTACCGTATTGAGGCCAATGTTGAAAAATGATATAACCTCAGATATAAACTAGAAAGAAGCTTTCTGAGAAACTGCTTTGTGATGTGTTCATTTATGCCACAGAGTTAAACTTTTCTTTGGATTCACCAGTTTGGAAACACTGTTTTTGTCCATTCTGCAAATGGACATTTGGGAGTTCATTGACGCCAACGGGAAAAAAGTGAATATCCCAGGATAAAAACTAGAAGGAAGCTATATGAGAAAATGATTCATGATGTGTGCATTCATCTCAAAGAGTTAAAACTTTCTTTTCAATCAGCAGTTTGGAAACACTGATTTTTTAAAATCTGTGAAAAGATATTTGGTAACACATTAAGGCCTATGGTGAAAAAGGAAATATCTTCAGATAAAAACCAGAAAGAAGTTTTCTTAGAAACTGGTTTTGCTTGTGTGCATTTATCTCAGAGAGTTAAAACTTTCTTTGGATTCAGCAGTTTAGAAACACTGTTTTTGTCCATTCTGTGAATGGACGTTTGGGAGCTCATTGAAGCCAACGTCAAAAAGGTGACTAACCCAGGATTAAAACTTGAAGAAAGCTATCTGAGAAATAGCTTTCTGATGTGTGCATTCATCTCACAGAGTTAAAACTTTCTTTTCATTCAGCAGCTTGGAGACACTCTTTTTGGAGAAACTGCTAAAGGGTATTTGGCAGCACGTTGAGGTCCATGGTGAAAAAGGAAATATCTGCAGATAAAAACTAGAAAGAAAATTTCTGAGAAATTGCTTTGTGTTGTGTTCATTCATTCACAGAGTTAAACTTTTCTATGGATTCAGCAGTTTGGAAATACTGTTTTTGTCCATTCTGCAAATGGACATTTGGGAGATCATTGAGGCCAATTGCAAAAAAGTGAATATCCCAGGAGAAAAACTTGAAGGAAGTTATCTGAGAAACAAATTCATGATGTGTGCACTCATCTCACAGAGTTAAATCTTTCTTTTAATTCAGCAGTTTAGAAACACTGTTTTCTTAGAATCTGTGAAAATAAATTTGGAAGGGTATGGACGCCAATGGTGAAAAAAGAAACGGCTTCAGATAAAAATATGAAAGAGGCTTAATGAGAAAGTTGTTTGGGATGTGTGCATTCATCTCAGATTGTTAAACGTTTCTTTGGATTCAGCAGTTTAGAAACACTGTTTTTATCCATTCTGTGAATGGACGTCTGGGAGCTCATTGAGGCCAATGTTGAAAAAGCAAATATCCCAGGATTAAAACTAGAAGGAAGCTCTCTGTGAAACAGGTTTGTGATGTGTGCATTCATCTCACAGAGTTAAACCTTTCTTTTCATTCAGCAGTTTGGAAACACTGTTTTTGTAGAAACTGCAAAAGGATATTTGGCAGCACATTGATGCCAATGGTCAAAAGGGAAATATGATAGAAACTAGAAAGAAGCTTTCTGAGAAACTGCTTTGTGGCGTGTTCATTCATCTCACAGAGTTAAATCTTTCTTTGGATTCAACAGTTTGGAAACACTGTTTCTATCCATTCTTGGAATGGACATTTGGGAGCTTATTGAGGCCAAAGGCAAAAAAGCGAATATCCCAGGATAAAAACTAGAAGGAAGTTATCTGAGAAACCGATTCATGATATGTGCATTCATTTCACAGAGTTCAACTTTTCTTTTCATTCACCAGTTTGGAAACATTGTTTTCTTAGAATTTTCAAAGTGATATTTCAAAGAATATGCAGGCCACTGGTGAAAAAGGAAATGTCTTCAGATAAAAACTAGAAAGAAGCTTAATGAGAAGCTGGATTGGGATGTGTGCATTAATCTCAGAGAGTTAAACCATCCTTTGGAGTCAGCAGGTTTTAAACAGTGTTTTTATCCATTCTGCGAATGTTCATTTTGGAGCTCATTGAGGGCAATGGAGAAAAAGTGAATATCCCAGGATAAAAAGTAGAAGGAAGTTATGTGATAAACTGATTCATGATTCATGCATTCATCATCAGATTTAAACCCTTCTTCTCAATTAGCAGTATGGAAACAGGTGATTTTTTAAAAACTGGGAAGAGATATTTGGTAGCACATTGAGGCCTATGGGGGAAAAGGAAATATCTTCACATAAAAAGTAGAAAGAATCTTTCTGACAAACTGCTTTATGATGTGTTCATTCACGTCACAGAGTTAAACCTTTTTTTGGATTCAGCAGTTTGGAAACACTGTTTTTGCCTATTCTGCAAATGAACATTTGGGAGCTTATTGAGGCCAATGGCAAGAAAGCAAATATCCCAGGATAAAAACTAGAAGGAAGTTATCTGAGAAACTGATTTGTGATGTGTGCATTCTTCTCAAAGAGTTCAATTTTCTTTTCATTCAGCAGTTTGGAAACACTGCTTTGTAGAAACTGGGAAAGAATATTTGGCAGTGCATGGAGGCCTAATGTAAAAAAGGAAATACCTTCAGATAAAAACTAGAAATAAACTTTCTGAGAAACTGCTTTGTGATGTGTTCATTCACCTCATAGAGTTAAATATTTCTTTGGATTCAGCATTTTGGAAACACTACTTTTGTCCATTTCGTGAATGGACATTTTGGAACACATTGAGGCCAATGGCACAAAAGCAAATGTCCCAGGAGAAAAACTTGAAGGAGTTTATCTGAGAAACTGACTCATGTTGTGTGCAGTCGTCCCATAGACTTACAACTTTCTTTTCGTTCAGCCGTTTAGAAACACTGTTTTCTTAGAATCTGCCAAGAGATGTTTGGAAGACAATGGAGGTCAACAATGAAAAAGGAAATATCTTCTGTTAAAAATTAGAAAGAAGTTTAATGAGAAACTCGTTTAGCATGTGTGCATTCATCTCAGAGAGTTAAACCAGTCTTTGGTTTCAGCAGTTTGAAAACACAGTTTTTGTGCATTCTTGGAATGGACGTTTGGGAACTCATTGAGGCCAATGGTGAAAAAGTGAATATCACAGGATAAAAACTAGAAGGAAGTTATCTGAGAAATCAATTCATGATGGCAGTATTCATCTCACAGAGTTAAACCTTTCTGTTCATTCAACCATTTGCAAACACTGATTTCTTAGAATCTGTGAAGAGATATTTGGTAGTGCGTTGAGTCCTATGGTGAAAAAGTATATATATTCAGATAAAAACTCGAAAGAAGCTTTCTAAGAGACTGATTTGTGATGTGTTCATTCATCCCACAGAGTTAAATCTTTCTTTGGATTCAGCAGTTTGGAAACCCTGTTTCTGTCAATTCTGGGAATGGACATTTGGGAGCTCATTGAGACCGATGGGGAAAAAGTGAATATCCCAGGATAAATACTAGAAGGAAGTTATATGAGAAACTGATTCGTGATGTGTGCCTTCATCTCAGAGAGTTAAACATTCCTTTAGATTCAGAAGTTTGGAAACACTGTTTGTGTCCATTCTGTGAATGGATGCTTGGGAGCTTCTTGAGGCCAATGTCAAAAAAGGGAATATCCCAGTATTAAAACTAGAATGAAGCTATCTTAGGAATGGCTTTGTGGGGTGTGCATTCATCTCACAGAGTTAAACATTTGTTTTCATTCAGCAGTTTTGAAACACTGATTTCTTAGTATATGCAAAGAGATATTTGGCAGTGCATTGAGGCCCATGGTGAAAAAAGAATTATCTTCACATAAAAACTAGAAACAAGCTTTCTGAGAAACCACTTTGTAATGAGTTCATTCATCTCACAGAGTTAAACTTTTTCTTTGATTCAGCAGTTTAGAAATCCTTTTTTTGTCCATGATTCATGATGTGTGCATTCATCACAGAGAGAGAAAACTTTCTTTGGATTCCACAGTTTGGAAACACTGTTTGTGTCCATTCTCTGAATGGACGTTAGGGGGCTCATTGAGGCCAATGGTGAAAAAGCAAATATCCCAGTATTAAAACTAGAAGGAAGCGATCTGAGAAAAGGCTTTGTGATGTGTGCATTCATCTCACAGAGTTAAACATTTCTCTTCATTCAGCACTTTGGAAACACTGATTTCTTAGAAGCTGCGAAGAGATATTTGGTAGTGTATTGAGGTCCATGGTGAAAAAGGAAACGTCTTCAGATAAAAACTAGCTAAAAGCTTTCTGATAAACTTCTTTGTGATGTGTTCATTCATCTCACAGAGTTAAACTTTTTCTTTGATTCAGCAGTTTAGAAATCCTGTTTTTGTCCATTCAGCGAATGGATATTTTGTAGCTCACTGAGGCAAAAGGTGAAACAGTGAATCTCCCTGGATAAAAATGTGAAGGAAGCAACCTCAGGAAACAATTATTGATGTCTGCATCCATCTCATAGATAAATCTTTCTTTTCATTCAGCTGTTTAAAAACACTGTTGTCTTAGAATCTGCCAAGAGATATTTGGTATTGCATAGATGCCCATGGTGAAAAAGGAAATATCTTCAGATAAAACTAGAAACAAACTTAATGAGAAACTAGTTCGGGACGTGTGCACTCATCTCAGAGAGCTAAATCTGTCTTTGTATTCAGCAGTTTGGAAACACAGTTTTGGTCCATTCTTGGAATATACATTGGGGAACTCATTGAGGTCAATGGCAAAAAAGTGAATATCCCGTGATCAAAACTAGAAGGAAGTTATTTGAGAAACCAACTCGTGATGGTTGCATTCATTTCAGAGTTAAACCTTTCTTTGCATTCAGCAGTGTGGAAATACTGTTTCTGTTGATCCTGCGAATGAACATCTGGGAGCTCATTGATGCCAATGGCAAAAATGCGAATATCCCAGGATAAAAACTTGAAGAAAGTTATCTGAGAAACTTCTTGTTGATGTTTGCTTTCATCTAGCAGAGTTAAATCTTTCTTTTCATTCAGAAGTTAGGAAACAGTGTTTTCTAAGAATCTGCAATGATATATTTGGTAGCATATTGTGGCCCATGGCGAAAAAGGAAATATCTTCAGTCCAAAAGTAGCAAGAAGCTTTATGAGAAACTGCCTTGTGATTTGTTCGTTCATCCAATAGAGTTAAACCTTTCTTTGGATTCAGCAGTCTGGTAACACTGTTTTTGTCCGTTGTGCGAATGGACGTTGGGAGCTCTTTGAAGCCAATGGCAAAAAAAGAGAATATCCCAGGATTAAAACTAGAAGGAAGCTATCTGAGAAACCACCTAGTGACGTGTGCATTCATCTAGCAGAGTTAAACCTTTCTTTTCTTTCAGCAGTTTGGAAACACTGTCTTTGAAGAAACTGTGAAATGATATTTGGCAGCGCATTGAGGCCTTAGCTGAAAAGGGAAATATCTTCAGATAAAAAGAAGAAAGAAACTTTCTGAGAAACTGCTTTGTGATGTGTTCTTTCATCTCACAGAGTTAAACATTTATTTGCATTCAGCAGTTTTGAAATGCCGTTTGTGTCCATTTTGTGAATGGACATTTTGGAGAACACTGTGGCCAATTTCAAAAAAGCGAATATCCCAGGATAAAAACTTGAAGGAATTTATCTGAGAAAGTGTCTCATGATGTGTGCATTCAGCTCACAGAGTTAAACCTTCCTTTTCATTCAGCAGTTTAGAAATGCTGTTTTCTTAGAATCTGCCAAGAGATATTTGGAAGACTGTGGAAGTCAATGGTGAAAAAGGAAATACCTTCCAATAAAAACTAGAAAGAAGCTTAATGAGACACTCGTTTGGCATGTGAGCATTCATCTCAGAGAGTTCAACCTGTCTTTGGTTTCAGCAGTTTGGAAACACAGTTTTTGTACATTCTTGGAATGGACGTTTGGGAACTCATTGAGGACAATGGTGAAGAAATGAACGTTTTTTCTAGTTCTTTTAATTGTGATGTTAGGGTGTAAATTTTGGATCTTTCCTGCTTTCTCTTGTGGGCATTTAGTGCTATAAATTTCCCTCTACACACTGCTTTGAATGCTTCCCAGAGATTCCGGTATGTTGTGTCTTTGTTCTCGTTGGTTTCAAAGAACATCATTATTTCTGCCTTCATTTCGTTATGTACCCAGTAGTCATTCAGGAGCAGGTTGTTCAGTTTCCATGTAGTTGAGAGGTTTTGAGTGAGATTCTTAATCCTAAGTTCTAGTTTGATTGCACTGTGGTCTGAACAATTAAAAAAACGAGAAAAGCAAGAGCAAACACATTCAAAACTAGCAGAAGGCAAGAAATAACTAAAATCAGAGCAGAACTGAAGGAAATAGAGACACAAAAAACCCTTCAAAAAATTAATGAATCCAGGAGCTGGTTTTTTGAAAAGATCAATGAAATAGATAGACCGCTAGAAAGACTAATAAAGAAAAAAAGAGAGAAGAATCAAATAGATGCAATAAAAAATGATAAAGGGGATATCACCAATGATCCCACAGAAATACAAACTACCATCAGAGAATACTACAAACACCTCTATACAATAAACTAGAAAATCTAGAAGAAATGGATAAATTTGTCGACACATATTCTCCCAAGACTAAACCAGGAAGAAGTTGAATCTCTGAATAGACCAATAACAGGAGATGAAATTGTGGCAATAATCAATAGCTTACCAACCAAAAAGAGTCCAGGACCAGATGGATTCACAGCCGAATTCTACCAGAGGTACAAGGAGGAACTGGTACCATTCCTTCTGAAATTATTCCAATCAATAGAAAAAGAGGGAAGCCTCCCTAACTCATTTTATGAGGCCAGCATCATTCTGATACCAAAGCCGGGCAGAGACACAACCAAAAAAGAGAATTTTAGACCAGTATCCTTGATGAACATTGATGCAAAAATCCTCAATAAAATACTGGCAAAACGAATTCAGCAGCACATCAAAAAGCTTATTCACCATGATCAAGTGGGCTTCATCCCTGGGATGCAAGGCTGGTTCAATATATGCAAATCAATAAATGTAATCCAGCATATAAACAGAACCAAAGACAAAAACCACATGATTATCTCAATAGATGCAGAAAAGGCCTTTGACAAAATTCAACAACCCTTCATGCTAAAAACTCTCAATAAATTAGGCATTGATGGGATGTATTTCAAAATAATAAGAGTTATCTATGACAAACCCACAGCCAATATCATACTGAATGGGCAAAAACTGGAAGCATTCCCTTTGAAAACTGGCACAAGACAGGGATGCCCTCTCTCACCACTCCTATTCAACATAGTGTTGGAAGTTCTGGCCAGGGCAATTAGGCAGAAGAAGGAAATAAAGGGTATTCAATTAGGAAAAGAGGAAGTCAAATTGTCCCTGTTTGCAGACGACATGATTGTATATCTAGAAAAGCCCATTGTCTCAGGCCAAAATCTCCTTAAGCTGATAAGCAACTTCAGCAAAGTCTCAGGATACAAAATCTACGTACAAAACTCACAAGCATCCTTATACACCAACAACAGACAAACAGAAAGCCAAATCATGAGTGAACTCCCATTCACAATTGCTTCAAGGAGAATAAAATACCTAGGAATCCAACTTGCAAGGGATGTGAAGGACATCTTCAAGGAGAACTACAAACCACTGCTCAGTGAAATAAAAGAGGATACAAACAAATGGAAGAACATTCCATGCTCATGGGTAGGAAGAATCAATATCGTGAAAATGGCCATACTGCCCAAGGTAATTTGCAGATTCAATGCCATCCCCATCAAGCTACCAATGCCTTTCTTCACAGAATTGGAAAAAACTACTTAAAGTTCATATGGAACCAAAAAAGAGCCCGCATCACCAACTCAATCCTAAGCAAAAAGAACAAAGCTGGAGGCATCACACTACCTGACTTCAAACTATACTACAAGGCTACAGTAACGAATACAGCATGGTACTGGTACAAAAACAGAGATATAGATCAATGGAAAAGAACAGAGCCCTCAGAAATAATGCTGCATATCTACAACTATCTGATCTTTGACAAACCTGACAAAAACAAGCAATGGGGAAAGGATTCCCTATTTAATAAATGGTGCTGGGAAAACTGGCTAGCCATATGTAGAAAGCTGAAACTGGATCCCTTCCTTACACCTTATATAAAAATTAATTCAAGATGGATTAAAGACTTAAACGTTAGACCTAAAACCATAAAAACCCTAGAAGAAAACCTAGGCAATACCGTTCAGGACATAGGCATGGGTAAGGACTTCATGTCTCAAACACCAAAAGCAATGGCAACAAAAGCCAAAATTGACAAATGGGATCTAATTAAACTAAAGAGCTTCTGCACAGCAAAAGAAACTACCATCAGAGTGAACAGGCAACCTACAAAATGGGAGAAAATTTTTGCAACCTACTCATCTGACAAAGGGCTAATATCCAGAATCTACAATGAGCTCAAACAAATTTACAAGAAAAAAAAAACAACCCCATCAAAAAGTGGGCGAAGGATATGAACAGACACTTCTCAAAAGAAGACATTTATGCAGCCAAAAAACACATGAAAAAATGCTCATCATCACTGGCCATCAGAGAAATGCAAATCAAAACCACAATGAGTTACCATCTCACACCAGTTAGCATGGCAATCATTAAAAAGTCAGGAAACAACAGGTGCTGGAGAGGATGTGGAGAAATAGGAACACTTTTACACTGTTGTTGGGACTGTAAACTAGTTCAACCATTGTGGAAGTCAGTGTGGCGATTCCTCAGGGATCTAGAACTAGAAATGCCATTTGACCCAGCCATCCCATTACTGGGTATATACCCAAAGGGTTATAAATCATGCTGCTATAAAGACACATGCACATGTATGTTTATTGCAGCACTATTCACAATAGCAAAGACTTGGAACCAACCCAAATGTCCAACAATGATAGACTGGATTAAGAAAATGTGGCCCATATACACCATGGAATACTATGCAGCCATAAAAAATGATGAGTTCATGTCCTTTGTAGGGACATGGATGAAATTGGAAATCATCATTCTCAGTAAACTATCACAAGGACAAAAAACCAAACACCGCATATTCTCACTCATAGGTGGGAATTGAACAATGAGATCACATGGACACAGGAAGGGGAACATCACACTCTGGGGACTGTTGTGGGATTGGGGGAGGGGGGAGGGGTAGCAATGGGAGATATACCTAATGCTAGATGACAAGTTAGTGGGTGCAGCGCACCAATGTGGCACATGTATACATATGTAACTAACCTGTACAATGTGCACATGTACCCTAAACTTAAAGTATAATAATAAAAGAAAAAAAAAAGAAAAAAATGAATATCACAGGATGAAAACTTAAAGGAAGTTACTTGAGAAACCAATTCGTGATGTATGGATTCATCTCACAGAGTTAAACCTTCCTTTTCATTCAGCAGTTTGGAAACACTGATTCTTAGAACCTGCAAAGGGATATTTTTTAGCACATTGAGGACTTTGGTGAAAAAGGATATATCTTCAGAAAAAAAACTCGAAAGAAGCTTTCTGAGAAACTGCTTTGTGATAAGTTCATTCATCCCACAAAGTTAAAACTTTCTTTGGATTCAGCATTTTGGAAACCCTGTTTCTGTCGATTCTGTGAATCGTCATTTGGGAGCTCATTGTGGCCGATGGGGAAAAAGTGAAAATCACATTATAAACACTAGAAGGAAGTTACCTGAGAAACAAATTCGTGATGTGTGCATTCATCTCAGAGAGTTAAAATTCTTTGGATTCAACAGTTTGGAAACCCTGCTTGTGCCAATTCTGTGAATGGACGTTTGGGAGCTGTTTGAGGCCAATGGTCAAAAAGTGAATATCCCAGTATTAAAACTAGAAGGAAGATATCTGAGAAATGGCCTTGTGATGTGTGCATTCATCTCCCAGAGTTAAAGATTTCTCTTCATTCAGCAGTTTGGAAACACTGAATTCTTAGAATCTGTGAAGAGATATTTGGAAGCACATTGAGGCCAATGGTGAAAAAGGAAATATCTTCAAATAAAAACTAGCAAGAAATTTTCTCAGAAACTGCTTTGTGATGTGTTCATTCATCTCACAGAGTTAAACTTTTATTTGGATTCAGCAGTTTGGAAATACTGCTTTTGTCCATCTGCTAATGGATATTTGGGAGCTCACTGAATCTAATGGCAAAATGATGAAACTCCCAGGATAAAAACTTGAAGGAACTGATCTCAGAAACCGATTAGTGATGTGGGCACTCATCTCACAGAGGTAGGTCTTTCTTTTCATTCATCTCTTTAGAAACACTGTTGTCTTTGAATCTGCCAAGAGATATTTTGTAGTGAATGGAGGCCCATGTTGAAAAAGGAAATACCTTCAGATAAAAACTAGCAAGAAGCTTTGTGAGAAACCCCTTTGTGATGTGTTCATTCATCTTACAGAGTTAAACTTTTCCTTGGTTTCAGCAGTTTGGAAATACTGCTTTTGTCCATTCTAGTAATGGATATTTTGGAGCTCACTAAATCCAATGGTGAAATAGCAAATCTCCCAGGATAAAAAATTTGAAGGAATTGATCTCAGGAACCATTTAGTGATGTGTGCATTCATCTCACAGAGTTGTCTTTCTTTTCATTCAGCTGTTTAGAAACACTGTTGTCTTAGTATCTGCCAAGAGATATTTGGTAGCTCATGGAGGCCCATGGTGAAAAAGGAAATATCTTCAGATAAAAACTAGAAACAAGCTAAAAGAGAAACTTGTTCCAGATGTGTGCATTCATCTCAGAGAGTTATATCTGTCTTTGTATTCAGCAGTTTGGAAACAGAGTTTTGGTCCATTCTTGGAATATTCATTGGGGAAATCATGGAGGCCAATGGTGAAAAAGCGAGTATCCCAGGACCAAAACTACAAGGAGATTATTTGAGAAACCAGTTCGTGATGGGTGCATTCATCTCACAGAATTAAACCTTTCTTTGCATTCAGCGGTGTGGAGACACTCTGTCTGTTGATCCTGTGATAGGATATTTGGGAACTCATTGAAGCCAATGGCAAAAAAGTGAATATCCCAGGAGAAAAACTAGAAGGAAGTTACATGAGAAACTTCTTAGTGATGTGTGCATTCATCTAGCAGAGGTAAACCTTTCTTTTCTTTCAGCAGTTTGGAAAAACTGTGTTTGTAGAAACTGCAATAGGATATTTGGCAGTGCCTTGAGGCCTAAGGTGAAAAAGGAAATATCTTCACATAAAAACTAGGAAGAAACTTTCTGAGAAACTGCTTTCTGAAGTGTTTTTCATCTCACAGAGATAAACATTTCTTTGGATTCAGCAGTTTGGAAATGCTGTTTGTGTTCATTTTGCCAATGGACATTTTGGAGCACATTGAGGCCAAAAGTGAAAAAGAGAATATCCCAGGATAAAAACTTGAAAGAATTTATCTGAGAAAGTGAGTCACGTTGTGTGCATTCAGCTCACAGAGTTAAACCCTTCTTTTCATTCAGCAGTTTAGAAACACTGTTTTCTTAGAATCTGCCAAGAGACATCTGGAAGACTATGGAGATCAATGGTGAAAAAGGAAATATCTTCCGATAAATACTTGAGGGGCTTAATGATAAACTCGTTTCACACGTGTGCATTCATCTCAGAGAGTTCAACCTGTCTTTTGTTTCAGCAGTTTGGAAACACAGTTTTTGTACATTCTTGGAAGGGACATTTGAGACCTCATTGAGGCCAATGGAGAAAAAGCGAATATTGTAGGATGAAAACTAGAAGGAAGTTATCTGAGACACCAATTCATAATGTGTGCATTCATCTCACAGAGTTAAACCTTTCTTTTCATTCAGCAGTTTGGTAACACTGTTTTCATATAATCTGCAAAGAGACATTTTTTAGCGCATTGAGGCCTATGGTGAAAAAGGATATAGCTTCAGATAAAAACTTGAAAGAAGCTTTCTGAGAAACTGCTTTGTGATATGTTCATTCATCTGACAAAGTTAAACCTTTCTTTAGATTCAGCAGTTTGGAAACCCTGTTTCTGTCGATTCTGTGAATGGACATTTGGGACCTCATTGAGGCTGATGGGGTAAAAGCGAATATCCCAGGATAAAAACTAGAAGGAAGTTACATAAGAAACCAATTCATGATGTGTGCATTCATCTCAGACAGTTAAACCTTTCTTTGGATTCAGAAGTTTGGAAACCCTGTTTGTGTCCATTCTGTGAATGCACGTTTGGGAGCTCACTGAAACCAATGGTGGAAAAGCAAATATCCCAGTTTTAAAACTAGAAGGAAGCTATCTGAGAAACGGCTTTGTGATGTGTGCATTCATCTCACAGAGTTAAACTTTTCTTTTCATTCAGCAGTTTGGAAACACAGATCACTTAGGATCTACGAAGAGATATTTGGTAGTTCATTGAGGCCCCTGGTGAAAAAGGAAATATCTTCAGATAAAAACTACCAAGAAGCTTTATGAGAAACTAATAAGGTGATGTGTTCATTCATCTGACAAAGTTAAGGCCAATGGAAAAAAGGAAATATTGCAGGAAAAAACTTGATGAAAATTATCTAAGAAACCAATTCACGATGTGTGCATTCATCTCACAGAGATAAACTTATCTTTTCATTCAGCAGTTTGGCAATGCTGTTTCTCTCGATCCTGTGAATGGACATTTGGGAGCTCATTGTAGCCAATGAAATAAAAGTGAATATCCAAGGATAAAACTAGAAGCAAGTTATCTGAGAAAGTTCTTAGTGATGTGTGCATTCATCTAGCAGAGTTAAGCCCTTCTTTTCATTCAGCAGTTTGGAAAGAGTTTCTTCTTAGGATCTGCGAAGAGGTTCTCAAGCATTCCCAAATATCCATTTGCAGATTCTATAAAAGATGGTATCCAAACTGCTCAATCAAAAGAATGGCTCAACTCTGTGAGAGGAATGCACACATCACTAAGAACTTTCTCAGAAAGCTTCTGTCTAGTTTTTATGTGAACATATTTCGTTTTCACCATATGCCTAAAAGTGCATGAAAATATCCTTTTGCACATTCTACACAAAGGTTGTTTCCAAACAGCTCAAACAAAAGAATGCTTCAACTCTGTGTAATGAGTGCACACCACGCAAAGAAGCTTCTCAGAAACCTTCTGTCTAGTTTTTACGTGAAGATATTTCCTTTTTCATCGTAGGACTCATAATGATCCCAAATATCCCTTTGCTGATTCTACGAAAAGATGGTTGTCAAACTGCTCAATCAAAACAATGTTTCTACTCTGTGATATGTATGCACACATCACAAATATGTTTCTCAGAAAGCTTCTGTCTAGATGTTGTATGAACATATTTCTTTTTTCACCATAGGCCTCAAAAGGCTCTGTAATATCCCTTAGCCAGTTCTAAAAAGGAGTGGTTCCAGACTTCTCAATGAAAAGAATGGCTCAACTCTGTGAAATGAATGCACATATCACAAAGCAGTTTCTCAGAAAGCTTCTCTCTAGTTTTTGTGAAGATATTTGCTTTTTGACCATAGACCTCAAAGCAGTCACAAATGTCCCTCCACATATTCTACAAAAAGACTCTTTCCAAACTGCTCAATCAAAAGAATGGTTCAACTCTGTGAGATGAATGCACACGTCCAAAGCAGTTTCTCACAAAGCTTCCTTCTAGTTTTTATGTGAAGATATTTCCTTTTTCTCCACTGGCCTTTAACCATTCCCCAAATTCCTTTTGCTGATTCTATGAAAAGACTATTTCCAAACTGCTCAATCAAAAGAATGGTTCAACTCCGTGAGATGAATGCACACATCAAAAAGAAGTTTCTCAGAAATCTTCTGTCTACTTTTTTGTGTGAAGATATTTCCTTTTTCACCATAGGCCTCAAAGTGCTCAAAATATCCCTTTGCAGATCTCACAAAAAGACTGTTTCCAAAATGCTCAATCAAAAGAATTTTTCACCTCTATGAGACGAATGCACACATCATATAGAGGTTTCTCAGAAAGCTTTTGTCTAGTTTTTATGTAAAGATATTTACTTCTTCACCATTGGCCTCAAAGGGCTCACAAATATCCCTTTGCAGATTCTAGAAGAACAGAGTTTCCAAACTGCTCAATGATAAGAAACATTTACCTCTGTGAGATGAATGCAAAGCTAAACAGAAGCTTTCTGAGAAACTTCTTTGTGATGTGTGCATTCACGTCACAGAGTTGAACAATCACATTGATTGAGCAGTTTGGAAACCATCTTTTGGTAGAATCTGCAAAGGGATATTTGTGAGCACTTTGAGTCCTATACTGATAAAGGAAATATCATCACATAAAAACTAGGAAAAATGTTTCTGAGATACTGCTTTGTGAGTTTGTATTCATCTCACAGAGATATACGTTTCTTTTCATTGAGCAGTTTGGAAAATCTGTTCTTGTAGAATCTGCAAAGGGATATTTCTGAGCGCTTTAAGGCCTATGGTGAAAAAGGAAATATCTTCACATAAAAACCAGACAGAAGCTTCCTGAGAGACTGCTTTGTGATGTGTGCATTCATCTCAAAGAGTTAAATGTTTCTTTTCATTAAGCACTTTGGAAACTCTGTTCTTCCAGTATGTGCAGACAGATATTTGTGAGCACTTCGATGCCTATGGTGAAAAAGGAAATATCGTCACATAAAAATTACACAGAAGCTTTCTGAGAAAGTTCTTTGTGATGTCTGCATTCATCTCACAGTGTTGAAACATTCTTTCGATTGATCACTTTGGAAGGAGTCTTTTTGTAGAATCTGCAAAGGGATATTTTTGAGTCATTTGAGGCCTATGCTGAAAAAGGAAATATCTCCACATAAAAACTATCCAGAAGGTTTCTGAGAAACTCTGTAATGTGTGCCTTCATGTCAGAGTGGAAGGATTATTTAGATTGAGCAGTGTGGAAACATTCTTTTTGTAGAATCTTCAAAGGGATATTTGTGAGCGCTTTGAGGCCTATGGTGAAAAAGAAATATCTTCACATAAAAACTAGACAGAATGTTTCTGAAAAACTGCTTTCTAGTGTGTGCTTTAATTTCACAGATTTGAACCATACAATGCTTTTGATTGAGCAGTTTGGAAACAGTCTTTTTGTAGAATCTGCAAAAGGATATATTTGAGGTGCACTTTGAGACCTATGGTGAAAATGGAAATATCTTCACATAAAAACCAGACAGAAGCTTTCTGAAAAACTGCCTTGTGATGTGTCCATTCACCTCACAGAAATAAACGTTTCTTTTCATTCAGCATTTTGGAGACTCTGTCCTTCTATAATCTATGAAAGGATATTTCAGAAGACTTGGAGGCCTATGGTGAAAAAGGAAATATCTTCACATAAAAAGCAGACAGAAACTTTCTGAGAAAATTCTTTGTGATGTGTGCATTCATGTCAAAGAGTTGAAACATTCTTTTGATTGAGCAGCTTGGAAACAGTCTTTCTGTAGACTCTGCAAAGGGATATTCATAAGTGCTTTGAGGCCTTTGGTGAAAAAGGAAATATCTTCACATACAAACTAGACAGAAGCTTTTTGAGAAACTTCTTTGTGATGTGTGCATTCATCTCACAGAGTTGGACAATGTTTTTGATTGAGCACTATGGAAACTGTTCTTGTAGAATCTTCAAAGGGATATTTGTGAGTGATTTGAGGCTGATGGTGGAAAAGGAAATATCTTCACATAAAAACTAGAAAGAAGCTTACTGAGAAACTGCTTTGTGTTGTGTACATTCATGTCAGAGAAGTAGACGTTTCCTTTCATTGAGCAGTTTGGAAACACTGTAATTCTAGAATCTGCAAAGGGACATTTGTGAGCTCTTTGAGGGCTGTGATGAAAAAGGAATAATCTTCTCATAAAAACCAGACAAAAATTTCTGAGAAACTTCTTTGTGATGTGTGCATTCATCCCACAGGTTTGAACCACACTTTTGATTGAGCAGTTTGGAAACATTCTTTTTGTGGTACCTGAAAAGGGATATTTGTGAGCCCCTTGAGGCCTATGGTAATAAAGGAAATATCTTCACATAAAACTAGCAAGGAGCTTTCTGAGAAGCTGCTTTGTGATGTGTGCATTCACCTCACAGAGGTAAATGTTTCTTTGCATTGAGCAGATTGGAAACACTGTTCTTGTAGAATCTGCAAAGCGATATTTGTGAGTGTTTTGAGGCCTATGTTGAAAAAGGATATATCTGAACAAAAACTAGATGGCAGCTTTCTGAGAATCTTCTTCGTGATGTATGCACTCATCTCACAGAGTTGATCCAGTCCTTTGATTGAGCAGTTTGGAATCAGTCTTTTTGTAGAATCTGCAAAGGGATATTTGTGAGCCCTTTGAGGCCTACATTAAAAATGGAAATATCTTCACATAAAAAAGTAGACATAAGGTTTCTGAAAAACTGCTTTGTGATATGTGCATTCATCTCACAGAGGTAAATGTTTCTATTCATGGAGCAGATTGGAAAATCTGTTCTTGTAGAATCTGCAAAGGGATATTTGTGAGTGCTTTGAGACCTCTGGTGAAAAAGGAAATATCTTCACATGAAAACTAGATAGAAGTTTTCTCAGAAATTTCTTTGTGATGTGTGTATTCATCTCACGGATCTGAACGTTTCTTTTGATTGGGCTGTTTGGAAAAAGTCTTTTTGTAGAACCTGCAAGGGGATATTTGTGAGCAATTTTAGGCCTAGGGTGAAAAAGGAAATATCGTCACATAAAAACTAGACAGAAGCTTTCTGAGAAACTTCTTCGTGAAATGTGCATGCATTTCACAGAGTTGAACCTCACTTTTGATTGAGCAGCTCAGAAACAGTCTTTTTGTAGAATCTGCAAATGGATATTTGTGACTGGTTTGAGGCCTATAGTGAAAAAGGAAGTATCTTCACATAAAAACTAGACAGAAGCTTTCTGAGAATCTTCTTTGTGAACTGTGCATTCATCTCACAGAGTTGAACCTTTCTTTTGATTGAGCTCTTTGGAAACTTTTTTTTTAGAATCTGGAAAGGGATATTGCTGAGCCCTTTGAGGGCTATGGTGAAAAAGGAAATACCTTCACATAAAAACTAGAAAGAAGGTTTCTGAGAAACTGCTTTATGATGTATATATTCATCTCACAGAGGTAAACCTTTCTTTTCATTGAGCAGATTGGAAACTCTGTTCTTGCAGAATCCTCAAAGGGATAATTGTGAGCGGTTTGAGGCCTATGGTGAAAAAGGAAATATCTTCACATAAAAACTAGATAGATTCTTTCTGAGAAACTTCTTTGTGATGCACGCACTCATTTCACAGAGTTTAAAGTTTCTTTTGATTGAGCAGTTTAAAAAGAGTCTTTTTGTAGAATCTGCAAAGGGATATTTGTGAGCAGTTTGTGTCCTATGGTGAAAAAGGAAATATCTTCACATAAAAACTAGATAGACTGTTTCTGAGAAACTTCTTTTGAAGTGTGCATTCAACTCACAGAGTTGAAACTCACTTTTGATTGAGTAATTTGTAAGCAGTCTTTTTGTACAATCTGCAAATGGATATTTGTGAGCAGTTTGAGGCCTATGGTGAAAAAAGAAATATCTTCATAAAAAAACGAGGCAGAAGCTTTCTGAGAAACTTCTTTGTGATGTGTGTATTCATTGCACAGAGTTGAACCTTTCTTTTGATTAAGAAGTTTTGAAACAGTCTTTTTGTAGATTCTCCAAGGGGATATTTGTCAGTGACTTGTGGCCTATGGTGAAAAAGGAAATATCTTCATATTAAAACTAGACAGAAGCATTCTGAGAAACTTCTTTGAGATGTTTGCATTCATCTCACAGAGGTAAATGTCTGTTTTCATCGAGCAATTTGGAAACTCTCTTCTTGTAGATCTGAAAAGGGATATTTGTGAGTGTTTTGAGACCTATGGTGAAAAAGGAAATATCTTCACATAAAACTAGGTAGAAGCTTTCTGAGAAATTTCTTTGTGACATGTGCATTCATTTCAAGAGTTGAAACATTTTTTTGATTGAGCAGTTTGGAAAACATCTTTTTTAAGATCTATAAAGGGATATTTGTGAGCACTTTGATGCTTATGGTTAAAAAGCTGATATCTTCACATAATAACTAGATTGCAGTTTGTGAGTAACTTCTTTGTGATGTTTGTATTATTATCACACAGTTGAACTATTCTAATTATTGAGAAGCTTGGAAACTGCCTTTTTGCAGTGTCTGCAAATGCATATTGTTGAGTGCTTTGAGGCCTATGTTGAAAAAGGAAACATCTTCACATGAAAAAAAGAAATAAGCTTTCTGAGAAACTGCTTAGTTATGTGTGCATTCATCTCACAGAGGTAAACTTTTCTATTCACTGAGCACGTTGGAAACTCTGTTTCTCTAGAATCTGCAAAGAGATACTTGTGAGTGCATTGAGGCCTAGTGTCAAAAAGGAAATATCTTCACATAAAAATAAGACAGAAGCATTCTGAGAACTTCTTTATGATGTGTGCATTCATTTCACAGAGATGAACCATTCTTTTCATTGATTAGTATGGAAACAGTGTTTTTGTAGGATCTGCAAAGGGATATTTGTGAGTGCTTTCAGGCCTATGGTGAAAAGGTAAATATCATCACAAAAAAATAGAAAGAAGGTTCCTGAAAAACTAGAAAGAGGTTTTCTGAGAAACTGCTTTATGATGTGTGCATTCATCTCACAGAGGTAAACGTTTCTTTTCATTGAGAAGTTTGGAAACTCGGTTCCTCTAGAATCTGCAAAGGGATATTTGTGAGCACTTTGAGTCCCATGGTGAAAAAGGAAATATCTTCACATAAAAAGTAGAAAGAAGCTTTCTGAGAAACTGCTTTGTGATGTGTCAATTCATCTCACTGAAGTAAATTTTCCTGTCATTGAGCAGTTTGGAAATTCTGTCCTTCTAGAATCTGCAAACGGATATTTGTGAGAGCTTTGAGGCCTGTAGTGAAAAAGGAAATATCTACTCATAAAAACTAGACAGAACCATTCAGAGAAACATCTTCAGGATGTGTGCATTCATCTCATCTCACAGGGATGAAACATTCCTTTGATTGAGCAGTTTGGAATCAGTCTTTTTGAAGAATATGAAAAGGAATATTACTGAGCGCTTTGAGGTCTATGGTGAAAAAGGAAATATCTTCACATAAAAACTGGAAAGAAGATTTAATACAGACTGCTTTCTGATGTGTGCATTAGTGTCACAGTCTTGAAACATTCTTTTCATTGAGCAGTTTTGAAACTCTTTTCTTGTAGGATCTGCAAAGGGATATTTGTGAGTGCTTTGAAGCATATGGTGAAAAGGGAAACATCTTCACATAGAAACTGGACAGAAGCTTTCTGAGAAACTGCTTTGTGATGTGTCCATTCATTTCACAGAAGTAAACGTTTCCTTTCATTGAGCAGTTTGGAAAATCTGTTCTTGTAGAATCTGCAAAGGGATATTTGGGAGCTCTTTGAGGCCTATGGTGAAAATGGAAATATCTTCACATAAATACCATATATAAGATTTCTGAGAAACTTCTTTGTGATGTGTGCATTCATCTCACAGAGTTGAACCATTCTTTTGATGGAGCAGTTTGGAAACAGTCTTTTTGTAGAATCTGCAAAGGTATATTTTTGAGAGCTTTGAGGTCTATGTTGAAAAGAAATATCTTCTTAAAAAAACTAGATAGAAACTCTCTGAGAAACATCTTCTGTTATGTGTGCATTCATTTCACAAGATTGAACCATTCTCTTGAATGAGCACTTTGGAAATACACTTTTTGTGGTATCTATGAAGGGATATTTGGCAGCACTTTGAGGCCTATGGTGAAAAAGGAAATATCTTCACATAAAAAATAGAAAAAGGCTTTATGAGAAACTGCTTTGTGATGTGTGCATTCATTTCACAGAGTTGAACCATTTTTTCATTTAGCAGTTTGGAAACTCTGTTCTTCTAAAATCTGCAAAGGCATATTTTTGAGCTCTGTGAGACCTATGGTGAAAAAGGAAATATCTTCAAATAAAAACCAGAAAGAAGCTTTCTGAGAAACTGCTTTGTTATGTGTGCATTCACCTCACAGAGTTGAAACATTATTTTCATTGAGGAATTTGAAAACTGTGTTTTTGTAAGATTTGCAAAGGTATATTTGTGAGTGCTTTGAGGCCTATAGTGAAAAATTAAATATGTTCCCATAAAAACTAGACAGAAGCTTTCTGAGAAACTTCTTTGTGATGTGTGCATTCATCTCCAAGAATTGAACCATTCTTTTGATTCAGCATTTTGGGGACAGTCTTTTTGTAGAATCTGCAAAGGGATACATGGGAGCTCTTTGAGTCCTATGGTGAAAAAGGAAATAACTTCACATAAAAACTAGAAAGAAGCTTTCTGAGAAACTGCTTTGTGGTATGGCCATTCATCTCACAGAAAAAAAGGTTTCCTTTCATATAGCAGTTTGTAAAGTCTGTCCTTCTAGAATCTGCAAAGGGATATTTGTGAGCTCTTTGAGGCCTATGGTGAAAAAGGAAATATCTTCATGTAAAAACTAGAAAGAAGGTTTCTGAGAAACTGCTTTGTTATGTCTGTGTTCATCTTACAGAGGTAAAAGTTTCTTTTCTTTGAGCAGTTTGGAAACTCTCCTATAATATGCAAAGTGATATTTGTAAGTGATATGAGTCCTATGGTGAAAAAGGGAATATCATCACAAAAAAATTATAAAGAAGCTTTCTGAGAAGCTACTTTGAGATGTGTGCATTCATCTCAAACAGTTGAACCATTCGTTTCATTGAGCAGTTTGGAAATATCTTTTTGTGGAATCCAAAAAGGTCTATTTATGAGTGCTTTGAGGCCTATGATGAAAAAGGTAATATCTTCACATAAAAACTAGACAGAAGGTTTCTGGGAAACTTCTTTGTGATGTGTGCATTCATCTCACAGAGGTAAACGTTTCCTTTCATTGAACAGTTTGCAAACTCTGTTTTTGCAGAATCTGCAAAGGGATATTTGTGAGTGCTTTCAGGCCTACAGTGAAAAGGGAAATGACTTCACATAAAAAATAGAAAGAAGGTTTCTGAGAAACTGCTTTGTGATATGTGCCTACATGTCACAGAGCTAAAGGTTCCTTTTCATTGAGCACTTTGGAAACTCTCTTCTTGCAGAATCTGCAAATGTATATTTGTGAGTGCTTTGAGGCCTATGGTGAAAAAGGAAGTATATTCACATAAAAATTAGAAAGAAGGTTTCTAGAAAGTACTTTGTGAGGTGTGCATTCATTTCACAGTGGCAAACATTTCTTTTCTTCGAGTAGTTTGGAAACTCTGTTTCTCTAGAACATGCAAAGGGATATTTCTGAGCGCTTTGAGAGCTATGTTGAAAAAGGATATATCTTCTCATAAAAACTAGACAGAAGCTTTCTGAGAAACTTCTTAGATGTGTGCATTCATCTCACAGTGTTGAACCATTCTTTTGGTTCAGCAGTTTGGAAACAGTCTTTTTGTCGTATCTGCAAAGGGATATTTGTGAGCGCTTTGAGGCCTATGGTGAAAAGGAAATATCTTCACATAATAAGGAGAAAGAAGGTTCCTGAGAAAATGCTTTGTGATGTGTGCATTCATCTCACCGAGGTAAACATTTGTTTTCATTGGTCCATTTGGAAACTGTGTTCTTGTAGCATCTGCAAAGGGATATTTGTGAGCACTTTGAGGTCTATGGTGAAAAAGGAGATATCTTCACATAAAAACTAGACCGAAGGTTTCTCAGAAACTTCTTTGTGAAGTGTCCATTCATCTCACAGAGTTAAACCTAACTTTTGATTGAGCAATTTGGAAACAGTCCTTTTGTACTATCTGCAAAGGAATATTTGAGAGAGCTTTGAGGCCTGTGGTAAAAAGGAAATATCTTCACATAAAAGCTAGAGAGAAGCTTTCTTAGAAACTGTTTTGTATTGTGTCTATTCATCTCAGAGAAGTAAACGTTTCCTTTCATTGAGCAGTTTGGAAACTCTGTCCTTCTAGAATCATCAAAGGGATATTTGTGAGCACTTTGGGGACTATGGTGAAAAAGGAAACATTTTCACATAAAAGCTAGAAAGAAGTTCTTTGAGAAACTGCTTTGTGTTGTTTCCATTCATCTCAGAGAAGTAAAGATTTCCTTTCATTGAGCAGTTCGGAAATTCTGTCCTTCAAGAATCTGCAAAGGGACATTTGTGAGCACTTTGGGGCCTATGGTGAAAAAGGAAATATCTTCCCATAAAAACTAGACAGAATCTTTATGAGAGACTGCTTTGTGATGTGTGCATTCAACTCCCAGAGTTGAAACATTCTTTTGATTGAGCAGTTTGCAAACAGTCTTTTTGAAGAATCTGCAAAGGGAAATTTGTGAGCGCTTTGAGGCCTTTGGAGAAAAAGGAAATGTATTCACAGAAAAACTGGAAAGAAAGCTTCTGATAAACTGCTTTATAATGTGTACAATCATTTCACAGAGATCAGTGTTTCTTTTCATTGAGCAGCTTGGAAACTATTTTTGTAGAATCTGAAAATGGATATTTTTCAGTGCTTTGATGCCTGCGTTAAAAAAGGAATTATCTTCACATAAAAAATAGAAAATTTCTGAGAAACTTCTTTGTGATGCATGAATTTATGCCACCGAGTTGAACCATTTTATGATTGAGCAGTTTGGAAACAGTCTTTTTGTGGAATCTGCAAAGAGATATTTGTGAGTGCATTGAGGCCTACAGTAAAAAAGAAAATATCTTCACATAAAAACTAGCAAGGAGCTTTCTAAGAAACTGCTTTGTGATGCGTGCATTCATCTCACAGAGGTAAATGTTTCTTTGCATTGAACAGTGAAAACTCTGTTCTTGTAGAATCTGCAAAGTGATATTTGTGAGTGTTTTGAGGCCTATGGTGAAAAAGGAAATATCTTCAGAAAAACTAGACAGAAGCTTTCTGAGAATATTCTTTGTGATATATGCATTCATCTCAAAGAATTGAACGACCTCTTTGTTTGAGCAGTTTGGGAACAGCCTTTTTGTAGATTCTGCAAAGGGATATTTGTAAGCCCTTTGAGGACTATGGTGAAAACGTAAATATCTTCACATAACTAGACAGAAGGTTGCTGAAAAGCTGCTTTGTGATGTGTGATTCACCTCAAAGAGGTCAAAGTTTCTTTTCATTGAGCAGATTGGAAACACTGCTCTTGTAGAATCTGCAAAGGGATATATTTGAGTGGTTTCAGGCCTATGGTGAAAAAGGAAAAATCTCCACATAAAAACTAGACAGAAGCATTCTGAAAAACTTGTTTGTGATTGGTGCATTCATCTCACACAGTTGAACCTCACTTTTGATTGAGCAGTTTGGAAACAGTCTTTCTGTAGAAAGTGGAAACAAATATTTGTGAGTGGTTTGAGGCCTGTGGTGAAAAAGGAAATATCCTCACATAAAAACTAGACAGAAACTTCCTGAGAATCTTCTTTGTGATGTGTGCATTCGTCTCACAGAGCTGAATATTTCTTTTAATTGAGCACTTTGGAAATATTTTTTCTTTTTGCAAACTGGAAAGGGATATTGGTGAGCCCTTTGGGGAATATGGTGAAAAAGGAAATAACTTCACATAAAAACTAGAAAGAAGGTTTCTGAGAAACTGCTTTGTGATGTGTGCATTTATCTCACAGAGGTAAACTTTTCTTTTCATTGAGCAGATTGGAAACTCCCTACTTGTAGAATCTGCAAAGGGATAATTGTGAGCACTTTGAGGCCTATGGTGAAAAAAGAAATATCTTCACATAAAAACTAGACAGAAGCTTTCTGAGAAGCTACTTTGTGAAGTGTGCATTCATCTCACAGAGTTGAGCCTTTCTTTTGATTGAGCAGTTTGGAAACAGTCTTTTTGTAGAATCTACAAAGGCATATCTGTGAGTGGTTTGAGACCTATGGTGAAAAAGGAATTATCTTCATATAAAAACTAGACAGAAGCTTCTCAGAAACTTCTTTGTTATGTGTGCATTCATCTCACAGAGTTGAAACTTTCTTTGATTGAGCAGTTTGGAAACAGTGTTTTGTAGAATCTGCAATGGGATATTGGTGAGCGGTTTGAGGCCCATGGTGTAAAAGGAAATATCTTCACATAAAAACTAGACAGAAGCTTTCTGAGAAACTTCTTCTTTGAGATGTGTGAATTCATCTCACAGAGTTGAATCTTTCTTTTGATTGAACAGTTTGGAAACAGTCTTTTCGTAGAGCCTTCAAAGGGATATTTGTGAGTGCTTTGAGGCCTATGGTGAAAAATGAAATATCTTCAGACAAAAACTACAGAGAAGCCTTCTGAGAAACTACTTTGTGATGTGTATATTCATCTCAGACAGTTTTAACTCTCTTTTCCTTGAGCAGCTTGGAAACAGTCTTTTTGTTGAATCTGAAGATGGATATTTGCGAGTGGTTTGAGACATGTGGTGAAATAGGAAATATCTTCACATAAAAAGTAGACAGAAGCTTCCTGAGAAACTTCTTTGTGATGTGTGCATTCATCTCACAGAGCTGAAATTGTTTTCATTGAGCAGTTTGGAAACAGTCTTTGTGTAGAATCTTCAAAGGGATATTTGCCAGTGGTTTGAGGCCTATGGGGAAAAAGGAAATATCTTCATATAAAACTAGACAGAAGCTTTCTGAGAAACTTCCTTGTGATGTGTGCATTCATCTCACAGAGGTAAACGTTTCTTTTCACTGAGCAGTTTGAAAACTCTGTTCTTGTAGAATCTGCACAGGGATAATTGTGAGCGATTTGAGGCCTGTGGTGAAAAATGAAATATCTTCACATAAAAACTAGACAGATGCCTTTTGGGAAACTACTTTATGATGCATGCATTCATCTCACAGAGGTGAACGTTTCTTTTAATTGAGCAGTTTGGAAACAGTCTTTTTGTAGAATCTGTAAAGGGATATTTGTGAGTGGTTTGAGGCCTATGGTGAAAAATGAAATATCTTCACATGAAAACTAGACAGAAGCTTTCTGAGTCAATTCTTTGTGATGTTTGTTTTCATCTCACAGAGTTGAAACTTTCTTTTGATTCAGCAGTTTGGGGTCAGTCTTTTGTAGAATCTACAAAGGGATATTTGTGAGTCCTTTGAGGCCTATGGTGAAAAAGCAAGTATCTTCACATAAAAACTGCACACAAGATTTGTGAGAAACTGCTTTACAGTGTGTGCATTCATTTCACAGAAGTAAAGGTTTCTTTTCATTGAACACATTGGAAACTCTCTTCTTGTAGAATCTGCAAAGGGATATTTATTTGTGAGCACTTTGAAGCCTATGGTTGAAAAGAAATATCTTCACAGAAAAACTAGACAGAAGGGTGGAACCAAGATGGCTGAGTAGGAACAGCTCCAGTCTACTGCTCCCAGTGTGAGTGATGCAGAAGAGGGGTGATTTCTGCATTTCCATCTGAGGTACAGGGTTCATCTCACTAGGGAGTGCCAGACAGTGGGTGCAGCACACCGTGTGTGAGCCAAAGCAGGGCGAGGCATTGCCTCACTCGGGAAGCACAAGGAGTCAGGGATTTCCCTTTCCTAGTCAAAGAAAGGGGTGACAGACAGCACCTGGAAAATCGGGTCACTCCCACCCTAATACAGTGCTTTTCCAATGGGCTTAAAAAACGGCACACCAGGAGATTATATCCCGCATCTGGCTCAGAGGGACCTACGCCCACGGAGTCTCAATGATTGCTAGCACAGCAGTCTGAGCTCACACTACAAGGTGGCAGTGAGGCTGGGGAAGGAGCTCCTGCCATTGCCCAGGCTTGATTAGGTAAACAAAGCAGCCAGGAAGCTCGAACTGGGTGGAGCCCACCACAGCTCAAGGAGGCATGCCTGCCTCTGTAGGCTCCACCTCTGGGCGGAAATGCACAGACAAACAAAAAGACAGCAGTAACACCTGTAGACTTAAATGGCCCTTTCTGACAGCTTTGAAGAGAGTAGTGGTTCTCCCAGTACGCAGCTGGAGATCTGAGAATGGGCCGACTGTCTCCTCAAGTGGGTCCTTGACCCACAAGCAGCCTAAGTGGGAGGCAACCCCCAGTAAGGGCAGACTGACACCTCACACAGCTGGGTAGTCCTCTGAGACAAAACCTCCAGAGGAACAATCAGCCAGCAGAATTTGCGTTTCACTAAGATCTGCTGTTCCACAGCCACCGCTGTTCTGCAGCCACCGCTGCTGATATCCAGGAAAACAGTGTCTGGAGTGGACCTCTAGCAAACTCCAACAGACCTGCAGCTGAGGGTCCTGTCTGTTAGAAGGAAAACTAACAAACAGAAAGGACATCCACACAAAAAAATCCTTCTGTACGTCACCATGATCAAAGACCAAAAGTAGATAAAACCCCAAAGATGGGGAAAAAACAGCAGAAAAACTGGAAACTCTAAAAAGCAGAGCACGTCTCCTCCTCCAAAGGAATGCAGCACCTCACCAGCAATGGAACAAAGCTGGATGGAGAATGACTTTGACGAGCTGTGAGAAGAAGTCTTCAGATGATCAAACTACTCTGAGCTACAGGAGGAAATTCAGGCCAATGGCAAAGAAGTTAAAAACTTTCAAAAAAAATTAGACGAATGGATAACTAGAATAACCAATGCAGAGAAGTCCTTAAAGGAACTGATGGAGCTGAAAGCCAAGGCTCAAGAACTACGTGAAGAATGCAGAAGCCTCAGGAGCCGATGCAATCAACTGGAAGAAAGGATATCAGTGATGGAAGACGAAATGAATGCAATGAAGCAAGCAGGAAAGTTTAGATAAAAAAGAATAAAAAGAACTGAACAAAGCCTCCAAGAAATATGGGACTATGTGAAAAGACCAAATCTATGTCTGATTGACGTACCTGAAAGTAATGGGGAGAATGGAACCAAGTTGGAAAACACTCTGCAGGATATTATCCAGGAGAACTTCCCCAATCTAGCAAGCAGGCCAACATTCAGATTCAGAAAATACAGAGAACGACCCAAAGATACTCCTTGAGAAGAACAACTCCAAGACACATAATTCTCAGATTCACCAAAGTTGAAATGAAGGAAGAAATTTTAAGGGCAGCCAGAGAGAAAGGTCGGGTTACCCACAAAGGGAAGCCCATCAGAGTAACAGCTGATCTCTCGGCAGAAACTCTACAAGCCAGAAGAGAGTGGGGGCCACTATTCAACATTCTTAAAGAAAAGAATTTTCAACTCAGAATTTCATATCCAGCCAAACTAAGCTTCATAAGTGAAAGAGAAATAAAATACTTTACAGACAAGTAAATGCTGAGAGATTTTGTCACCACCAGGCATGCCCTAAAAGAGCTCCTGAGGGAAGCACTAAACATGGAAAGGAACAACCGGTACCAACCACTGCAAAAACATGCCAAAATGTAGGACCATCAAAGCTAGGAAGAAACTGTATCACCTAATGAGCAAAATAACCAGCTAAGATCATAATGACAGGACAAAATACACACATAACAACATTAACTTTAAATGTAAATAGGCTAAAGTCTCCAATTAAAAGACACAGACTGGCAAATTGGATAAAGAGTCAAGACCCATCAATGTGCTGTATTCAGGAAACCCATCTCACATGCAGAGACACACATAGGCTCAAAATAAAGGGATGGAGGAAGATCTACCAAGCAAATGGAAAAAAAAAAACAGGGGTTGCAATCCTAGTCTCTGATAAAACAGACTTTAAACCAACAAAGATCAAAAGAGACAAAGAAGGCCATTACATAATGGTAAAGGGATCAATTCAACAAGAAGAGCTAACTATCCTAAATATATATGCACCCAATACAGGAGCACCCAGATTCATTAAGTGAGTCCTTAGTGACCTACAAAGAGACTTAGACTCCCACACAGTAATAATGGGAGACTTTAGCACCCCACTGTCAACTTTAGACAGATCAACGAGACAGAAAGTTAACAAGGATACCCAAGAATTGAACTCAGCTCTGCACCAAGTAGACATAATAGACATCTACAGAACTTTCCACCCCAGGTCAACAGAATATACGTTCTTTTCAGCACCACACCACACCTATTCCAAAATTGACCACATAGTTGGAAGTAAAGCACTCCTCAGCAAATGTAAAAGAACAGAAATTATAACAAACTGTCTTTCAGACCACAGTGCAATCAAATTAGAACTCAAGACTAAGAAACTCACTCAAAACTGCTCAACTACATGGAAACAAAACAACCTGCTCATGAATGACTACTGGGTACATAACAAAATGAAGGCAGAAAAAAAGATGTTCTTTGAAACCAATGAGAACAAAGATACAACATACCAGAATCTCTGGGACACATTCACAGAGTTGAATTTTTTTTCAACTTTCAAGTTCACAGAGTTGAACTTTTCTTTTGATTGAGCAATTTGGGAAAAAGTATTTTTGTAGAAACTGCAAAGGGACATTTTTGAGCTCCTTGAGGCTTATGGTGAAAAAGGAAACATCTTCATATAAAAACTAAACAGAAGCTTTCTCAGAAACTTCTTTGTGATGTCTGCATTCATCTCAGAAAGCTGAACATTTCTTTTGGTTGAGCAGTTTAGAAAAAGTCTTTTTGTAGTATCTGCAAAGGCATATTTGTGAACACTTTGAGGCCTAT